>NC_000005.10:82534049-82837079 GCF_000001405.40 Homo sapiens | reverse complement strand
TGAGAAGATTACCATGTGCAAGCCAGGAATTGGACCCTCACCAAGAATCAAATTTATCAGCACCTTGATCTCAGATTTCCCAGCCTCCAAAACTGTGAGAAATAAATATCTGTTGTTTAAGTAAAAAATACTGGTGTTTGCTATTTTGTTATGGCAGCCTGAGCAGACTAAGACAAGATGCACTCCCCACCTGCTACCCTCATCTATTGCTTACAATATGAAATTACAACTTTGCTATTAGGCCATTTTCCAATTTTTTCATCTATTGATCTATCTGACTATAGTTTGGATATTTGACCCTTCAGACTGCATGTTAAAATTTGATGCCAAAGTTAGAGGTAGAGCCTAATGGGAATGTTTGGGTCATGGGGGTAGATCCCTCATGAATGGCATGGTGTCATCCTTGTGGTACTGAGCTCTCACTATATTAGTTTCCATGAGAGTTCCCCTGAGAAATGGTTGTTGAAAACAGCCTGGCACCTCCTCCTCTCACTTGCCTCCTCTCTCACCATGTGATCTGCACATGTTGGCTCCCCTTCACTTTCCACCATGATTGGAAGCTTCTTGAGGCCCTCATCAGAAGCAGATGTTCTCACCATGCTTCTTGTGCAGCCTGCAGAACTGTGAGCTAAATAAACCTCTTTTCTTTATAAATTACCCAGTCTCAGGTATTCCTTTACAGCAACACAGACTAAGACAAAAAATTGGTATCCAGAGGTGGAGTGTTACACTAAAGATACCTGAAAATGCAGAAGAGGCTTTTGAACTGGGTAATGGGTAGAGATGGGAAGAATTTGGAGGGCTCAGAAAAAGATAAGAATTTGAGAGAAAGTTTGGAACTTTTTAGAGATTAGTTAAGTGGTTGTGATCAAAATGCTTATAGAAATACGGTCAGGAAAGGCCGTTGATGAGGTCTCAAATGGAAATGAGGAACTTACTGGGAACTGCAGCTATCACCCTTTTTACATCTAGCGAAGAACTTGACTACATTGTGTGCATGCCCTAGGGCTTTGTGGAAGGCTGAACTTAAGATTGATGACTAAAGTATCTGACAGAAGACATTTCTGAGCAGCAAAGCGCTCAGGCTGCTGTGTGGTTACTTCTAACTGCTTATGGTAAACTGGTAGAGAAAAAGCAAACAGAGTGGAAAAATTCAGAAAATTCACATCCTGGCCATGTGTTAGAGGAGAAAAGAGCATTTTCAAGATAGAAGTCCTAGGGTATTGGGAAGCAAGCACTTGCTAGAGAGATTAGCAGAGATATAAGGCAGGCAGGTGCTAATAGTCAAGACAATGGGGAAAAGTTCCCAAAAGCATTTCTGAAAATTTCAAGGCTGAGCCTCCCATCACAGGCCCAGAGGCCTAGGAAGACAGAATGGTTTCAAGGGCCAGGCCCAGGGTGCTGCCATCCTTTGCCACCTGGGCATTCTGCTCTCCTCATCCTGGCCACTCTGCCTCCAGACACAGCTCAAATAGCCCCAGGTACCACTGGAGCCACTGCTACAAAGGGCACAAGCCATAAGCCTTGGCAGCTTCCATGTTGTGTTAGGTCTGTAGGTGTGCAGAATGCAGGAGTGGTGGTGGAGAATTGGCACCTGCCACCTAGATTTCAGAGGATATAGCAGAAAGCCTGGGTGCTCAGGCAGAAGACTACCACAAGAGAGACTACTCTGGTGGAGAGTCCCCATGGCAAGACTACTAGGACAATGCTGAGCAGAAATATGGGATTGGAGCCCTCGCAGAATCCCACTGGGGAACTGTCTAGTGAAGTTGTGGGAGCGGGACCACTACCTTCCAAACCCCAGAGTTATATAGCCACTGGCAATGTGCACCTTCAGTCTGGAAAAGCCAAAGGCATTTAACTCCAACCTGTGAGAACTACCATGTAGGCTGCATCTAGCAAAGCCATGGAAACAGGGCTGCTCAAGGCCTTGGGTGCCCACTCTTCTCACCAGTGTGCCCTGGATACAGAATGTGCAGTCAAGAGGGATTATTTTAGAGTTTTAAACTGTAATATTTGCTCTGCTGGGTTCCATACTTGCGTGGGCCCTGTTACCCACCATTTTGGCTGATTTTTTCCTTTTGGAATGGGAATATTTACCAATGTCTGTTCCATCATTGAATCTTGGAAGCAAATAACTTGCCTTTGATTTATTTCTTTTTCTATCCCTTCACTTTCAATCTATGTATGTCTTTGTAGGTGAAGTGAGTTTCTTGTAGGCAGCATATAATTGGCTGTTGTTTTTTAATACATTCGGCCACTCTGTCTTTTAATGGGAGAATTTAACTTTGATTGCAAAAAAAGAGACAAACAAACAAAAAACTGCACACATTAACTGCCTTCTCCCCAACATTTTGAATTTTTGATGTCACAATTTGCATTTTTGTATGGCCTGTCTCTTAACAAATTGTTGTAGCTATTATTTTTCACAGTTTTGTTTTTTAGTCTTCTTATAAAGATATAAGTGGTTTAAACTTCATGATTATAATATTAGTATTGCAAAATAACATCACTTGTTTTTGAAGTCTGCCAAAGTGATGTTAATTGTAGTACCACTCAGCAAGTGATTTAAACTTACATTAGGTATTTACATTAATAAAAAGTCCCTCTGCTTTCCAATACCTCAGGCAGAGCCAGATGTTTCACTATTTTACCAGGATTCTGCTTATTCCATAGGTTCTCCCTCTTCTCTTTAAGCTGTTTTTAACTGTGTGCCCCTCACCCATGAATTTCCTGTTTCTTTCTTGTGCAAAGCAGTTTATTTCTCTCTGGGTTTTGTGGTCTCCTTCCCAACTCTTGGATATGCAGCTCAACCAGTACAAATTAATATTGCAAAATAATTTACAGAATGCTTTGCAGCCTAAATGCTTAATCTCAATTAGGTGCTGGAGAAAAACAGCAATATCTTGAAAGCCCTAAGGTAGAAATCAGGGATGAGCTTTAATGACTATTTCTTCTCCTCTTCTTTTCTTTTTTCCTCTCTTCCCCTCTCTGCTCCTTCCACCCTGCCTCCTTCCCCACTGGATAACACAAACCTTCTGAGAAGCACAAGAGAGATAAGTTATATACCTGAGAAAATACATATATATTTGACAATGTGCTACAGAACTGCTTTATTCATTACACATTAGTTACTGTTCCCTTTACTATTGACTATTTGGGAATGATGAATCCTTAAAAGCTTACTGCAATGTTAGGTTTAGTGCTTGAGCAAAGATAACTAACTTTGATGTTGTACTTGTTTAGAAATATTAACACTTCTTATTCTATATTTTAGCATTATAATTAAAATTAATCTTTAAAAGTCACACACCACACAAACATACAATGGAGTAAGTTCACTTAGAAAATGATGCCTTTTCACTGTTTTTTTTTTTTTTTTGTATACTTTTAAATGAACCACCCCAAAATATTTTACCCCAAAATATACTTCTTTGACATATTTCAAGATAACTATTCACAGTGGCAAGAAACACAGAATAGCTAAAAAGATACTTTTGCAGGGAGGAGATTTGCATCTGTAGAGAAAATCTGCATTGGTGCATCCAGATCTTGAAAAGGTTAACTCAACCGCAGGCTACTGTCTATTCTTTCTGAGAGCTGCTACATGTGAGGTTTCATCTGCATCGCAAGACTGCCTTTGCCCCATGACTTTTTTCTCTCTTCCTCCCATAACTTGCCTTGCCATGCTCCAAGCCCCTGTTCTTTCTGTAACTTCAAGATGATATAAAAGTATCAACCATCTGGCCCTCTCTTTGTGTTTTCCTATTTTGTATGACTCTTCGGTGCACATTAACAAATTTGGTATGTCTTCTCTTATGAATATGCCATCTTTCAGTTGATTTTCAGTGAAACTTCAGAGGGTAAAAAGAAAGTTTTCCCTTGGCCCCTACACTTCTAACAGATTAAAATAAAATTCACATACCATAAAATTCTCACTCTTAAAGTGTAAAATGCTGGGGCCTTCAGTGTATTCACAAGGTCATGTAACTATCACCACTATCTAATTCCAGAACATTGTCATCACCGCAAAAATAAATCTATTATAATACCCCTGAGCAGTGCCTCTCAATTTCTGTCTTCCCCCAGCTCTGCCAACCACCAATTTCTTATCTGTCTCTATGGATTATCCTCTTCTGGGCATTTCATAGAAATGGAATTATACAATATATGGCCTTTTATGTCTGGCTTCTTTCACTAACCATAATGTTTTCATAGTCATCCATGTTTTAGCATATATCAGTACTATTTATTTTTATGGATGAATAATATTCCATTTATGGTTATTTATGGACATTTTGATTATCCATTCATTAGTTGATTTGAGTTGTTTTCACTTTTTGGCTATTATGAATAATTATTCTATGAATATTCACATGCAAGTTTTTGTGTGAACATATGTTTTCAATTCTCTTGAGTATATACGTAAGAGTGGAATTGCTGAGTAACTCTATGTTTAACCACTTGAGAAAGTGCTAAACTGCTTTCTAAAGTAGCTGTTTGATTTAAAATTCTCACTAGCGTTACAAAAAATTATATTAGATGGTAAAAATGCATTTGTAATGCAATGATAAATCTATTGCATTGAATAGAATTAAACAGGCAAGAAATGCTTTATTCAAGACTATTGCAATAAGAGAAATTGAACTGAACTTTGAGTACAACAGGGGCAGCTGGAGATTTATAGCAATGGGCAGAGTGAGGGAGTCTGTGGATGGAAGAGTACCAAGAGGAACCTGGTTGGACACCAAGGGTGCGTGATTCTAGTTAAACTGGCTTGGCACAATTTTTGCTAAAGCGGGCTCAGCACAGCAAGGAGAGCAGGTTAACAATAATGCCTAATAGAGAAGAGGCCTAAGAGGAGGCTGGCTAAAGTTTGACCAAGGAGGGAGTCCAGTACTATATAAGGGTTCCAACTCCACATCCTCATTAACACTTGTTTTGTCTGTCTTTTTTATTGTAGGCATCCTAGTGGGTGTAAAGTGGTATCTCATCGAGGTTTTGAGTAGCATTTCTCTAATGACTAATGATGCTGAGTATCTTTTCATGTGTTCATTGGCCATTTGTATATCTTCTCTGGAGAACTGTTTATTCACATTCTCTGCCCATTTTCAACTGGATTGTCTTTTTGTTTTTGAGTTGGACGAGTCCTTTATATATTCTAGAAAGTAGACTATATAAAGGACTTATCAGACGCAAGATTTGTAAATGTTGTCTCCCATTTTGTAGGCTGTCTTTTTGCTTTCTTGGTAGTGTCCTCTGAGGCACCAAAGTTTTTATTTTGATGAAGTCCAATTATGCCCTAGGGTCATCGCTAATGATTCACAGCCCTAGTATATCGTGCCTTCCCCTTGAGTGATGGAAACTGAGATCTGCCTTTAACCAATACGATATAGCAGAGGTGATGGGATAGCACCCCTGTAATTGTCTTGTTATGTAAGACCCTGTCTTAGTGGACTGGAGAGAGATATTCTCCTGCTGATCTTGAAGAAGCAAACAGCCATGGTATGAGCTGCCTATTGAGAGGGCTGGGAACTGTAGGCAGTCTTCAGCTGACAGCCAATAAGAAGCAAGGACTTCTCAGTCACACAACCACAAAGAAAGTAATTATCCCAACAACCGGAATGAGCTTGGAAGTAGATTCTTCCCTAGCCAAGTCTTCAAATCAAACCAATACATTGTATGCAGCCTTATGAGATCTCATTGAGGTTTTGGTTAGTATTTGACCAGAAGACCCAACTAAATTGTGCCCAGATTTCTGACTCACAGAAACTATAAGTGTGTGTTCTTTGAAATATTTAACTGATTAATTAACATTTGTTAACATTAATTAACATTTGTGGTAATTAGCTATGACGATAGAAAATGAATACACCTTTTAAACTAATACTTTTCAATCTGTTTTAATCCATGCTCCATTTCATAAATGTAAATATATACATTTAACCCTTTTTGTGGTGTAACCTAAAATAAAAATAAAATATTTTGACAAAAAAAATCAAAGCAATGACATAAAGAGTTGCTTTGCCTTCAAATAATATAAAACTTATTTCCAATTTTGATATTTTCCTTAAAATCCAGATAAACTTCAAATAGATTAAATGACCTGCCCCAAAATTCCCAAAAATAGGTTGTGGCTGTCACCATCATTTGCTGTCTCCTTTCTAAACAGCACATTCAATCTTCTTAAGGAAAGAGACCACACTTAATATTATAAAGATCCTTTTTCTGAAGGAAAAATTATGACAAGTAGTGTGACAGAAAATTTTTCTGTTGGTAAATATATTAGCAGGAAAGGTCTTATGATGTTTAAATGTTGTCACATATAATTGCACATTGAAAACATTATCATTGTTGAAAAGATGAAAATGACCTGAAATCAGGGTCATATGAGAACTCTGTGTAACAGAAAGTATAATTAGCCAGCACGGTGTCTATGGGTTCCAGATTGCTAAGAATTACTTTGAGGTATTATTTAAACATGCACAGTCCCCAGCCTCCAGAGCAGGGACCTGGGATTCTGTGTGTTAAATAAATGCCCAGGTAAGTTTATGATTAGGTGCATTTGGGAGATTGGATAATACGAGAAATACAACTGCAATATTTAACTGATTAATTAACAGATAGATTGATGTGTAGATATTCAAGTGTTTAATTGCTAATGTGCAGGTTCGGTCTCTGTATTGGGTCTTCAGGGGAAAGTTTACGTAAAAGACGTGTCCTGAAACACAGTGTCAGTTAAGTATGAAAGAAACTAAAAGTAAATGCACTGAATGTATTATACAGTTGACTTCTTTTTTTTTCTGTTTTTTTTTGTTTGTTTTTTTTTTTTTTGAGATGGAGTTTTGCTCTTGTTGCCCACACTGGAGTGCAATGGCATGATCTTGGCTCACTGCAACCTCCACTTCCCAGGTTCAAGCAAAACTCCTGCCTCAGCATCCCGAGTAGCTGAGATTACAGTCATGCGCCACCATGCCCAGCTAATTTTGTATTTTTAGTAGAGATGGGGTTTCGCCATGTTGATCAGGCTGGTCTTGAACTCCTGACCTCAAGGGATCCACCTGCCTCGGCATCCCAAAGTTCTGGGATTACAGGCGTCTGCCACCATGCCCAGCCAGTTGACTTCTATTAATAATAACTTTTTTTCTGTTAGAATATAAGATCCATGGGGAATGGAAGCATTATCCAGAATAAATATTTTTTGAATTTGTTATTACTAATATTATCAATGAACATGTTCCACTTACCTTGAGAATAGGGCATCTAAAGGAAAAAAGGGTCTCTCAGGTTGGCAAAATAGATCAGATAGAAAAAATAGAGTGAAAGGAAACACTCAACAGCTTCTCTGTTTTTTAAGAAACTCTCATAATCAGAGTTTGAATCTCCTCTGAATTAACTGAGTGGTCCAAATGGAAAATTTAAGAATACCTTTAAAAAAACACACACATAAAAAACTGGCTTCCTAGACCTTGTGGTTAGCAAATAAGTCTTGCCAATTTTGATAAATTAGTTGCAAATGAATCAGAAACATACGGACTATATGTAGTCATATTTTCAAATAGAAGAAAGGTGCTTGGAAAATGTATTTAGTTAATGCCAAAGTTTAAATGTTTCAGAAATAGTCTGTGGCATTCTCAGAAAGCAAAACATTTTCACTCTGTCAGCATTCTAACTTCAATGTATTTATATAGTGCCATTTAGCCCTAGAAACAAATTAACAGAAAGAATCATCTTGCAAAATACCAATATTTTCACTCACTCATGAGCACTGACCTGGCTGGTCTCTATTATTCTTAGGCCATCACATAGTCTTTAACATTTATTTCCTTTTTTTTCATTTCCATATTACAATACAGGAATAGCACAAAGGTAAGTGGTTTAAACTTCAGTACATATCCATTACCATATCTTCCCACTGGTTGGTCAGTATTAATAAATGCAAATAATATATGTAATTCTGCATATATTTTTCAACGTATGTTCTTGAAAAAAAAACAATAAAACACAAAACTATTATAATGCTGAAATATCACAGTATAGAACTTGAATCATAATTGTAATTGCACAGCTAAGAAGACATTAGATAAAGAATAATATTTTATTTGGTACATATCAGAGTAGATTTTTTCCATTTTAATTTGCTTTATTATTGAGTTGCCATTACTGTTCAATGTTAAGCTTCATTTTTGTGTTCAATAAGAGGTTATTTTTATGGTTATGGACTACAATGAGGCAATAACAAAAAACAAGCAACCAAAAAAAACCCCAGTGTTTTCGTAAATTCATTAAGGCAACCACTCAATATACTAAAGGAACAAAAAACAATTCCCCAATCATCAAGCTTGCTACCAGAATTCAATGGTTATATGACTGAATGTACTAACCAGTTTGATCAAAGCAGTTCATCCTCCTCAAATGTCTAATACCCTCTTTTTAGACACTTTGCAAATGGAATGAGTCTCAGTCTCTAAGTAACATGATAGCAAATTGTCAAAAAGATTTTGCTGTTCAGTGTTTCCGGAAATGGAACTCTAGAGCTACTTTAATAAAGCCTTTAAAATTGGAGATAATTCAATAGGTCTGGAAAAAAAAGACTCTCAAGAAACAAGAAAATAATGCCAAAAAACGATTTATGTAGAACAGATATTAAATGTGTAGTGCCATATAAATTCTAGCGAAGAAAATCCATTCTGACAGCTTACAATGTTTTATTGATTAGAAAAGTTTTGGAACATTACCAAGGTCCATGAAAGGCATGGGAAATAATTTCAAAGGAAAGGGAAAAAATTTAAAAATACTCTTTCCCCCTGCATTGAAGAATATTACAGTATAATAACAGAACAAAGTTTCTGGAAAGTTGCCATATGTTCCATGGAAGAAGAAATAACATGCAACAGTAGGTGTAATTATAGCAGATACCAGCTCACTGATGTTCAGTTCCCATTGTCAAGTGATTTAAAGCACCCAAGAAGTGCCAATGCAAACTAATTTCTTGAATTTGCTTTTTACTTTTGTGTATAAAGGAATGGTACACTGTTTTTATAACATCTGATCAAGAAGCCTGATTTTTCCTCTTTTTTCCATCTTGCCTGACACAAATAAGTTAAAAAATGAAAGGAGATGGCTTCTATGACTACTTACTTGAGAGGTTCGCAGCCTGAAGCTAGGCAACACAAATCAGTTTATAAAAATGTATCTGGCAACATGGATGTGCTTGGGGGACATTATGTTAAGTGAAATAAGCCAGGCACAGAAAGACAAGTACCGCATGTTCTCACTCATATGTGGGAGCTAAAAAAGTTGATTTCGGAGAAGTAGAGAGTAGAATTGTGGTTACTAGGGAAGGGGCGTGGGGCACATAGCCAGAGGTTGGTTAACAGAAAGCAATTATAGCTATATAGAAGGAATAAGTTCTAGTGTTCTATAGCGCTGTAGCGCTAGTGTTCTGTAGTGAATATAATTAATAATAATTTACTGTATATTTTTAAATACCTAGAAGAGCAGATTTTGAATGTTCCCAACACAAATGAATGACAGGTGTTTAAGATGATGAATATGGTAATTTGCCTGATTTGATCATTACACATTGTATACATGTATTGAAATATTACACTGAACTCCATTAATATGTGCAATTATTGTGTCAATGAAAAATAATAATAAAAGCAAAAAATGGGCAGAAAGATATGTATCTGAATTCAGCTTAAGAAAAGACTCAGTCTGATTTAAGTAGATGAATGAGGTATACTTCTACAGCAGTGGTCCTCAAACTTCAGGTGACAGAGAATCTTCTAAGGAGTTTGTCAAAATGCATTCCCAGGCCTCTCCTCCAGAGGTTCTGATTTGTAGGTTTGGGATGGCACTCATTAACCTGCACATAAACCAGAGCCTCCAGTGTACCTGATACAGGTGGTTCTCAGAGCACAATGTTGAGAATCTCTGCTCTAGAACCCTAGAACCCGCACCTTCCTCCTGTTCTCCTCTCCTCCAGGCCCTGGAGGATCAGGGTCCTGATGGAAGTCTATTGGACCTCTGTGAGGGAAGGGAAAATATTTGAGAACTATTCCACAGGCTTACTTTCTTTTTCTTTCTTTCTTCTTTTCTGACCTAAATGCAGAAGGAACAATTAATTATACCTTTCAGTCCACAGTTCATGGCACATAATAATCATTGTTGAGAGCAAAGGATCTGCTTCCCTCCCTACCTCCCTTCTTTCTTTCTTGCCTCCCCTTCCTTCTTTATCTATTTCCTTTTATCTCCATTCCAGTTAGTCATTTTTCTCTATCCCGTAGTCAAATTCTCTAATGCTTTTATTGCGAATCTTTTGTTAGTGTGCTTTTCTTGCAAAATGAGCGTTGCTGCTTTGCATGACTGTATGTAAATGGGTTTGTGTTTTACTTATTGTCCCTAAGCACCATGGTTGTGAGATACATTCATGTGTTGCCATGTGTATATTGAACCTGTTGTTTCTAACAGCTACAGACCTGGTGTTTATCTACCACATTATTATTTGATAGACAACCAGGTTGTTCTAACTCGTTGCCACCACATATAATGCTGTAACGCATATCCTTGTACACGTCCCCTTGGATCTGTGTATGAACCTCTTTGAGATGTGTATCAAGAACAGAATAGCTGGAGATTTTCGGCCTAAAAGAACGTCTTCTCTGGATCACTCAAAACCACCCCAGCCATATTTGCCACTCAAGGTCTCATTATTACAACTTTAAAAAGAGCATGGTATAGCTTGGCTGGGATGTAGGAATATGTGTGTTTATTCTACTTTCATGTGCTCAACACTTTACTGAGTATTTATTATATATTTGATGATATAAAGATAAATAATTCACATCCTTCATCATAAGTGTGTGTATATATATCTCCCATTTTTACAGATGGGGAAAATAAGGCTTGAGCTCATGCAACTAGTAAGTGACAGTCAAGATTTGAGACAAAAATCTATCTAATTCCAAATCCTCTAGAAACAATAAAATAGGGAGAATATTGTCTCTACAGGAAAAACATTACCTTGCTCTTTTGAGAATGTGAAATTAGGGAAAATAAAATTTTTCCCCAGATACTTTATACTTATAGCTCTTGATTGGTTGGCAGAAAATAGTTCCTTGCCAAGGTGAGTCTCCAACCCAAGACATACGACAGGGTGTTTTTGTGTTCTAGAGAGAAGATGGGATACTCTGTGAGCCAGACCAGTGGTCTGGGTGGAAGCTGAGCAGGAAGGATGTGGCAGCAGAATCTTTTAAGGGAAAATATCTCCTTCAAGCCACCATCTCTTCCTTTCCTCAGTACTTGATTTAAGACAAGCTCCAGCATAAGGTGGATAGGCCACAGAGCAGCCTCATGAGAATGAAGCAGCCCAAATGATTCTCATATGATCATATGCCGGCATAGGGAAAGGTTAAAAGGGCAATGATCATTTCCAGTTTAAGAACTTTTAAAGCAGTGGGACTCAACTTTTTCCAGTTTGATATCTTATAAGGACAAAAGCATTTTGATATTGTGTTATGACAATGGCTGTTCTTTTTTCAATTTTGAGTGAAATGTATAATAGCAAAAAGCTACAATGAATTTAGTAATACTTTAGCTTGTATCTAAACATTTTTACAAATACTAGTATCGTTTTATTTTTTAAAATATTTTATTTCATTTTATTATTTTTTGCTAGCTGCTGGAAGTTTGTTTTCTTCTTGGTGCGAGGCAAATTGTTACAGGATATCAGGTAAGCTGGGGTGTGACTTGGATAGTGAAGAGTGGAGTGCTCTCAACTTCCTCTTTGATATTTTGCTCTTTGACGTAAAAATAACCCAACTGCTTTCAGCTCATTGCAGCCTGCCCAGTCTAGGGCTGTGATGGGCCTAGGACCTCCAGAAGTGGGTCAGGCCTCTTTCTCAAGGCTTCCCCAGACAGGTCATGGGTGGACATGCAGCTGGAAACCTGAGGAGATCCTGAGTGCTCTGAGGACTCCAATACTGTGGCCATGAATGGGAGTATACATTTCTCAAAAAGAAGCTTGCTCACCAGTGATTAGGACCAGCCGTGGGGAGACTCTGGTGATGGTAGGGGGATGGCATCCCCAAATACTAAACACTTCCACAGAAGCCGTTGGTGGAAGTGGAGCCTAGGAGCATTTGTAATAGTCATGCATGAGTAGGAATGAGCCACTGGAAGAGATGGCTGCTGTGTTCCTGCTGGTGGGCTGATGTAAACACTGGCACACCATCATGGGTGGCAGGGACAGAGATGATAGGCCATGGAGTTTGCAGAAGAGACCACAGAGGCCACTTCATGACTGAGATGCACATGTGTGTGTGCTTGGGATGCATATTTATTTTACTACAGTATATGCTATTCTTTGCCTCTACAGCCTAGCGCCCACGGTCAATCCTGGGTGAGCATTTGAATTCCCAAACCCTTAGAATTACTTACTCTGTTCACCAGTCCACAATAGATCATATCTGGGAAACCACTATCCTAAATGCTCTATATCTATACCACTAGTTGGGCACTTAACATGCCATCTTGTATTCTCAGGTTATATTTTACATTTTTCTGTTAACATTCCTCTTTTTCTTCATCTGGATTGTAAACTCTCTAAAAGAAGAGATCATGTATTGCATTTTAATGTCCACAGAATGAAGAACAGTACTTTGCAGAGCCTTGTTAAATAAGGAGGGGTAAAAAGATTTATTAAGTAACCATTTTGTACCAGGAATTGTGATGGGTGCTTTATGTTTATTGTGGACCTTGAGGTTGAATCTACAGTCTAATCCTATCATGGTAACTCACCCATTTCCTTGCCTATGATGGATTCTGGCACCTCGGCTTAAGCCAATCAGAGCATTGCATTCACCTAAGGACTCCTTGGATTATGGCTGGGCATGAGACCTAAACTGGGCATTCAGACTGAGAGGAATATTTTCCCCCATTTTGGGGGAAGGGTTTAGCTGTGGGCAACTGATTAATGCAAGGATCTAGAACCTTGATGTCATTGAGTCACGTATTCAGTCAACCAAGCTGAAACCACTTTA
The DNA here is from genome assembly GCF_000001405.40 of Homo sapiens. Taxonomy (NCBI): domain Eukaryota; kingdom Metazoa; phylum Chordata; class Mammalia; order Primates; family Hominidae; genus Homo; species Homo sapiens. The sequence continues at coordinate 82,824,033 of NC_000005.10, read as the reverse complement.
CAGCAAATATCTTCTCTTCAGTCCTCATACCCATCACTCACTTTTCTCACCCTGCTTTTCCCTGAAAGGCTGACCTATATGGTCTGTGTCAATGGATTTCTTGCCCTCTGGCTTCTGGTTGGCTTTAACCAATGGGGAACACAGGCAGGAGATGGCAAGGAGGAAGAAGAGTATGGTTAGCATATTTATTCTTGTACAATGTGCTGTTTTGGAACACCCTGTTGAATGAGATATGAATGGTTTACTCTTTAAACTATTTTGAGTTCTGTTTTCAGTCCCTTACAGTAAAAAAGTTATACTGATATATACATGCAACCATATAGATATATTTCCCCTACGCTTCTGTAGGCACTGATGATGCATATATTATCTCATATAAACCTTTGAAGAAGTTAAAGTAGCTTTATTATCTCCATTTTGCTGTAAGGAAACCAGGACCCAGAGAAATGAGGTGTCCAGGATAAGGACACAGGCTTGAAGGAAGCTTAATTATTAAGTTTAGAAATTGATTTACATTTACTAAATGCTCTATTATAGTATTACTGAGTTCATTTAAAAAAATTTATAAGGCCAAGCACGGTGGCTCACACCTGTAATCCCAGCACTTTGGAAGGCCGAGGCAGGTGGATCACAAGGTCAGGAGATCAAGACCATCCTGGCCAACATGGTGAAACCTTGTCTGTACAAAAAATACAATCTAGCTCAGGGATTGTAAACGCACCAATCAGCACCCTGTCAAAACGGACCACTCGGCTCTCTGTAAAATGGACCAATCAGCAGGATGTGGGTGGGGCCAGATAAGAGAATAAAAGCAGGCTGCCAGAGCCAGCAGTGGCAACCGGCTCGGGTCCCCTTCCACACTGTGGAAGCTTTGTTCTTTTGCTGTTTGCAATAAATCTTGCTGCTGCTCACTCTTTGGGTCCACACTGCCTTTATGAGCTGTAACACTCACCGTGAAGGTCTGCGGCTTCACTCCTGAGCCCGCCAGATCAATTTCTCAATGATCTGATCATGTTCTTTATAGCATTTCCCCCTCCATATGGAATCCACTCTACGATCACATATTATATTTAGTTTTCATATCTCTTTAATTTTCTTTAATCTGCAAGAGTTCCTCAACTTTTCAGTGACTATGACTTTTATCACATCACCGTTTGTGAAACCTCCAGCCTCTCTCCCCTTTTAAATAAAATGCTTCTAATTTTTTAAATAAAATGCTCCTGATTTTTTTCTGACGTTTCCTCATGATTAGATTTAGTTTTTCTGTGTTCTGCTGGAAGACTACCTAGGTGACGTCATGTCCTTCTTAGGATGTTGCACCAGAGGCACCCAATGTCTGTCTACGCCTCCTTGATAATTTAAGTTGTGATCACCTCTTCAATATATTATCTGATTTCTCCACTATATAGGAGAGAGGCCTGAGTTTGAAAGCCAGGATTTGTCAAAGCACAAAGCACTGCTGGCTGCTTCCTGTTGATTCATTCATCTGCCCTTACTGGGAACTTTAGTGGAGGCATTATCTGCTATGACTCTAAGCTAAGAAAGTTTTCTTTCTCATGAGACCAAGGTCTGGGTAAGGGAGGTTACAGTCAAAAGGATTTCTATAGCTTCTGAATTGTTTTCAAATCCTAACAATTGGCCGCTCACTATTCAGTTAAATTACTCTTAAGGGAAAACAATTTCATCAATTTTTTAAACCTCTTCCCTTTCTAACTCACAGTACTTTTAGGGTCTCTCAACTTCTCCTCCATAAAAGAAGTGTCTGCTTTGTTTGTTCAGACCTGGGTGATTTGTTTCTAAGCAGCAGGCAAATTGCTTTGTTCTCAGAATAAGCTTGAGGAGGAGGGATCCCAGGGTGGGACGGCAATCAGAAGGGTTTATACAATGGTTGGCTCCTCTTTCCTATCATGGAGATCCCAGGGGCCTTAACAACTTGGTTCTAGTCCACACTGACAGTGCTGGAGGTCACATCTCTAGTATCTTTCATTTAATCTTTTTCTGGGGATTTTTCCTGTCCCAGGAGGTAGTTGGAAAGACAGCAAACTTTGGTCAGGCTTTGCAGGTGGGTCTCTTGGCTCATGTGAAATCTGGATGTAATAGATTTAAGTAAACAACTGATCTTAAAGCCAGTCCAATTGCTGTTGCGTCAAAATTTATCCCAGGCCTCAAAGACCTTTAGGGGGAGTAAAGCCAAACGCCTTACCTGTAATTACATTCTGTTGATTTGTCTGAAGTTACTCCCCTTTGTCACTTCAGGTCTACGCAAAACTCCCGAGACAATAATGGGCATTGTTGGTTTGCACAGTGCTGGTGGAAACGTGGGTGCAGAAAGGCAAACTTGTGGTCGGTGCATTTTATTGCAGGATACAAATCACACAGCTGAATCTGGCAACTATTATGAGGCTGAAATAAGCACATATACTCACAGAACAAAGCAACCAAATTATGTGTTTAACATAATAATAATTACAAAAGCTCTACAGGCATCGTTTTGAGCTATCTGCTGCCATAAGTCCCAAGGGCTTCCTTCAACCATGGGGAAACTGAAAAATGAACAGTGACAGGAAGCTGGGGTGGAGCGAGAGCTCAGCCATTAGTTTTCTTTTGTGTGTGAACAATTGTTTTAAAGTTTAAATGCAATATTCAGTGTATCATTTGTTGCCACAAATTATCCCTTGGATAGTTTACTATGAGTGCCAGCTTCTCTGGGGTGCCTTCTGTGTTTTACAAGTGGTTCCATCAAACAATGATTATTATTCTTCAAAAAATGATCCAGAGTGGCTTATTACATGACAGACATGTGGTTTGAGTTTTGTCGTAAATGCAGAACAAAGGGTCTGAGAGTGTTTCTTTTTGTTATCTGAGCTGTGTGGCTCTAAGGAAACATCAGATAGTTCATTATTCAAATGAGAATATTTTCTTGCCTTTCATTTCATTTTCGGTTTTATTTCTGTATATCCATGACATTTTAGCAAGCAAGCTGCCTCCTCTAGAAGAGCCATCTGCTTTGCTTTTCAACTGTGAAACCATCTGAGAGAACGAATACCTTCTTCCTCATAGAAACACATATGGGGTGAGGGGAGTGGTATTGTTAATTATATATATGATTATGCATGAATATATACATAAATAGGTATATATTTATGTGTATTTGTATATGTGTATGTGTGTGTGTGTGTAGTGTCTTTCTTTACTTTTTTCTGTTTTTAAAAAATACTAGAGCATAGTTGTACAATCAAGGAACTTGGTCTCAATAAACAACTAAGCAAAAATCTCCGACCCACCTTTCTCCCATGTCTCAAACCTTTCTCAGTGCAATAGGGTATGAGTTACATAAGCATGGGGACTTTGGTCTGCATGTTGATTGGTATATTCCTGGTGTATAGAAGAGTGTCTGGTATATAGTAGTTGCTAAAATAATAGTTGTTGGATGAAGTGGTATGAATATCAGTGTTCCTCCTCAGTAAATTCTGTGTGTCAGGCATGTAACAGTCAGAAATTACTCTTCCTCACTATGATTGTGCCTGTCGTTACTCCCACTCAGAATGGTTATAATCTTTTGCCTGGTGCTAATATACCCTGTGCTATGGTGATGGTTTGGGGCAGGACACCTTCTATGACTTGTGTTACATTTTCTTACTAGATGACAAAGCAAAGATGCCTTGAGGCCATTTCCTATGAGTTGTCAGGCATCCCTGCCAACTCTGTAGGATTACTTAAATTATCACCAGTGAACATACATTTTGGATCCTGGCCTCAGGACTTTTTCTACATGAATATATTGATGGAAGAAACAGGAACCTATTATCTATTGAGATGACTGATAGTAAACCACTACCATAACTCAGGAAATCTGTGAAAAATACCCTCCCATGTATAAGTTAAAATGGCACAGCATAACTGGCCATGAAACAACAGCTATCAGACTAGCTTGATGTCCAATAACTGGAAATGGATTATCTGATTGCACCAAAGATTTCAGAGGCATGAAGTCAGGTCAGCTGGTTTTTGGGTTTCTATTGTGGAAAAGATTCATATTCATATATTGGACCTTGTCCGGCCACTCATAGAGTAACCGAGAGCAACAGACTTTTTGTTCTTGACAGAGATACATAGAATACAAAGGAAGAGACTGGAGATTATCCCTGATGTCAGTAAAGTCTATAGCTCATGGAAATGAGAGCTAGAAACATGTGACAATATTTTTTAGGAACTGTTCTATCATACATTTTCAATAATTCTCTATTTACTACAGAACAGAATTCCCAATTATAAGTAAGTTTTGTAAAAATCTAAGCTAATTCTACCTACTCAGAATCAAGCCTCTTTGCCTGTCCACAGCCACCGTTTGCTGGAACTGAGATGGAGAACACTCACCATTCACTAAACACCCACACCTTGATTTCCCTACCACATTGCTTTGAGGGGCATGCTGTCATCTGTGGTGGCTGAAGTTCCAGGAAAGGGGCTGGTGCATTCCTCTTTGGACATACTAAATATGAGGTATTGATGGTGCAACCAAGGGTGAATTGTGCATTAAAGAGTTGGAGAGAGAGCTCAGCACTCAAGAGAGAGGTCTGGCTGGACACCGAGATTTAAGAAGCTTTCACCTAATGATTGTACGTGAAGGTTTGAGGTAAAAGAGATCATCTAAGGTGATTATGTACAACAAGAAGAGACAAGGACACTGGTTTTATAGGCTAGGCAGAGGAATTAGTAACAGTGAAGGAGACTGTGAGACAATGATCCAAATAAGGAAGGAAAATGGTGTTATGAATAATTAAGCTAATATTTACTGAATGCCATCTATGTGGAAGAGCTCTGTTTAAGCATTGTGCATAAGGTAAATCAACTAATACAATAATCTTATAAAATAAGTTATATTATATTCATTTTTAAGATGAGGACACTGAGGCACAGGAAATTCAAGTAACTTCCCTAAGACTACCAACTAGAAAGTGGTGAGGTTGGAATTAAATTTATCTGATTCCAGAATCTGTACCCTAGTCTATTCTACAATACCTCAGCAAAGGAAAAAGAGTTTCAACGTGGAGACAGCGACCCACATTTGCACAATGCCATATGGTCCAGAGAATTCAATTAAGATAATAAATGCAAAGTATCCATTGAGTTTGAGGATTAGGAAAATACTAGTGATCTTAGCACAAGTTGTTTCAGTGGATTCGAGGCAGTAGAATTTTGAAGCAAATGAGCTCCTAAGTATCACCTATATTAGATCTATTTTTAAAAATTTATTTATCCAGGCCCTGGTTCCAGCACACTTGAATAGGTTTTCAAAAAATAGTCATTCTCCGAATGTTGCAAGAGTAAAATTGAGCATGAGATGTCAATTCTCCACATTAGCTTCAATTCTCCATTTCCCTTTAGCTGTATAGAAATAGCCTGTGATGAAGAGTCAAGGCTGTATAGCTTGTGAAACAATCAGGGCTTGTCTAGCCATTTTTGTTTATGTATGTAGGAGGTCATGAGGAGGCATGCTACAGAGACTTTAAAGATGAGGGAACTGAAGCACAGAGAGGTTAACACTTTGCTGTTCGTGGAGGTGAGGGGTCGGGGAGGGGAATCACCTAGTGTTACTTCCAGGAGATTTGAAAGGCTTTTTACTCTTACTGAAACTAACAATTTGATTCAACATTTAATGCTAGACTTTTAGCCCCTTTATAGATTCTGGTGGAAAAGAGATGGCTTATTGGATGGGCAAGAAAGACCTTCAAGACCCTCTTCTCCTGGTTTCTCTCAGGCTCAGGAAACTAAGAAGTCTCTGTTTTCTGCAATTATCTCTACCATAGTCCCATATAGTTAAGGACTAATATGGTTTGGTGGTATCCCCGGCTAAATCTCATCTTGAATTCCCACATGTTGTGGGAGGGGCCTTGTGGGAGGTCACTGAATTATGAGTCTGGGTCTTTCCCACGCTGTTCTCAGGATAGTGAATAGGTCTCATGAGATCTGATGGTTTTTAAAATGGGAATTTCCCTGCACAAGCCCTCTTCTCTTGTCTGCCACCGTGTGAGACACGCCTTTCACCTTCCACCATGATTGTGAGGCCTCCCCAGCCATGTGGAACTGTAAGTCCATTAAACCTCTTTCTTTTGTAAATTGTCCAGTCTCGAGTATGTCCTTATCAGCAGCATAAAAGTGGACTAATACAAGGATTTTCTAGACCACTTTGGCAGCCATCACTGAAACCGGCCTGAAATATATATAACGGTCCTTCTCTTATGTTCAAGCCAATTTGAATGGAAGGAGATTTCTTTATTTCAGATATCCTCACTAATTAATGCTCTACAATAGCATAAATTTCTTGTGGTCCAAATCCTTTTCTTTTAAAAGTCACTAAGTGGCCAGGCATGGTAGCTCACACTTGTAATCCCAGCACTTTGGGAGGCCGAGGCAGGTGGATCACCTGTGGTCAGCAGTTCGAGACCATCCTGGCCAACATAGGGAGCCTTCATCTCTAAAAGAAATATATAATTCATGAATACTAACAGTTTATGGTTTTTTTAGTCATACAGTTCAAATGCCTTCTACTAATTTTAAACAGCATCTGGATTTTAAAGGAGCAAAATTCAAAAGAAAAAAGCTTGAAAATCCTTCACTGGAAAAACCTGCCCATTAAAAAAAAATAAGACCAAAGCTCAATTCTCACCTGGTTCCAAAAACCATTTGAATTCAGCATATCATGTGTTGGATTTTAGAATGGAGTAAGCAGAGAAACAGAGGGAAAACAGCAACATGTGTAAGTGATCACCAAAAAAATAGCCCGTTTCCAATACTGAAAAAAACATGGCTTGTACATAGGTCACAGAACAAATCAGACGAAACCAAAGTGCCAAGTCACAACTTAAAGGAAAAGAATCCACGAGGGACCTTCGTGAGCAGATGGATTAGAAAGGCTAAGTTTCAACTCATGAAGACTTGAACCTACGCTATCTGAAATAGCCAGTCAATAACATTAATAATAATCATAAGACTCTGAAAACTACAGCTGGGGGGATTAAGCCAAATGGAGAAGCAAGGGACTGAACAAGAGAAGGGACTTTCCACAGAATTACTGAAAACAACAATCTGGTAATGAGGGAGTTGCTTCTTTCTGCTGGAGTGAAATTCCTCTACAATGTTTTTCCTTTGTGGCTGCATTTTCTAGCATCAGTAGGAGTACCTTCTGAAGAGAGTAAGTCCAGTTCACTATTGAATCTGCATTCAAAGATGCCAGTAAGCAGGTAAGAGAAAAGTGTTTTTTGTTTTTGTTTTTGTTTTTGTTTCGTTTTGTTTTGTTTTTGAGACAGAGTCTCTTTCTGTAACCTAGGCTGGAGTGCAATGGCGAGATCTCAATCACTGCTACCTCCGCCGCCCGGGTCCCGGTTCAAGCAATTCTCCTGACTCAGCCTCCCTAGTAGCTGGGATTACAGGCACGTGCCACCATGCCCAGCTAATTTTTGTATTCTTAGTAGAGACGGGGTTTCACCATGTTAGCCAGGCTGGTCTTGAACTCCTGACCTTGAGATCCACCCACCTCGGCCTCCCAAAGTGTTGGGATTACAGGCGTGAGCCACCGCACCCTGCCGAAAAAAGTGTTTTGTAATTGAATCACATGAGACTATGTGGAAAGAAGTCTGGCTCAGTGAATTAAAAATTTTCATTGGTTATCTTCTTATAGTAGAGTGTTTCCCATAGAAAACACCTTCATGGGCTATCTTTTCCTAATAATGTAGCCAAAGTTGGTCAAAATCAAGAAATCTTGTGTTAGCTTCACTGGAATGCTTGTCCAAATTTTTTCATTGCCTTTCAATTTTATCAGCTTGCCAGCACATGAGAAACCCACAAGCAGCCCACAACCCAGGACACACATCTGTCCAAAAAATTATCTGCTCTTTCTCCTATCTAAACAATAAGAGTTCTGGTAAGGATCACATATTTGGTTACTGGTAAGTCCCTTGTAGTATGCCTTACAGGCTCTGTAACCTCTATTGGATCAAATTACACGTGGTGTGGAAGAGGAGAAAGAGTGGAATGCTGCCATAATCAGTGTTGGGTAACCAGAGAGGAAGGAACAGTAAAAAATATCAACAAAAATAAATATGGAGCTCTTACTCCATGTGAGACACTGCCTTAAACATGGTGGGCCATAGAAACAACCTTAGGATCGAGTTCCTGTCCTTAGGAATCTCTGTCTAAGTGGAGATTATAGAAATACAGAGTCATCACTTGAAGCCTGTATTTTGAACGAGTACATAACAAAAGGCCGAAGACTTAGCAATGGGGACCCTGAATTAAGAAGTGGCATCCTCCCACTACTCTCAGTTGGAATGGAACAAAATTCATGAGGGACACATGAGAATGTCCCCAGATCTGGAAGAAAAAAAAAGTTACTATTTGATGAGTTCATACCAAGTGCCAGGCTCTCTGTGCCTTACATGTAGTAACTCATTTAATCCTCCTGATAACCCATAGGTGATTGCTATTGCTATTTCTGTTTCACAGATTTGGAAACTGAAGCAAAGACCTTAAATAATGTGGCCACGTCATGCAACTAATAAGCAGTAGATCTGAGATTATCTCAAAGGTATACTAATGCACCTAATAGTGCACCTAAAATGACCAAATGGGTTGCTAACAGTTCCACAGTGAGAAGGAACTGGGAAGTGGTGTTATAACTCATTGTAAAGCCTGTGAATTTTCTTCAAATAAATGCATATGTAATACTCAAATACATAAAGAAAGGTTCTGTGAGCTTCCTGACAATAAGGAGACCAGATAATTTGTACAGAGACTTCTCAATGGATGAATAGCTTGAGTTCCAAAAAATCTTTCCCCTTTTATTCTATTTTTTTTTCTTTTTCTTTTTTTTTTTTTTAGAGACAGGGACTTGCTACATTTCCCAGGCTGGTCTTGAACTCCTGACCTCAAGCAATCCTTCCACCTCAGCCTCCTAAAGTGCTGGGATTACAGCTTTGAGCCACTGCACCTGGCCTTCCCTTTCATTCTTATATACAAAGTACCATTATATAAATAAGTAGTTGTGCTTTTGTTCTGATGCATAGTTACTCTGTGTCTATGAAAGATGGTACATTGAAAAATTTTTAGGCATTGAATTTTTGACTTACAAGACTTCAGAATCCGGAAGCATCATGTGTACAGAGGAGATGAAAAACTTTGAAGTTGAAGGAAGGTCCTTGATCAAAAGAAAGGGAAAGTAGTGTTTACATAAGTGAGAGGGATATTCCCATTTCCAAATGGAAATTTTGTTTAGGTGAAGAGCCGCTAGTAGTACAATGAAGTACAAATCCATTTATTCAACCAGGCCACAGAACCATTTGCATTCTATGTGTCTGGCTAGGGGAAGTAGTCAGTGAAACCCATTAAACAGTGCTCAGAAGAAACCATCCAGCCCAGTACAATGAAAATGTACTTTTCAAGACCCAATGATCTATCCAAACATCATTTTAGTTGCTGTGGGAGAAGAATGCCATCATTCCTACTCAATAGATTGCATTATTATTGGGGAAAGAAAACAAAAGCATGCAAAATGAGAGCATGAGATGCTGACCACAGCCTGGGAGTTAAGGAAGAGATTAAAGGAAGAAACACCTTCCTGACCTGAGTTTTCTGAGAAAATGGAGCTGGAGCTTGGTAACACTCATCAATAGCCCAAAGATGGACTTTTGGGACTTTGCCTGAGAGCCTGTGGAGAAAATAAAGACCTGGGCTGGATAGTTTCTTCTGAGTACTGTTTAATGAGTTTCACTGACTACCTCCCCTAGCTAGATACATAGAACGCAAATGGTTCTGTGGCCTGGTTGATTAAATGCTTCATCAGGCAGACAGGCCCCTGGGAACTGTATGCAACATTTTATTGCCTTTCAAGGCAGTTGTTTCTCATTGTATAGATGCGCCTGAGTGGATAAATAATCGAGAGTTTCAATGCCAAAGGCTAATTTGCCCTGGCTTTGGAAATGCCTCTTTTTTTTTTTTTTTGAACCCCTAAGCAGCATGAATTATACTGATAGTTCTGCATGTTTCTGGCTGACCACCAAGGACCCCCCTTCCAGGAGGATGGGAAAGTTGCCGGATGAAGTTTTCTCACAGAATTTACCACTGACTATAAAGTGAAATTGCTACAATGAATAATCATCTTTCCTTGTGCAATCTTAATTGAGTTGGCAACATGTGTAATTACCATGATGGCAGAGGAACCCTGTGATGTTGAATGAAGGACGAGTTTCTTTGGCTATCTGTAGAAAGCCTCAAAACACGTTGTCTTCTTAAAGGCCGACCACCACTGAACTCATTTGAGCAGAGGTACATTTCACTTTGCTTGGATTTACCAGGGCTTTCAAAATTCAGTGCTTTCATGCCTTGCAAATAGGTATTTTTGGAAAGTGAATGCTTGCAGGTTAAGGGGATTTGTAATCTTTCTTTCAAGTGCTATTCCTAAGGTTCAAACATGTAAGTCTATCAATGAGTTGCAAATCACTGTAATGCAACACTTATCCAATTTGCAAGGATGTTTGTTAAAAAAAAAAAAAAAAAAAAAAAAAACAACCAACTCTCTCAAGGGGAAAAAAAAAGCTTCACAGCGAGAGCCTGCCCAGGGGTAAATTATAAAGATCTCCCACGAACATCAGAACTACATAAACTGAAGTGTAATTACCACCTAAGTAGGAAAATATAGTCTTTGTTTTTTACCTTTTCACCAAAAGACTATATACTCCTAGAAGTTCAAGAAAGGTCATTGGCAGAACCTAACCTTTACTTTATTGAAACTACCAAAGCTAAATTATACATGTTTTTAACAGCCTGCTGAATGCTATGCAAAGGCTTCTTTACAAATGTCAATCATCACTGAAACCTCAAGTCAGTGTCAAATCCTTGCAAATAATAGTAACAAAGTTCTTCAGTCAGATGCCTATGACTGAGATGGGTTTCATTATTTTCCCCTCTGACTTCTCATAACTGGAGGAAAGCTAGGAGAGAATGTGATATTGCAAAAATAAGCCCTGAAAAGTGCTTTGCCTCTTCCAAAAACTGATGAGCTATATTATTGCTGTAAGTACAATTGTTCAAAGAATATATTATACATGTGAAATCTATATTAACTTATTTAGGCTCCCATGGTATCATTTCGTAAGTTATAGCTACCAGAGACTCTTGGTATGCATTTTCTTTTATCTGGATAAATAGGAAATGGTAATATTGCTCAAGGTAGTGTGAGACAGCTGAATATTCTTGAACAGTCAGTAAAGGTCAAAATTGGGAAACAGGAATTTGCTTATACAATCCTTTCTGTGGCTAGCTCTCTTGCTAGCATGCAATTCAATACTTTCTGGGAACATTTGTGTGCGAAAGAAGCATGTTTGTATGCATCCATTTTTGTACTTCCATTTGCTTAGCATGGCTTTTGTTTGGTAGCTGAGAGTGCTCAAGGACATTAGGCTTATTATTTAATTTATTCAGTCCCCAGGGCTAGACCTCTAGGCAGAGCCATGTGTGGACCTTTTTGATGTGCTTCAAATTATAGTGTTTAGGCAACTTCTACTTCTCTTCCAATGAGTCTGATGTGATCTGAGATATTGCTGGGTTGACTGGCCTAGTGGGGTCTCCTCTCTAAGAGGATAGTTTGTGTAAAGTGGGGAATCAAAATCATCCTCTGCATAGGAAATGAAAGTATGTTTCAAAGCTTACACTGTGGGGGGAACAAACACACTAGGGCCTGTCAGGGTTGAGGGGCGGGGGAGGGAGAGCATCAGGAAGAATAACTAATGGACTGTGTGCTTAATGCCTAGGTGATGGGTGGATCTCTGCAGCAAACCACCATGGCACAGGTTTACCTATGTAACAAGCCTACACATCCTGCACTTCAACCCCAGAACTTAAAATAAAAGTTAATGGAAAAAAAAAAAAAGAAAATGTAAACTACTAAGAAATGCCTGTTCTTCACATTTTAGATAAATAGTGGATCTGGGACAATAGGATCTGGTTTTGTTTGTTTGTTTGTTTTCCTCTGTAATGTAACAGTGCCTGGAAGAGTTAATGTGATTTTATTAAAATTTCTATTTTAATGCCAAGAAACAATTTCTTCTCTGGAAGCATGTAGTTCAATATTTCTTAAAAGCCAAAAAGGGAGAATGTGAAAAGACTCTTCAAAGAGTTTTCCGTCTTTGCTGAGGCAACAACAATGATAGTGATAATCATGATCATTATCTCTTTCATTTGCATGGGATTTTTTAGCTCATAAAACGCTTTTATATACATTATGTCATTTTCTAATATAACTAAAACCTTGCATAATACGAAATTAGCTGTTGCTTATGTCAAGGCATTTGTGGGTTATTAGAAGCTGTGAGCCAGATGTTATGAATGGTATAAAGAGTGTATCATGGCAACGCATAGAAAGGTCCAAACTTTTGTATAGACAGAATGGCAAGACGATGAGAGGAAAATGTACCATAGCTTGCTTTACTGGAATAAAGAGTCCAAGGCAGGGTCAGGGCGAACAGAGGCATGAATACCTACTTTGGCTTTAGTACCTTATCCCAGAGATGGAAGGAATCCATTTGAAGTGGCTGCCTAGGAATCTACGTGAGATGGGTATTGATGCCATGTCTGAGATAAGCAGGAAGGAGAACAGAAGTGCCTCTACTTATGAGCTTTCCACTTCTGAACTCTCATGAATTTATGAACAAAGCTGCTTACAAAGTAAAAGCACCTCCACTGTGTTGTATCACCATCAGTTTCATTTATGAATTATTTCATTGATTCATAGATTCATTGATTTACTAAGCACTCTTTTCACACATAATTATTGTGCCAGGCACTCTGCTTGGTGTTGGAGACATAGTGAAAAGGACAGACAAAGTGCCACCTCATACAGCTTGTATGACATAGACAAAGAACAAGGAAACAAATAGCAAAATAAATACAGATTGTGATGTATCATAAAGGAAAATACAGGGCAATGAAACGGAGAGACAGTTTGAACTTCTTTTTGGAAACATAGATCCCAAGAGCAGCTCTATTAAAGAAGCCTTAAAAATTGTGTTATGGAGGCCCAACACAGTGGCTAACGCCTGTAATCCCACCACTTTGGGAGGCCAAGGTGGGCGGATCACAAGGTCAAGAGGTTGAGACCATCCTGGCTAACATGGTGAAACCCCGTCTCTACTAAAAAATACAAAAAATTAGCCAGGTGTGGTGGCGGGCGCCTGTAGTCCCAGCAGCTTGGGAGGCTGAGGCAGGAGAATGGTGTGAACCCAGGAGACGGAGGTCGCAGTGAGCCGAGATCACGCCACTGCACTCCAGCCTGGGTAACAGAGTGAGACTCTGCCTAAAAAAAAATTGTGTTATGGAAAATGTAACATCCCTTTGACAAACTCTGGGCTCACTTCTTCAAAAGTGTCATGAAGAGCAAGATCAAATGCTCACGAAAAATGGTTAGGGCTGGGTGTGGTGGCTCATGCCTGTAATCCCAGTGCTTTGGGAGGCCAAGGCAGGAGAGTTGAGTGAAGCCAGGAGGTTGAGACCAGCCTGGGCTACAAAGTGAGGCCCTAATTTACAAAAAATTAAAAAAAAAAAATTAGCTGAACGTGGTGGTGTCCACCTGTAGTCCTGGCTAGGCAGGAGGCAGGAAGATCGCTTGAGCCCAAGAGTTTGAGGGTGCAGTGAGTGAGCTGTGATTGCACCACTGTACTCCAGCCTAGGAGACACAGCAGGACCTTATCTCAAAAAAATTGAATAAATAAATGGTCATGATAAAACAATAACATGGAAGTAAATGTATTTTTAGAGTACATTAAATACAATAAGGTATCCCCTTACAGAAGAAACTAGGTAGGTCAGTGTTAGAAAGTTGCTGTGGTGGACAGCCCTTCTCTTTAAATAGCTTCTTTAATTTTTGAGAAAAAGAATTGCTGCTACAGATTATCTCATAAGGTTTTGTTATATAATTCTTGACCAATTAAAAAATATATTGAGCAAGCCTGTACTAGCTTGAAATATATTCTGATCTTTATTCTCCTTATTTATTTTATTAAGTCTTGGCAAAATGCTCTGTAATTGCCAGATGTTCTCACAAGTCATATGAATATTCAATGCAATTTTTTAATGCTTTATCTTCATTTAAGTTTCGTGTGCTAACCAACTGCACTACTGGAGCTTCTAAGGCTTTATCTTCAATTCACTTCTTATAAGGCTGAATCTAGAGCAAATCTCCCTTCTCTGCACCAACAAATTAGCCCACCTACATGGTTCCCAGGAGGGGACATCTATGATTATTGACACATTTCTTGCTTAATCAAACCGATCTGAGTTTTGAATGTGTAAAAACAGAGATGGAAAAAATTTGGAATGCAAATGGGAGAATGCAAATTAGGGAAGAGGTGGATACTTAAAGGAAAATCAGCATGATATTGGCAAAAGAAAGATGAGTAGATGCTGGATAAGGAAAAACAACAGTCAGGAAATAGTCAACTTATATGTTGCAAGTCTCTTTTGTGCTCACAGTGGACATTGCTATTCAAAGAGTATTCTTTTCTATTGAGCTTGGGGATGGCCTTAGAATCTTTTCAGCACATTACAGCAACCTCTGTCACTTTATCAGAGATGTCATATGGGGTCAAATCTATTTGCCATGGCAGTGTAAAGGGTATTGCTCACCCAAATATTTGCCTTTTAACAGGTAATATGGTTTGGTTGTGTCCCTACCCAAATCTCATCTTGAATTGTAGTTCCCATAATTCCCATGTGTCGTGGGAGGGACCCAGTGGGAGTAATTGAATCATGGGGTCAGTTCTTTCCCATGCTGTTGCTGTGATAAAATAAGTCTCATGAGATCTGATGGTTTTATAAAGGGGAGTTCCCCTACACAGGCTCTCTGGCCTGCTGCCATGAAAGACGTGACTTTGCTCTTCATTCCCCTTCAGCTATGATTATGAGGCCTCCCCAGCCGTGTGGAAGTGTGAGTCAATTGAACCTCTTGGGTATTTGAACCCAAGGTTCAATAAATTGAACCTTTATTAGCAGTGTGAGAACAGACTACTACAACAGTCTTCCAAGTCTTAACTTGAGACAGTAATGCAGGAGTTGGAGGCAATAATTTAGGAAAGATATTTAGGAAATACCTTCTTTTTAGGAAAAATGGGCTCATTTAGGAAATTTCATTTTAGGAAAAATGAAGATATTTTGGGACAGGGATCATCGTTTGTTTTTCTTGCTCCTCAAATCTAGGTCACCAGCTCGAACAGACCCTTCTTGCTCTGTCCCAAGGACAAAGAAGATGGCTGCTGCGTTCCCCTCTGTGAAGAATTTGCTGGCCTTTGAAAGAAACGGTCAGTAGAAGATTCACTGGATAGTGAAATTCTTTGTGCCTGGGATGTGTTCAGTCTGCTTTTCTGCTGCACCAGGAAAGAAGGTCCAGTGTCTTATTTCATTCTGGAGCTTTTTGAAACTTTTTACTCTGTACTTTAATTTTGGCAACCTTGGACTGATGGGGTTTGTAGATATTAATTATCAAATTGTTATTTATTAGCTGATATTCTTTCAATTCAATAAATATTTTAAATCCCTTGTGGTGTCTGTTGAACACGTTACCAGGAAACTGAAATAATATCTTCAGTCTTCCTTTTCTTTCCTCCACAAAATAGAAAGAAGATAACTATACATAGCTGATAGTTATTTTCTCTCAGAAATTCAAATATATTATTTTTAAGTGCTTCTGTAAATATTTGAACTGAATGCAATTTAAAAAATAAAAATCTAAAGACCAATACAATTTTATCTCATAAGATTTTTATTTTTGACCTTTAAGTCAAGAATTAATATCTCTATATTAGCTGCAAATGGATTTAATTACCTATATCTGATTCCATGTTAATAATATTAAACCCAACATAGAAATATTGCAATTATGGGTGTGGTTTTTACCTAAGTATTCCCAGGAGCATTTGGGACCAGGCAGAATATGGAAATGTTAAAGGTTACAGCTCAGGAGCTAAAGGTGCGCCTATAATGAACTAAATCAAAGTTCAATGAAATAAATTCAAGATATTTATTGATGTTTATTAGGGACCTTAATGGATCCACTTTATTTACTTGCAGGATAATTGGAGTATAGCAGTGTAAGTAGAAGTTTCAGTAGAAGGAAGCAGCCTATTGTTAAAGACCAGTTGTTCACTTTGCTGATGATTAAACACTGCTCTAATATAAAGGCAAAAAATATTTGCTGTGTTTTCCTTTTTTCTGTTTAGGCTTAAAGGAAACATAAGTAGCTGTAGTATTGTGATAGAGTAGACACCTAAAGTCATCAGTTTTAGGTAAAAGGCTAGTGAGGCCACTCCTGAAATTTTGCGTTGGAGGGGCTACAAATTACTATTATCCTTCTGATTCCAGTTGTGTGTGTTACAAGTTTATTTTCTGCAACTTTGAGGACTTGAAATTTTCCTTAATGCATTTGTTCAACTTCTTTCCAAGAAAATTATGCTATTAATTTAATTACTAAGATCTTTATTTGTATTTAACTTATTAAATATATGTGTTAGGAATTGCTTAGTAGAGTATTATTTATGGTTACATAAGAAAAACACTGCTAATAAATATAACTAGGAAAGAGGGAAGGCTGCTGGGATTCATCACATACAGCATATAGCCAAGGTATTGTAAAAGCAGTCATTTATTATATGTGACTGTATTTACATTTTTAATATTTGTATTGTCCGGAAGGATTTTCTTGCAAAAGAGTGGTAAAAGAGGCCAATAATCATTAATATAACTAGATAAGTTCCTTGCAGAAAGGCAGAAAAATGCTCCAGAAACATCATATGCTAAATTTTCTAGGAACTGTGGATAGCTGTGGATAGCTGGGTTTCAGCCAATTTTTGACAGCATATAAATAATTTTGATATATACGAAAGAAACTTTGGAAAAGTTCAGATGAGCTTTTCCTTGGAGACATGACTGCACAAAGTTGGGGTGCTGATTATAGTTCATTCAGTGCAAAATGATCCCCTATTCCCAGCTTTATACTCCAGTAGTAATTACATGGGCTCCCAGAATGGGGCTAAAAATGAGGCCTCTTTTTATACAGTAACTTGGCTGTCACATTTGTCGCAGAGAAAAAAGAAAACCGTTGATGCGAGTTTGTAACAGGGTTCAAACACTTTTCAGGTTCACCATTGTTTTTATTTTCCAATAGAATTTCGTTTGACTCTTGCCTACACTTCTATCTATTGTTATCTCTCACTTCTGCTAGCCTCAGCCTGCTTTCTACATATACTCCACTCAAAAGAGGCTGAAGCAATTCTGAAACGTGTTTATACAATTATTCACTGACCACATCTGTGTCTACACATGCAGTATGAAGTAAAGATTTCTCCCAATTATATTCAGACTCTAACAAAATGGCAAATCACTCTGTTAGAATAACCACTTAATAACTTCATTCTGCTCCTATGTGTCAATTTAAGTGCAAATAAAATTGATGCCTGAGAAACATTTTGTGGAAGGAACATTTTGTGGGAGATGATTGTCAAGAAGGATTACTTAAGTGTTTCCCAGCATTTATACATTAAACCCGCAGATGCTGAAGGCTGAGTGGGGTGGAGTAGATAAAGACTATAGTGATTGGATAAGCTGAGGAAACGGTGTATACATTTTCACATGGTGAAAAAGCTGTGACATATCCTGTACTTCATGAATCTACTTCATTTTACTTGATGTAACCATTCTTTAAAATATTTGATGAAGGAAACCTTTTTTTGCCTCACATAAAAACTACAAACATGGCTGGGTGTGGTGGCTCACACCTGTAACCCAAGCAGTTTGGGAGGCTGAGGCAGGAAGATCTCTTGAGTATCAGAGTTCCAGAACAGCCTGGACAACAGAGTGAGATCCCATCTCTATTAAAAAATATTAATAGTTAAAAAATTAAGGCCGGGTGTGGTGGCTCACGCCTGTAATCCCAGAACTTTGGGAGGCCAAGGCGGGTGGTTCACAAGGTTAGGAGATGGAGACCATCTGGCTAACACAGTGAAACCCCATCTCTACTAAAAGTACAAAAGATTAGCCAGGCATGGTGGCGGGCACCTGTAGTCCCAGCTACTCAGGAGGCTGAGGCAGGAGAATGGCATGAACCCGGGAGGCGGAGCTTGCAGTGAGCCGAGATCACGCCACTGCACTCCAGCCTGGGTGACAGTGTAAGACTCTGTCTCAAAAAAAAAAAAAAAAAAAAAAAATTAAAAAATATTCTGAAAAATTAGTATTTTGCCAAACATACTTTCACAAATGCTAATCTGAACACATTCCTCATTTTACAGATGATAAAACTGACTTGTTAAAGACGAAATTGCATGCCTAAGATCCTACAGTTAATTAGTGGCTTATTGGGCCTAAAAATCTAGGGCTTGTGATGTTCTTAGTTTCAGTACATGATTCCCTACTTGCTCTACTTGTCTATAGCAGATAATGTGGCAACATTTACTTTTTTAAAAAGCTTTTTTAAAATGGAGGTGTAATTTACATACATTTCACCCTTTTTAATGTACAGTTTTAGGAGTTTTGAAACCACCATCACAATCAATAGTTATTTTTTTCTTAAAAAGTTAAGTGTTTTAAGGAATGTGTGCTAGAGTGCATGAAGATAATTTCAATGGAAATATATTTGTGTTCAAAATCTGTTTAAATGGAGAACCCTAGGCAGTCCTGACTAATGCAGTTTATTGTATAGACTTCAAGAATGACCATAAGCAGGAGAATTATACTGGGAAAAAGAAATGACAAGTCAAACAGCCAAAGGTTAAGCTATACCATGAGAGGAACATACGGCCTAAGAAATTGCCAGGCATGGCTCTCACCTCTAACTGACTGCCTGTCCATACACATCTAAAGAGAAGGAAAGGAGTGGGCAAGAAATAACCTTGAGATTTCAGTCCTGGGGAAGGAAGAAGCTCCCAAAGAACTCTGAATTCAGGGAACAGCCATTCCTTGTTTGAGATTCGTTTTTTTCAACTCACTCCATGACTTTCCTTTAGATTTCCCTTTCTCCACTCTCCCCTTATTCTTTCCAAGTTCCATTCCTGAACAGAATCCGAAGGACCCCTCTCCTTTTTTTCATTCTGCATCTCTGTGATACATGTTATTCAGTGGTGAGGTAAAATCATCATAGTTTAGTTAAACACCAGTCATCAGAAGCCCTTTGGGATCACTCAGTTTTGAGAATGGCACTTCTAATTTCAGTTTCATATCATAAGTACATTTATGCTGCTTGATTATAGTTTCCAAGTGAATTTTATCTTTAAAATATCATGCCCGCTTTTGTTTCTGAGGCAAAAGTCTCTGATCGAAACTAGCAAATCTAACTTTATTTCTTTTGTCCAGACTTTCTTTGCTCTTCCTGACCATTTCCAACAGAGTAATGGGGTGAGAGAGCACCTCATGCGGGACTTTTCCTTTTCTTTCACCCCTGAGGAGTAACACATCCTGTTAGCCCTAACTTGGGCCAAGCCTGTTTGTTTCACAAAACAACCATCTTTAACCATGCTGGGTAGAAACAAGAGATGGATACTCCTCAGGAGGAGTGAGCATGCCTGCTGTGCAGGTAGGTCTTGCCCAACTTCAACATGAAAAGGACCTAGTAAGAAAGAAAACACAAAGCCCTAGAAAAGGACAACAATCGCCATGTGGAGGCAAAATGAAATTGGGTTGTGTACACAGACTCTCCATAGGGATTACACTGAGGAGACAGGAGGCTTCTGGACCTCTTCCTGCAGGTCAGATGGCTGAGCACAGAAAGTGCAGCTCTGGTGCAAACTGGCAGCTCATGTGCTGCTGAGCACTGACTCCTGTCCCCCAGCTCCAGCTGTGGGACACATGGAAACCAAAGGCTGAGTGATGTCTGAGAATGCAATCACCAACTCTCTGTCTGCAGGAAACATGGTTCTAGAATGGCAAGTATGATAGAGCTGTTTATATCAGCAGGATATCAGATTGCCCAAGAAGACACTCTCTCTAAGGAGCCCTTGCTACATGTCAGACACTGTCAGGTGGTTTACCTCCTTTAATATTCATAACAAGCCTGTGGATAAAGACCAGAAGAAAGTCTCCATTTTGTGATATTGAAAACTGATGTTCAATGAGGTTAAGACAGTTTTTTAAGGTACAAATGTATTAAGTAGCAAAGATAGGACTTGAACCCTAGTCCGACAGACTCTAAATGTGTGCTCCCAAACTTTTCATGGTATTGCAGGCCAATGTGGCGAGGGAAAACAACTTTTGCTCAGTATTTTTTTCTTACATCATGTGACCTCAAAAGGAAGCAGATCTTTTGGCTACTTAAGATACAGAACAACTTGTTTTTATCTTTAAGACGGTCAATGCTTTAGTCTTACTATTTAACACAAGGCAGTTCTCACTGCTTTTACAGACAACTCTGATGGTGGTATATACATGTATTTTACTCGTTGGAAGTAATGACTAATCAACCCACAGGTAAGAGTAAACTTGAAAAGTTTATGTGAAAAATCCATTCCTCACCCCTTTCCTGATGGTCAGGGAAGTGTGCTCTGAATTACCATGTTAGTTTATTCAATTATTAATAAATTCCCTTATACTGACATAACTTTAGTAAAAAGTTATGGAGAAAGTATCTAATGTTGCATTAAATATACCATGTCCGATGAAGAATTATCTGTTAGTCCAATGCCATGGAGGAAACCATCAGAGAATTGGGCATTTTTTCATTTTAGTCAACTGAGCTTTCTGAGATCTTAATCTCACAGGTGTTATGGCCCACTGGCATATTTGTTTTGCAAATTTCGTGTGGGAAGCAGAATTCTAGTTTTTCTGCTGTAGCTATTTTGTAAGGTAGTAGATATTAACACATCCCTGAGTAATAAATAACACAAAACTCAAGCCAACCACAGGAACGTCAGGTCTCTTACTGCCTCACATGCTTGCCAGGCAGCTGAAAGAATGTCTAAAAAAGAAATTTGCAAGGTAATAAAAGACAGAACTTCCTCCAGATATATATTTTTGGTGGGAATTTACATATGCTATTGTTTACCATATCCTATCAGCTATGGTGAAATGGACATGACAGTCACATTTGGAATGAACATAAAGCTTTATTTATGTGCCATACATATGGAAATAAAATGAATTTCCAAGAAGTCCTGAGCGCTTTGATTGCTTTTTTATTTTATTTTTTCTCTCTCAATATAATGAGAGAACACCCATACCACATGGAAAATAAAATCACAATTACAAGCATTCAAACAGACTTACTGATATGCAAAGTTCGTAATATCCCTGTTTGTTGCAAGACCTGGAGCCCATAATGACATGTGGGCCTTGAAGCACGTGGGCGGGCCCAGCCAAACACCCAGATTTGTTAGTGGCTGCCAGCATGGTTTTTGGTACTATCGCAATTTAAAAAATAGGAAAAATTAGAGCAATCTACTTATTTCCAATAGATTTTATGTGAATGAAATGAGATAATTTATATAGAAGTGTTTTGAGGGCCGGGCGTGGGGGCTCACGCCTGTAATTCCAGCATTTTGGGAGGCCAAGGCAGGCAGATCACGAAGTCAAGAGACTGAGACCATCCTGGCCAACATGGTGAAACCCCGTCTCTACTAAAAAAACAAAAATTAGCTGGGCATGGTGGCACGTGCCTGTAGTCCCAGCTATGCGGGAGGCTGAGGCAGGAGAATTGCTTGAATCCAGGAGGTGAGGTTGCGGTGAGCCGAGATTGCGCCACTGCACGCTAGCCTGGGCGACAGAGCGAGACTCCGTCTCAAAAACAAACAAACAAACAAACAAACAAACAAAGTGTTTTGAAAACTCCTATGACATTTTATAAAGGAGAGTTCATTCTATTCAACATAGATGAATCTTGTTAAGATAACTTTAAGTGAAAAAGGCAAAAGAGAATTTTAAATAGTATCATATCATTTTGATAAAGACCAAAAACAAGAAAAGCTTGTTTAGGCTACCTATATATATGATAAAACTATATTAAAATGGGAAGGGGATGATATTCACAAAATTCAGTGTAGCTCTTACTTCTGGGGGAAGACCAGAAGATGAGCTAGAGAAAAAACACACAGATGAGTCATGTTCTAGTTTTGAGGTAAGTGGTGGGTTCATGGGTATTCATTATATTATTATTATGCTCCAAAAATTAAGTTACCTATATTTTATAGTTATCAAAATTATATTAAAATAAAATGAGAGCATTTATTTCAGATGATCCTATCTTATAAGAAGGAAACTCAAATCCCAGTTTGTCTCTGAATTACTAATGATATTTTTAGCTTCAACTGTTCTTCAAATTGTTTTCTTTTCCCTTCCCTTTTCCTCTTTTAGTCTTTTTCACTTGCTCTTGCATCCACAGACTAGTACTGAATACACAGACGCTCCCAAAGCAGCATAGCATTGACGCATAATCTAGCACAGCAGTAGTGGGGTCTTCGGAAGCAGGCTCTGCCACTTGCTATCTGGGCCTTGGGCAAGGTCACTAAATGGCTTATTGCTTTAGTTTCCTAATCCTTACAATGGAGACAAAAATCAATCTCACAGGGCTTTTTTGGATATTAAATGAGTTAATGTTTGTAAAGTTCTGCGTACCATGTTGTTCAATTAAACACTGTGCTGGCAGTGGAGGTGCAACAATGAGAAAGATGTGGTTTCAGTTAGAACAGCTCACTATCAAAGATCTTCGGAAATGAAAATTGGCTGGTAAATATACCATAACATTGCACAAACAACAGAGCTTGAACAAACAAATATTATTTTGTAAACACATTTTGAGAAAGAGTGAATGACTTGGGCTTGTTATCATCATTGGATTAGACTCATGAAGATGGAAGAATGCTGTTCTTCCATCCAGCCCCTAAAACAATCCTGTGTATTCACTCCTTCCCAGAGAGACAACTTGAAGACCGCACAGATGGAAATGGTGGCCCCATGAGCTAAAACTGTCAGACTGCTCATTAATTTCCTTGATGAACTGTTGACAAAATGTTAGACCAATGAAAGTTCATAGACAGAGACAAAGAGGAGCTGAACACATGCAGTGATTTTCTTGTTATTCCAAGAACTGTTACAAACTGTGACCCCTAGGACTAGATTGTAGACTTTGTAGACTCAAGAAAAACTCAGGAATACATCTAAGGTTTCAGTCAAATTAATTCCAACCAGGGGATGAGAATTATGTTTGCAGGAATTAATTATTCACATATTTTTCAGAGTCTTTTGGGGGGTAAATACACATTCTCTGTTCACTTTGGTGGTAAAAATACTTTTTTTTTTTTTGGAGAAAACCATGCAATTATTTACTGACCCATTAACTCTCAGGATTTCATGAAAAATTATGATGTTTTGGATTAATTTGAGATATTGAAATTTAGTATGAGTGATAGTTTATGTTGTTTTATCTTCCTAAAGATATCCAAGTTTGATGAGATTGTTAAAGGCAGTCAGCAAAAAATTATGACAACTGCAATAACCAGAAGTTATAAGAACAAATATACAAACATGTGGTTTGGGGTAGGAACCAAATGAAAAGGTTATTATGAATACAAGAGAAAGAAAATTAAGAAAGGGACGAGAAGAGAACTAGAAAGAAAATGGAAGGCAAATATGTAGATAAATACACTGATCTTAGCCAAAAGGCTGAGAAGCTATGGATGGATGGATGGATGGATAGATAGATAGATAGATAGATAGATAGATAGATAGATAGATAGATAGATAAACATAGATAAAAAGATATTGAAGAGTTTATTCCATTCCACTACCTCTATAGAAAGGAAGGCTGCTGAAACAGAGGAGGGTCTTTTCTCTGGCTTAAGCACAGATCTAGTCTTACATACTGTGGCTGTCTATATAACTGAGGCCATTTTTCAGTGCTTTTCAGTTTAGGAAAAACTTAGGAAAAGGAAGGAGGCTAGAATCTGACCATTCTTCCCAAACCTGAAGGTGATTTTCTGTTTTGTTTCTGTTTTGTATCATTGTTTGAAAAAGAGAGCACTGGGCTAATGCCCCCTGAACATCACACACACATAGTTACATAGGATCTTGCTTCTGAAGATCATGTACATCATCCAACACTATAAAAGCAATGCTATCTTCAAGCAGGCCACTAGGGTAGTTGTGGCATTTCATCACTCACCTGAATAAAGAAGTAGATCTTTCTTAACAGTCTGAAATTGAGGGGATGGGAATTCTAAAAATTTTTGATTGAGCTTTCTTTCAGTGGTTCTACCAAACACATTTGGACTCTTACTATTGCTTCCTTAGCAAGATACAGAGAATAACCCTCACAGAGGCTGAGCATTTGCAGTGTACTCAGAGGCTGGCCTTCTGTCTCCATTTACCACTACGTGTTATGCTGTACCCCAAAGATACTGCTGACAGGCTTTGATTGCAACAGAAGGCATCTTTGTGGAGTCATGCATATGGGGCAGTTCTACAGCACATTTCACACATTGCACTCCGTGAGAACGAACATGTGAAGTGCCAACTGCTGACGTTAAAATATGGCTACAGTATTAAAAGAAACTTGCTCAGAATTTAAGAGATGTCACAGGTCATCCTTTATAGGACAACACTAATAACGAATAAGAAAGACAGAAAATAAGTTTAAAAAGGAGGAAGGAAAAACAAAAACCCTGAGTATTTGAAATATCTTTGTCATTAGGAAAGAAACTATTTGTAACCAACAAGGAAAAGACTGTTCTGCAGCTCCTTATTTGACTTCAGTATTTGGGTAGAGTCATCACTAAAGTGTCTGTTTTTCTACAGCCTAGTTTTGAATGTAATGTAAAAAAAGAAGCAAATGTTTCATTTGGGCACTTTGAAATGTTTTACAAGTGAGGATTTATATGTATCTTATCATGCAGTCACCCCACAAAGTCAAGCTAAGATAAAGTTTTATATTACAAGTGGAAACTATGATTTTCAAAAGTCAGGGGAAGAAATAAACAGCTAATCTCCATTGTGTGCACTAGAAACAGAATCTAGTGTAATGACACAGGTTATTCTCTCCTTCTAACAGCCGTTAAAGCTAAACCTTTGCTAAGAGGCCAGTTGGGTGTCACAATGCCCATTTGACCACACAGAGGTTCAAGCTCTCAATTTCCTCGAATGATTATGTTTGCCTTGGCTGAAATTATTTAATTATTTTTAGACACTTTTGAGACAGCTGCAACATTCCATTATTGCATTATTGACACAGAACACATCACCATTTTTATTTTAGAATGTTAAACTATTTTAAACATGCTGACAACTATGGCAAACAGTTTAGCAATACACAAAGTAGCCACCATCCACTTAGTGAATTTTCATAATTTGCTGTATTTGCTTCAGTTTTGTTTTTGTTTCACAGAAGAAGTATTCGAAACAAAAGTGTTACCTACACATTTATCCCCTGGAGATTTCTCTGAGATTCTATACCATTCCCTTCCTTCTCAGAGAAAAATCACTGTCCTGAATTTGGTGTTTATTATAACTGCATATATTTTAAACATTTATTGTATAATTACATATTCATAAATGCTTTACAGTATAATTTTGCTTATTTTAAAGTTCTATATAAACTTACATGTAAATGATATTACAACTATTATCCTGCAACTTGCATTCTTTCTACTAAAAATTATGGCTTTGGTATATACTCATGATGATGCATGCTGCTCTCACTCATTACTTTTAACATTTGTGGAATATCTTTGGTTTGCATCAGTGCATTTATCCTCTTTTCTGTTAATAGACATTTAGATTATTTTCTCTTTTTTTTTGGCTTGTATGTGTATTCTCATATATCGGTGAAAAAGTTTCTCTGAGGTATATATCCGGATGTGAAATTGCTGCATTATGGAGTATACCTGTCTTCAGATTTACCAGATATTGCCAAATTTTTCCATGTCGTGGGTATACTCCCAGTGCTCAACAACCTTGCAAAACTAGATATTCTCAGGCTCTAATTTAATTTTTGTGAGCTTTCTGTTAAAAATTTTTATTATGTAAAATTTTAAGCTCAGTGAAATGTAATATAATGAACTTTGATGTACTTCTTTTACAGTTTCAATAATTACTGACTTATGGTCAGTCTTGGTTTAGGCACACAGCCACTCTCTATACGCCCACTCCATTATCATTTTTTGATATTTTAAAGTAAGTCACTAACAGCACATTATTGCATCTGAAGCTAATTCATTTGATGTCTCTAAAATATGAGAATTCTTTCAAAAAAACTGATAAAATCAAAAAAATTCTTTCAAAAAAATGATAAAATCATTACCATACCTAAAAATTTTAACAATAATCTTTTAACGTAGTTACATATCCAGTTAGTGTTCAAATTTTCCCAGTTGTATTATACATGTTTATAGTTTATCTGTGTGAGATCCAAATAAGATCCAAATTTTGATGTCTTGTCTCTTTTAATCTGCATGTCCCCCTTTTTCTATTTATTTATTACTTTTACATTCATTTTTTGAAGAAACAGGGATATTTGACATAAAGTTTCTCATAGTCTGAGTTTTGCTGATTATTTCCATCTCAATCCAATAGTGTCATGATAACAAAATATCTGAGACTGCATAATTTATAAACAATAGACATGTATTGCTCACAGTTCTGGAGGCTAGGAAGTCCAAGACCAAGGTGCCAGCATATTCAATGTCTGGTAAGAGCTGTTCTTTGCTTCCAAATGGCGCCATGAATGCTATGTCCTCTGGAGGGAAAAGGGAAAAGGGAGCCTAGCAAGTTCCCTCCAGCGTTTTTGTAAAGGTATTAATCCTATTGTAATGACAGAGCCTTCATGACTATCACTTCACAAAAGGTCCCACTTCTTAATACTGTTGCATTGGGGATTAAGTTTCAGCATGAATTTTGGAAGGACACACATGAAAGCCACAGTACTATCCTAGGGTATTATGTAAGAATTTCCAGTAATATTTCATACATGGCAGTATGTATTATATTAACTATGTTTTCTTAGTTTTGTATTTTTAATGCTCTAGCATTAGTGGCCTCTCTGAATGGGAAGAGACTGTCCCTCCAGGGCTAGCAAGACATAGTAAAAGACTTGCCTAGAAGCATGTCTTTCACATGTAAACTAACCAACCGGAGTCTGTACTCTGAGGCACCTCTTATCTGGCTCTTATCTCCAAGAGGCAGTTTTCCTCTGTCCTAAGCACTGAGGGCCAAGTACCAGACAACCAAAGACCACCACTATAGTCTAGCAACTGCCAACATTCTTCAAACAACCCGACCTAAACTGCTCTGCTTTGCCTTCCCCTTGGAAAACACAATAAAGGCTCTGGACCGTGCTGTCCCTGCACCCCTTCTGCTTACTGACCAAACCTGGCATTTCTCCATGTGGCCCTGAATGCTGTGATACACCCACTCCGCTTGTGCAATGTAAATAATAAAAATCTTTCAATGGCATTAGCTTCTCTATGTTGTCACCCAGTCACCTCTACAAATTAAAATCCCATGGGTACATAACACATGTACTTCTATTAGAAAGCATGTAATGTCTTTTCTTACTTTTGATGATGTTAGCAATCATTGCCTCCATTAATTTATTTCAATAAGGGTTGTAAAATGGTGATATTCTCATTCTGTCATTTTTCTTCATTTATTAGCAAGAAATCATTTATAAAGAGAAATTTTCATTACTTATTTGGTTCCCTTGGGTTATGGTTTTTATTGGAAAGTCAGAAAGAATATTTGATTCTTTATCTTTATTTATAAGCTACTAAAATGAGTTGGCTTTCTGGCATCCTTTAAAAGTGATGAACAAGGTTTGTCATGGTGGTAATTGTTGTGTAGACACATTGTTATCTCAAGAATCTATACATATATACCTCAATACCGTAATTTTTTTTTGGTTATTATTCTTATTGATGCTTATTTTTGGCCACTGGGAGCCTCTTTAAGTTGGCTCCTAAGTCCTTTTGTCATGACCCTGGTAGTTTGGAGAGCTTCCTTGCTCTTGAAAGTGACAAAATATTTCTGACAATTCTGTAAATTATGTTTCCAGATCTGGAATCAGCTCTTTCTCCAAGGAGCCTTTGTTCATTTTAGTAGGAAATGGTATTTAGAGACTAAGTGTAGTTACATTGTTGAATTAGGGGTACATACATGTAGATTTATGTTTGGTCTCTTTATTCTTGTCACAATACCTTACCATCTTAACTTCCATAGCTTAAAGTCCTGTAATTTTTAGGATAAGTCTTTTTACCTCTTCTTCTTGAAAATTCTCTTGAATAGATTTGACCCTTTTGGAATTACATATAAATTTAGAATCAGCTTATTAAGTTTCATGGAAAAAAATTCAAAAATTTTTAAGCATTTTACTGATGTTATAAATGAATGCTAGGATAATGATATCTTTGTATTATTGCATCTTCCTATTAATGAATATGGCATATTGTTCCTTATACTTAGATACTTTTTATATTTTTCAGAAACATTTTATAATTGATAGGAAGTTTTGCTCATTTTTTTATGTGTGACTGACAGTATTTGTGTCTGTTGTGGATCTTTTTTTCTATTTTATACATATATTATGTATATATTATAGAAAATATAATGTTATATATTATAAGTATTATATATACTATGTATTATAATATATAAATGTAATATATACCTACATTGTATATTTAATGTATATTTATATATTATATTATATAGTACATATATTTTCTGGGAATGTAAATTAGTAATAAAGTATATTATACTTTATTAAAATAAATGAGCTTCAGAGAAAGGGAAAATCTGGCAATCATCCTGAGAGTAAATGAATAAAAAGAGTAAGAGTAAAAACTGGTCAAATCGATATTTCTCAAAGTGACAAAGCAGAAAATAAGTTCCCTGTTATTTGACTGGCCAATTTGTGGGAAACAGTAGTGGTGAGTCAAATATGAGACACTGATGATGAATGAATGAAATCGGATGGCATAAGAAACATGGTTTGTCTTTAGATTCCCTACCTTTGATAGAGCTGAGATACAGAAAAATGTTTCTCTACTAGAAGAAAAAGAGAGAAACACATAGTGACAAATGCTAAAGAGGCCATTGAGAATGGTAGTCAGGGAGTCAAATGCTACTCAGCTACAACCATTATCATGCTGCAAGAAGGTGAGCCTACTGTAGCCTGGTCCTCTGAATTTTCAAAGCAAACCAGAAATTCGGATTTTGTGAATTCTCTTGGGTTGTAAGTTTTGGTGACAAATTCCAATATTTTAAGAACATTGACCGTATAAAACACATATATAGACTGTTTATGGTTTGAGGGCCGCTTTTCTATGATCCCTGGATTAGAGATTGTTAGGGCTCAGAAATCAGTAACTCCAAATGTGTTTTGACATGCTGAACTGCAGAAACCTCATGTAAGTGCCCTCCTCCACCCACCGTCTCTCCCAAAACCTTTATCTGCCTAAGATCCAGGCCCACCAAAAGGAACAATTGTTTTTTCTTCTCCCTGTAAAACCAAGAATGCAATGATGCCTGAACAGACCCTTTCACAAGATAATGGACAAGCTAATTTCTGTTCCCTGAGACATTCATTCTCCCTAGTAATCCCCTCAACAGAATTTCTCTTTGCCCCTCTCGGGTAACCTGTTCTGCCAAGGCAGTATCTAAGCTTCTGAACCATTTGGGATGGTGGGCATCCCTCAGTGATTCTCCCTATGTGCACATTAAATAAATATGTGTGCCTTTTCTCCAGTTAATCTGCCTTTTGTGAGTTGATTTTTCAGCAACTCCCCAGAGGGCAAAGGGGAAGTCTCTCTTGGCCCCCACAAGGCTTTCTAAATATAATAATTTTTAAAATTTAGTATTTGGATGGTTGGAATACTTTAGTCAATAGGGACAACAGAAGTAAAACCCCACTTTACTTTCCTTTGGCGGGTTTTTTTTGTTTGTTTATTTGTTTTTCAATCTACAAATTCCTCCTTCCCACCACACTAGCAATTCTGAGACACTCCAGTAGGGGGCACCTATCACGTCATTTGAGGATCTCTGCCACCACTAAAGATGGGATTGTGCTGCTTTCCTTAAGTTGTGTTGAGATAAGAAAAAGGTAGACTAGATAATCATATAAACACAGACTCTGAAGTCTGGAAGACGTCTTGGAAAGAATTAATTCCACCCAGGGCTATGTAGGTGAGGAAGCTAAGTCCCACAGAAATTGAGCGGCTTGTTCCAGGACACATCTTAAATTAGCGGTATCTGCTGCTTTTTAGGTTTCTTAATAATTTTCAAGTTTTGTGCTGCAGTGTACAGTTAGCCAAGCTAGTCATGGGATTGCATGAACATCCCAGGGAAATGCTAGTTTTTTTTTCATTATGCATAATTAGGGCTTAATTAAATTTAATTATTTATAATTATCCAAGTAGAGATTGAATATGCCATATTGTCTTTACTATGCTTGAGTAAAAATATAAAAGGCCTGCGAAGGCAGTAATTGAATAAGAATGCAGAGCCTTGTATGTGTAGTAATTACACTGTAGTTTCCTGCTAGTTTCCGACACTACTGATGGAGGTTTGCATAAAAGATCATTCCCTCCTCATGATAACTCTAGGTAGAATTATCCTTTTTTATACTATAGGCTTATTATAAAAATTGTTTACAAATATCTGGTTGTGTATGTGTACAAAACAGATGTTGAAGCTTTTAAACAATCAGTATGAAAAACAATAGTACGCAAACTTCTTTATTACCAAAAATAATTAAATGTCATCTAACTTATTGATAATTCCAGGTAAATAGCAATAGTACATGTTATAATTTCTTGGGTCCTACTATATTACTCCATTTTCATACTGCTATAAAGAACAGCCTGAGACTGGGTAATTTATAAAGAAAAGAGGTTTGACACACAGTTCAGCAAGACTGGGGATATCTTAGGAAACTTACAATCATGGCAGAACGCAAAGAGGAAGCAAGGCACCTTCTTCACAAGGCAGCAGGAAGGAGAAGTGCTGAGCAAAGGGGGAAGAGCCCCTTATAAAACCATCAGATCTTGTGAGAACTCACTCACTATCATGAGGACAGCATGGGGGAAACTGCCCTCACGATTCAATTATCTCCACCTGGTCTGTCCCTTGACATATGTGGATTATGGGGATTACAATTCAAGATGAGATTTGGGTGGGGACACAAAGCCTAACCATATCACCTACCATGTGTCAAGTGATGCTAAGCACTTTGCAAATTATGTTACTTGCACTTTTTAACATGCCTAACAGGTAGCTAGTATTCCTATCATAGTTTTGGTGATAAATTCAAATTTATAGATGAGGAACTGAGAATCAAGTGATTAAGTGACCTTGGATTTGACCTGAGGCCTCTGACTTCAGAGTCTGTTACATTAATATCTGCACTGTGTTGCCTACCTAAGTAGATGTTTCAGATGACATCAGCATCATCTAAAATTCTAACAAAAATCACTCATTATAGTCTTTTAGAGGATTAAAGAGAGTTTACCAAAACAGTTTGTTCTTCATTCCACATTTCCCTTGGAAGTTCTGAGACTTGATTTCCTCAATGCAACATCTAACTAGTGGCATTGCTCAAACTTTTGGCTTGTGTTTCTTTCTTAGCACATACTTCATAAAATGTAGTTTGAAGCAAGACCCCTTACAAAGAAAGTGAAAAGATCCAAGAAAGCAATGCTGTCAAAACGAATAAACATTGTAAGAGACTATTTGTGGGCACTAGTGAGGAAATTATCTGACAATATGTCATAAATTTAGATCCCAATTAAACACAGGATATACAATAGTTGCCTATAAAATGTGAACATGTTGTAGATACTTTAAAATCCCAAGTTTAATGCTTAATGAGAAAAAGCTGTTGTATGATGTCAAACAGAGTAATATTGCATTTTTGAGAAATCATATCTTTGACTTTCTCTATGAAAGTAAAATTAATCTGTGCATAATTAGGTATTGGGATGAAAATTGTTTCCTGTTTTCTCGGATAATACTTAGAACTTTAAGTAAAGGCAATTAGTTGTGGTTTACTCTCACAAGCAATAGAGTGGGCTAGACTGGGATTGAGCTGGGAAACTCTTCAACATACAGACTTCTTTAAACCTTGGCTGGTCGCTAGTATTTGTCCCCTTCCATCTTGAAGAGTATACACCAACTTTAGTGGCTTACATTTAAAAAAGATAGTGTCATAAGTTTTTCGCTCCCAGACTTTTCAGTTTTTGTTTGTTCTAAAATAAATTTATTTGCATGCTATAGGTAGTGGTATGCACTTTCTACTTTGCTACACTCTCACCATTCCATATTATATTAATTCTAGCTGCTTCACTCACTTATGCCTCTCTCGGTCATGAAGGCATTTGATTTGCAACCCTCTTTTATGGCCTAACACGTATAAAGAAATGCAATATTGGATTTTATTTGAGCATAGTGATTAAGACACACTGGGGACAAAAAGGAGGAGGTAATTCTTCATCGATTGGGGAAGACTTCAGGAAACGTTTCAATAAAGAAGTAGCCCTTGAATTGTCACTGTAATCACCTGATGGATTCTTCCTGTCCACTGCACAGACAAAACCAGTTCACTGAGACTGTGGTATTGCAGTAAAGAAAGTGTTTAATGGACGTGAAGCCAACCATGTGGAAGATAGAGTTATTACTTAAATCAGTCTCCTGAAAGGCCCAGAGGTTAGGGTTTTTTCAAGAATAGTTTGGTGGGCAGGTGGCTAGAGAATGGAGAATGCTTATTGGTTGGGGATGAAATAATAGGGGTGTGGAAAATGATCCTGGTGCACTGAGTCAACCTCTCAGTGGGGGCCACAGGACTATGTGAGTCTTGAGTCAGCTGGTCATTAGAAATGCAAAAGTCTGAAAAAAAAATCTTAAAAGGCCAATTTTAGGTTCTACAATAGTGATATTATCTACAGGAGTAACTGGGGGAGGTTACAAGTCTTGTGACCTCCAGAGAAATGGCTGGTTAGTGTTTAAGTATATCTTAGCAGCACTAAGGCTCCTTTCATAATTCTAACCTTCTGGCCTTTCACTAGTTTTACAAAGGTGGTTTAATTTTGGGAAGAGCTATTATCATCCTTGCTTTAAGGTTAAACTATAGGCTAAATTCCTCCCAAAGTGAGTTTGGCCCACACCCAGGAATGACCAAGGACAGCTTGGAGGTTAGAAGCAAGATGGAGTTAACTATGTCAGATTTCTCTTACTGTCATAATTTTGCAAAGGCAGTTTCAATATTAAAAGAGGAATAGGTATTATGTAGATTTATAGGGAGGGGAGGAGGTTATGCTGGGCATAGGAGCATACAATTGAAGAAGAAAACTCAAAGGAGGGGACCAAAATTATGGAGGCAGGTAGGGGCTGAACTATGGAGAGCATGAAATGACATATTGAAAGGTGAATAAGTATTCCCTTTGTGTACCATATATAATATAACCCTAATTTCTATTCCAAATATGTGCATGATCAGTTATGGGCATAGCGGAATTATGGCTTAGGGGGTAAGAAATGGGTTGCTTACAATCTGATCATAAATAGTTTCCTGAAGATCAAAACTGGAAAGGGGCATGAGAAGAGGGTGCCTCTTTCCTTGTTATCATTTGATGATGAAAATGTTCTATCTAGACTGGGATATTGGCTATCTAAGTCAAAATTCATCAGATTGTAAACTTAGGATCTATTACTATATGCAATAATACCTCAGTGAAAAAATTAGGAAACAGGGAACATTGTTATGTAATAATGAAAACAATAATGATGCTTTAAAGTTATAAGTGAAAATCTCTCAGGGTGATGACAATCTGACTTTTTTGCAGTATTAGGGTATGTTTGCAACTCCTCTTTGTCAGATATTTTTTCCTATCTTTAATTCAAGCAATTATTTCCAGAAAAATATTCCAATAAGAAAGTAATCTATTTTCAGTTAAAATTTTTGTATAGATGACATTTGGCAGAAATATTAATTTTTATATTTCAGTCTTCTACCCAGTGGGTGCTACTTAACATCAATTTCAAATAATTGAAAAGTTAGTGTCAAACATTCTGAGAACTCTTAAGAAGAGGAATGTATATATGAGTAAGTGTAAGGCGGATATCACCATATGATTGGTATGAACACATTCTTATTTCATTGTACCACGCAGTTCATTTGACTGACTCTGTCATAGACTCACTGGTTGAGAACTCAAGCTTCTGTAGTTGGATAGATCTGAATTGGCATCTTAAGTGTAAAATTTAGTAATTATATGATATTGAACATGTTATAGAAGCTCTTGAATTAGTTTCCTATTGCTGCTGTAAAATTATAATAAACTTGGTGACTTAAAACAACACAGATTTATCATCTTGCAGTTCTGGAGACTGAAAGTCCTAAAATAAATAAGCAGGGCTGTGTTTCTTCTGGAGAAACTAGGGGAGAATTCATTTCCTTGACTTTCCTACCATAGGCTTTCCTTGGTTTGTGGCCCCTTTTGCCATCTTCAAGGCTAGCTGTGACTAGTTAAGTCTTTCTCACGCTGCATCACTCTCAGACTCCTCTCTTATGATCAAATCTTTCCTATTTCCCTCTTATATGGACACTTCTGATTACATTGGGCCCACTCAGGAAATCCAGTTTAGTCTCCCCATCTCAAGGTCCTTAGCTAATCACATCTATAAAGTGCGCATATTCACAGGCTCTGAGGATTTGAACACTGACATCTTTATGAGTCATTATTCAGCCTACCACAACCCTCACCAGTAGAAAAGGAATAATAATACCTACCTTATGGGATTACTGTAAGGATTAAATGGCCAGTGTCACGGCTTGACACATGTAATGCATTCTGAGTAAAGTTAGTTTTCTTTCTAATTTTTAATTGTGGTAAAATATACACAAAATTTACCATCTTAACCTTTATCAACTGTACAGCTCTGTAGTGTTAAGTACATTTACATTGTTGTGCAAATCTTCTGCAGAGCTCTCTTCTTTTTGTAAAACTGAAATTCTATACCCATTCGACAGCTTCCCATTCCTTCCCCCACCAGCCCTTGGCAAGCACCATTTTACTCTATGTCTATAAATTTGACTACTCTAAGTATCTCAGGAAAGTGGAATCATATATACAGCATTTTCTTTTTGTGACTGGCTTATTTCACCTAGTGTAGTGACCCTAAGGTCCACTCATGTTGTAGCATGTGTCAGAATTTTTTTTCCTTTTTAAGGCTAAATTTATATTCTATTGTTTGTATATGCCGCATTTTGTTTATCCATTAATCTATCAGTGGACACTAACTGCTTTTACCTTTCAGCTATCATGATAGTGCTATAACGGACAGGAATATACAAACAGCTCTTTGAGCCCTGCTTTTAATTCTTTTGGGTGTATACCCATAAGTGAAATTGTTGGATCATATGGTAATTCTATTTTTAATTATTTTAGAAACTGCCATTTAATCTCCTATAGTGGCTGCACGATTTCACGTTCCTACCAACAGTGCACAAGGTTTCCAGTTTCTCCGTATTGTCACCAATACTTCTTTTCTTCTTCTTTTTTAAATAGTGGGCACCCTGATGAGTATGAGGTGATACCTCATTGTGCAGTTAGGTTTGGATATTAATAATGATAAACTCTGCCATCCTGAAGAATGGTGGTATAACCTTAGGCAAGTTACTTTGTCTTAGAACCTCGAGTTCTTACACTGAAAATGGGGATAGCAATAATTTGCGGTATCATAGTAAGGATTAGAAATAAGAAGCAATGGGCCGGGTGCGGTGGCTTACGCCTGTTATCCCAGCACTTTGGGGGGCCGAGGCGGGCGGATCACGAGGTCAGGAGATCGAGACCATCCTGGCTAACACGGTGAAACCCTGTCTCTACTAAAAATACAAAAACATTAGCCAGGTGTGGTGGCAGGTACCTGTATTCCCAGCTACTCAGGAGGCTGAGGCAGGAGAATGGTGTGAATCCGGGAGGTGGAGCTTGCAGTCAGCGGAGATAGCGCCACTCTACTCCAACCTGGGCAACAGAGCAAGACTCCATCTCAAAAAAAAGAAAAAAAAAAAGAAATAAGAAGCAATGTATGTAAAGTACCTACGCTTACTAGAAATGATAAAAATCTCTAAGAACAATGGCAAATTTATTAGGGTTCTCCAAAGAAACAAAACCAATAGGAGAGATATACATCTATTCCATATTTATCTATTCCATAAATATAAATAAATATATATGTTCCATATATATATATATATATATATATATAGAGAGAGAGAGAGAGAGAGAGAGATTGAGAGACAGATTACAAAGAATTGGCTCATGTGACCATGGAGGCTGAGAAGTCCAAAAATTTGGTATCTGCAAGCTGGAGACCTAGGAAAGCTGGTGGTGTATTTCAAAGGCCTGAGAGCCAGAAAGTTGGTAGTATAGATTCCAGTTGGAGTCTGAAGGTCCGAGAACCAGGAACGCTAAGGGCCAAAGATTCGTGTTCCAGCTCAGTCAGGCAGAGAGAGAGTAAATCAACCTTCCTCCACCTTTTTACTCTGTTTAGCTCCTCAACTGGTTGGGGAGGGCCACCTGATTTACTCAGTCCATCAGTCCAAATGCTAATCTCTTTCAGAAACACCCTCACAGACATACCCAGAAATAATGTCTAATCAGATATCAGGGCATCTCATGGCCCAGTCAATTTGACACATAAAATTAACCGTTACAACAACCATCACTGTGAAGATATTTAAAGGGAAAAGAATTAAGGAGAAACTCACCCTTGGTAGAGGGCAAAATAATTTAAGCTGACTTTATTCTGAAGGTCAGCTTGTATAAAAGAGATTCTACTAGCTTAATTTTGCTTCTTAATTATTCCTTCCTTAAAATTTTATAAAGAGGTTCAGGATTTGCTTTCTTTCTCCTCATTCCTTTGAATCATGATACAAATTTAAATCTACTTACTTTGTGCCAAATAGCATATTTCTTATGTTAAATTCATTCACTGAATCCTAGAGCAGACTAAACCTATATAATTAGTCTTACTAAAAGCCAGAAAGTTAGCTGTCAATGCTTCTATTTGACATGACGTGTGATGAGCATGTTGTAAATCCAAACTGAGTTCCCAGTGTGCCATGCTGGTAATAAGTTCAGACCCACCGTAATTCTCCAGCATAATGTTCATGATTCAACAAAAGAAAACTCACCCATGAAAGCAGATTGTTATTTTTGGTGTAGAAGTGCAAATGAGTGAAATGCGAATATTTGTGTGTTTAAATTCTAGTAAAAAGCCTTTTATTTACTGGGAGTCTATTTCTCTTCTAATACATACATATATGTTTATATGTGGAGACAAACTGTTTGGGTTCAAATACTGGCCCTTTCACATACTAGCTGTGTGTTCTTAACCAGGTTACTTAGCACCTCTTTCTTCAGTTTCCACATATGTAAAACAGGATATAAATAGCACGCCCCTCAGGATTGTTAACTATCAGGTTGAAGAACGGACTAAGTAAATTAGTACATGTACAACCCTTAAAACAGTGCTTGGCACATATAAGGGCTGTATTAATACTTGTTACTATTTCTGTAGGCTTTTAAAAAATGACATTATAACTTGTCACTTCATCTAAAAGGTTGCCCAGGTGTTAAATGATGGATTTAGACAAGCTGGACACCAAGTTTGTGTTCTATCATTCTACAGCTGATTTAGGGTTGGAGACAAACTGCTGTATTATCAGGATACAAGAGTTATGAGTTCTCTGATGGCATACTCAGTCTAGTCCCAGAGAGAAACCAAAAGAATGAACCATTTTACTAAATAAATAGTAGATAAACTTCTGTATGTTTTACTGATATCATGGGCAAAGGACAGTTGAACAGTAGCCACTGAACAAAGTCTGCAGCACTATAGGGTGCACATGGCAGGATTCTAGTTAAAAGACTAACAATTCTTGTTGCAAAGCAATACAAAACTCATGAATTTTATGACCTAATCATACAGGCAGTGCACTGTGCTGTATAATCTATTTCTCTCAGCATAATGCAGTAACCTTGTACTTGCAGGATTATCTGTGGCCCTGTGTAAACTAAATGGCCTGCATTTAGTTTACAATGGATTAGTACCACATCTAATATTTTATGGATAAAAGAGTATCTTTCTTAAGTGGTTAAAATAGTCTACATGGCATAAAACAATGCCAGATAATAACAGAAATTGATTTTGTAAATATTATTTCTTTAGTTTCTGCATGAATAGAGCTTTTAAAATGTAAAATGTGTGTAGTGGTTTCAAAATGCTATCTGTGGAAAATGTACTTACTGAGTAGGTGATGGATTTGGGGGAGTTTAGCAGACTGTTTGCCCAAGTACTTTGAATCCAGAATTCTAAGTGGTCATGACTGGCAAGCCTTAGAGGCTCTCTCTTCCAGCCCTATTGTTTTAAAGATGTGTGAATGGGGTCCTGGAGAGGTTAAATTATTTAGCCAGTGTTGCATAATTTCTTAGAGACAGAGCTAAGTGAGAATACTGGTATACAGTTCTTTCCACAACATTAAATTTTATTTTATTCCTTTCTAATTTTTATGGACTTGTGGAAGTCAAAGGAATTACTATATCCACATCACTTTTTAATCCCACATTTAGACAGTAATCTATAAACATGTTTACTTAGATACAATTGCAGTTTTCTACTAAACTCCAAACCTCTCTTCTGGGCTGTTTTCCTTGCCAGCAACTCTGTCATAAGATATGACTTTTCTTAAGGGTTTCTGAAACAGGTAACATTGAGAGTCAATTGACAGAGGGCCAAAGCCCTGAAGTCATCAGTTAATATCCACATATATTTACATACATATTTATTTTAAAATGAACATTTCAGGAGCAGCCCAAGTATGAACTTTTCCCACTGACCTCATTTAGATGGAAAAGAAAATGAATTGTTGCAAAAATTCAGCACAATGGAAAAGGGCTCATGACTAGCTTAAACGGCATTGGCCAGTTCATACTACACCAGTCTATACCCACAGACCCTGTGGCATGGGAAAAGGTCACCACAGGACATTTGTTCTGCAAAAGTTGTTATGTGTCATGTCCTGTAGTCCTGTTATGGTGGCCACAGTTGATTGGTGCATGGATCTATACCTTAGGAAACACCATTTAAGCACACACATAGGAAACCGTTGGTTTGTCTTGAGAAGCATATCCCCTAGAGATGTTTCAAATCAATGATAACTGATCACACCTATTCAGCCATGAGCTGTGGCTAAATTATGAGAATGGTTGAATCACCAACACTGGGAACAAAGGGCTCATGCTTCTTAGAGAACAACAGGTTATCTGAGTCACTTAAACTGTAGGATTACTAAAGTAGTAAATATTTTTTGAGCACTGACTGTGCCCTGGACACTGTTCCAGATGCTTGAAATACATAATAAATGAAGCCCTAACTTCATGTAGTTTCTTTTTAATGGGGACAGGAACAGACAATAAGATATTGATATAATAGATTAATAGCACTATCACTTAGAAGGTGGTAAGTATTCTATGGATAAGAAAGGTAGAGTTTGGTAAGGGGGGATCAAGAGAATTCATAATGCTGATAGGTGGGGGCTTGCAATTTTAAACAGAGTATTCAGAGCAGGTCATACTAAGAAGATGTTTGAGCAAACACTTGAAGGAGGTGATGAAGTTAGGTATATGGACAGCCAATAGATGATGTCCCACTGTTCTAATCCACTTTTAGGTTTGCTATATTGAGTTGTATGAAAGGGGGCCCACTGGGTAGTTGCCTGTGGCACCAATCTATAAGGGATGCTAAAACAGCCCTAAAACTGTAACAAGATGTACTCGCTAGAACTTCTCTCAGAAAGAGTATTATATTTGGTTGAAAGGAATTCTTGAAAAAGGTTTTTAAGGTACGGGGAGATCCATCTCAAGGGATATCAATGTCTCTTAGACATTGTATTCACATAATTCCTAAACTCACGTTGAAGAAGGAAAAATCTCTTATCTATAGGCTTTTATTTGGGGGATGTTTCTCTTTCCTGGATGAATTTTGCATTTTGGAGTCAAACTTGAATTTCTTTGGAAAATTGGTTTTCTTTGGAAAATTGATTAAGCCCTGCCACTCAAGTCTGTCCTTTCTATCTTTTTTTCCAAGTAATTCTTAGCATGTCTCCTGGTATTGGAGAATATTGGGTTGAAGGGGTGACATTATTAGACCGCACGAGTGCAGTGGGCAGTGTTGCCATCCCACCCGGATCACTAGCTCTGTGAGTGCATCCCTCAAACTGCTGGGCTTTGTCCCTAACAACTGTCACTTACAACTGCCCTTGGCCACTGGAGCCACTGGAGCTGCCATTCTTCTGAAATTTCCCATTCTTTTCTTCTCAAGCCTCCCTCGACCTTTGTCCTTCCAGGGTGGCTTGTAGCCTACATGTACCGGGGTGGGATATAAGTCCAGTTCCTTCATCTCAAGCTTGTGATGCCCTTGAGATTAGGCTAAAATCACTTACTTAGCTTCTTCCCCTTTCCTATCCTGCTTCCCCACTCCCTTATTGGTCTTTTGTAAATCATTGCACCTGAATTTCTGCTCAGGCTTTGTGTTTGGGGTAAACCCAAACTATGACAACAGGGTGCCCACAATTCTTGGTCAAGTCATGGCTATATATTTCAGCCTCAGAAGTGCTTAAAAGCATGTGGCTGCTGAGACGCTGCCCATAATTTATTTCTTTATTTGCCTAAACCTTTTCTGTTCCTTGAAATTGAGATGAGCCTAACTATGCAAATGACAAGTCCTTTCCTAGGAAAATGCTGGATCCCAGATTCTTTGATGCTTCATGGGGAGCCGCGTATAGTACAGTTGACCCTTGACAATGCAGAGGTTAGAGGTACTGCCTCCCACTATGCAGCCAAAAATTCACATATAACTTTCGACTTCCCCAAAACTTAACTATGAATATCCTACTGTTGACTGGAAGCCTTACTGATAACATAAACAGTTAGTGAACATATATTTTGTGTGTTATGTGTATTATATACTGTATTCTTACAATAAGGTAAGCTAGAGGAAAGAGAATGTTATTAAGAAAACAATAAGGAAGAGAAAATATATTTACTACTCATTAAATGGAAATGGACCATTATAAAGGTCTTCATTCTTGTAGTCTTCATGTTGAGCAGGCTGAGGAGGAAGAGGAAGAGGAGTGGTGGCAGAGCCGAAAGAAAAGTGTTGTATAAGTATACCTGCATACTTCAAGACTATTCAAGAGTCAACCGTAGTTCTTTAATTACGGCAAGATGGTTTTGTGTACCTTGTATAAAGATGTAAAGACATTTAACCACATAACACTTTGAGTGGAAGAATTATTAAATTCTTACATCAGATAAAAACTTTAGAAACTTTTCCTGAAGCATCTGGTCATTAATGACAAATTTAATCAATTAAATTTCCTGAAACAGTTTAAACAACTAAAATACTGGTATTGCTGAATAGTTTGCATAAATTAAATATTTTAAAAATCAGACAAATATGCACAAATGAATACAGTTATATATAAATTTATTCTAAAACACCAACACTATGGGTTTAAAGTCGCTTCTTTTTTATATGTTAGTTTCTATATGAGACTGGCATTTTAGTTATGTTAATTTTGATATTTTCCAAAGGTTTTAAGAATATAATGTTAACATATTCCTAGGGTTAGAGACACATTACCAGGCCAAAAAGAAAAAGAACACCTCCTTAGCCAAAATAAGCCACAAGATCTGGATAATCAGTGGATCAGTTTCTTGTTGAGACAGTGGAACTTGGATGCTCCTTCCAAGTAGACGCACACACAGGTCATTTAGCTGAACTTTCTCTGTATAGTTAAATTTTGCTAGTTTGGTCAAAAGATTTTCAGTCATAACTCTAAGATGGGTTTTCCTTCTTCACATATTCAATGCATAGATCTATAGGACCACCATAACCAGCAAAATATAGAATGTTCTTATTAATCCCCAAATTCTCTGTGTACCTTGCCAGTCAACCACACTCCCTACACACACACACACCGACACACACACACACACACACACGACCACAGAACCCCAGGTAACCACTGATTTGCTTTTACTCACTATAGATTAGTTTTGTTCTTTCTATAATCTCATATAAATGGAATATTATATTTCTGGCTTCTTTCAACTGTATAAGGTTTTTGAGCTTCCTCCATGTTGTTGCCCTTTAGATGGCTGTACAATATTTCAGTGTATAGACATACTGCAGGTTGTCTATTCATATGATGTATATATGGGTTATTTCTAATTATTGGCTTTTTTGAATGAAGTTTCTAGAAACATTTACAGACAAGTTTTTATGAGAACATGTTTTTATTTCTTTTGAGTAACTATCTCTGAGTGGAATTGCTGGGTCGTGTGGTAAGCGTACATTTCATTTTGTAGGAAACTGCTGGTTTTGCTACACCACTTTTACTTTCCCACCAGCAATTTATGAGAGTTCTAGTTCTTCCACATCATTTCCAAGATTTTCAGTCTTTTTAATATTAGCCATTTTAGTGGGTATGAAGTGGTATCTCATGGTTTTAACTTATATTTCACTGATGACTAATGATTTTAAACATATTTTTATGTGTTTATTGGCCATTCATATTTTTGTGTGTGAAATGTCAGTTTAAATCTTCTCCCTGTTTATTTTAATTGAACTGTTTGTCTTTTTATTCCTAAATTTTAAGAATTCTTAATATATCCTGAATACAAGATTTTTATCAGATGTATGTATTGTGAATATATCCTCTTAGCTTATGACTTGGTTATTTCATATTTTAATGGTGTCTATTTAAGAGCAGAAATAATTCTTTTGATGAAATTCAATGAACAATTTTTACTTTTATGGCTTGTGCTTTTCGAATTCCAAGAAATCTTTCCCATACCAGTGTCATAAAGATTTTTTTCTATGCTTTTTTAAAAAAATAAATTGTATGGCTTTAATTATTTACATTTAGGTTTATAATCCATTCAAGTTAATTTTTATGTATGGTAGGAGGTAAGAGTTGAGGTTAATTTTTTTCCTATATATATATCCAATTGTTCCTGTAGCATTTGTTGAAAATGCTTAATCAAAAATCAATTGACCGAATATTCATAGTCTATTTCTGAATTCTCTATTCTATTTCATTGAGCTTTACAGTGGCACCATACTCTCTTGATTACAATAGTATAGTAATCCTTGAAATCAGATATTGCTAAGTCCTCCTGCTTTGTTCTACTTTTCAAGATTGCTTTGGTTAGTTTATGTCCTTTACATTTCCATGTATATATTATATTGCGGTAGTCAGAGCTACCATGAATTCATCTATCTTTCTTCTACCCAGCATTTTGTTAACACTTTTCTTATCTATGTGGTTTTCTTGACCACAAAAACTTTTCCCTATTTGACAAACATTTATTGGTTGCGTTTTCCAATTAATTTTTCTAACTGCTTTGTTTTGTATTATGGAAGATGCTTCCTTTTATAAATATGTATAAAAAGTATCTCATGAGCTGCAATTAACTCATCACTATTAAACTACGTACATATTTTATTTTTACCATTAGGGCTCATTTGTAAACACTGATATAATGACTAATTTTTTTAATTCCAGGGAAACAACGCAAACTCAACTGATGTGTCCATGTTATTAAAATATTACCACTTATTTTATATAAAGAGGAAGAACACAATTTAGTTTTCTAAAACACAGATCATCCACATATTCCTGGACTGTAGATATACCCATTTTTGAGTTTAAAAATGACATTAGAATCTTGAAGAATTATTTCACTCTAGAAGTTTTTATTGGTTCAGATTTACTGCAAAATAGACATTATAATGACATGTTCAACAAGATGAAAGAACATGTTTCATGATCTAAAGTATGTCATAGAGGGATGAAACAGAAGTTTAAGACTATAACCTCACAGATGCATAGCAG
This sequence comes from Homo sapiens, assembly GCF_000001405.40. Lineage (NCBI taxonomy): Eukaryota > Metazoa > Chordata > Mammalia > Primates > Hominidae > Homo > Homo sapiens. The sequence goes on along the minus strand of NC_000005.10, from coordinate 82,780,064 downwards.
AAGTTCTAGGTTTATATTTTGGAAAGGAAATAGTGTAGAAGAGGTTTTAAACATATAGTGTTATGTTCACAGTAACAGTCATAGGGACTTTGGTTTCTTACCCAACTCTTACTTCAGACTTGCCAGTAAGATAAGTTTCAACCATAAGTTGCTACATATTGTATATGTAGTGTGTTCAAAATTGTACCTAGCATGATGGGATAGCAAATTCAATTTTTACATATAAATGGATAGCTGGGTTTACTACAAGTATAGATGTTAAAATGGACATCATTATAAAGGTGACAATGGCTAGCTGAAAAGAGTGAGCCCAACTTCCAATTAACCTGTACTGAAATGCCTCTTTCACATATTCATGGACTCAGCCATATTCTTCAGGACATATGTAATCAGGCAGTGTTCCTGTCAGGGCTCTTTTGTTTCAAGGAACAGAAACCCACCTAAGCTAGCTTAAGAACTTAAATTTTTACAAAGATATAGTAAGGGTGATAGAAATCAAAAATTAGATTCATTATGTAACCAGGTCCTGGGACCTAAAATTGTATAGCTATCAGGAATTGAGGTTACTCTATCTCTGTGGGGGCTTCAGGGTTATGGGGTCTCTGCTACTCTCTGTGTCTATGATCCATCTTCATCTCTGCCTACCTCTTATTCAGCTTGTACATAACTTAGAGGGGCTGATCCAGTCCTTGTTACATCATGAAACCTTTTATAGTTATGTTTCTGACCCTCATCTGCTGATTAGCCAAGGACTTCAGGCTCCAAATTCCCAGGGAAGATCGGCTCTACCTAGTTTTTAGCCAAGCCTCACAAGCCGTAAGTTTTAGAAGCAAATGGAGCCACCATCTTTGGGTCAGTTCTCACATCAGGTCCAATGAGCTGTAGTTAAGGAAAGGGTCTGGGGTTATCTAGTAGAGAACATGATCATTCAGGCCAGTGGAGCCTGCCACATAGTGTGTGTTGAATGTTGAATGAGTGAACAAATAATGAATCAGTGTCCTGTCTGAAGGAAAAATAAAGCAGAGGACCTTGAAGATAAAACTTGGTCATGTTGTAGGATTACAGGCAACAAAAAACAGAAGAGAAGGCATTAAATTTATCTCCAGACATTTTACACTGAATAGAAACAGGCTATATTTAAAGTTGTTATGCCATTTGTTCACCACATAATTACATGGTTTAGGAGCCCTGCTGCTTGGAGGAATAAGACTAGATCAGAAGAGCAACAGTATGATTTCATAAGCCTAATTATTGGTATTATTTCCTTCTGTTTTTAAGTTTTTGCGATTATTTTGTGAGTTTGAAAATATTTCCTATCATATTGCATAGTAGCCATTTCTTCATGTATTGCATTGTGTCCTTAGGAAGGAGAATGTAATTGGCATGTTAGTGGGATGTTTATTTCTTGATCAATATGTTTATTATCTTAATCTGAAAAATCTTAGAAAATTACAGATTATAATTGTTTGATTTAGCTGTTTGCTGCACACTTCTAATCTCTGAGGATGCTTATCTTCTGAGTTACCTCATTTGTCTTTTGGGCAAGAGACATTTTGGAATCGTTCAGTTTAAAATAAAAGTACCTTTTTCTTAGAATTTTTTTCCCCTTAGACTGGATTTCATATAGCTTCATAAATTTTCTTGTACATTTTCCTTATGATGTGTGGAGTTATGTTTAAATGAATAGAGAAAATGGGTTACTGTAGGCCCCTATATCTTCTTCCCTTGATGTGCTTCTATATTGAATTCTTGGCTTTCTGAACCATAAACTGGTACTCATTTGGTTCTGTGAGGACTGAATATGCTTCCATCCACAGCTCCTTCAGAGCCCCAGAAAGTTTGTTTCCATGGATACTTCTGCTGAGGCCTGCATCCGTACATTTGCATCATGCAAATGTACCAGGTTGGCCTTTACTACATTCTACCTTGCCTTCACCTGTGCTTGCCTCCACTTGATATTTAGAAATGTTTTCATAGATTTCATCCATGCTAAATCCATTAAGAAGTAGTGTGGGTACACAATAGGCACACAGGGTCCACAAAGATGGATCTTCACACTTTGAGAATTCATGAGCATAAGCACTTTTCAAATGACTCCTCTGTTGGTAACACTATCATCTTTCATTTGGGTATGTTTGACTTGTTCCTAATCCAGATTACCAAGCATTTCTGAGATTAGAAATCAGTTCTACCCTCTCATCTTCTCTTTTATTGCACTTGAACTCTCTGGAGATAGGCTTGATTCTTAAAAACTAGAACAAATATCATCTGGTTAAACAGAGACCCGTGTTAACAAGTTGGCCCAGCTGTAGGTTACCAGCACTCACAGGGAAAATGTATTAGTAAGACATTGTTTTGTTTTTTGAGAATCAAGGGAAATTCTACCAAAATCTTCCTGCAGCAGCTTACAGGTCCCATTGCATGTATTCCAGTGTCCTTGTGACATTCAGAGACTCTTCTCTTTAATTACAAGCAGATGTGAAGATTGAAATATCATGCTTGATAAAGTAAGTAATGTGGCAAATAATTCAGAGAATTATAGCTCATCTTCTAAGACAGGACAAAGAGAACATCACCCTGAGAGGAAGCCTTCTTTGGAAATGTTCACCATGGATAGATTTCTTAGTTACTATATTGTGGTGACCTTGCTCTAATGCTTTTTAATTCTCATCATTCCTTAGCAATAAACCAGAAATAGGAAACCACTGTCAGGTTCCAGCGGGAGAGGGATGTCAAAACCACAAAACTGAACTTAAAAGTGTTTTAACAGGTTAAAAGATAAAAGACCATAGAAACCACATGGACTTCAGAAGGGGAAGAAGCTTGTTTACAAGGTCAAGTCAAAGTGTAGTCAAGTGAGTGACCTGTATCTGGGGTAGAACTGTGCCAGAAAGAGCCCCGGACACTCCTGACAGTAAGACTGGGGCAGGTTGAATATTTAAGCTAAACACATAATTAAAAAGGTCTCACTCTCTACAGCTTTCCAAACCATGCAGTCTGTGTACATATACGTGTATATGTCAGTGAGTGTATGTGGCTGAGCGTGTACATGAGTGTGGTGTGTGCGTGTGGATCTGTGTGGATGTGTATGTATATGCGAGTGGGTTCTATCCCACTGCTGGTGAGAGGTGCTATTTCGGCTATTTTCTATTGTTTATCACCATAGCCATTAAAAAACGATGTTTTCTCCTTGTTGTTTTTGCTTGGATGTTTGCTTCAAACTTGCAGATTCCTAATAGACTGATTTCTTCCTCTTCCATCAACCCTGTCCCTTGCTCCTCCCAAAGTGCATTCACTCATCATTCCCATTGTCACTGTCATTATGGATGGCTTACCATACGTGAGGTGTTCTGCTGAAAGCTAGACCCCATTCCTCCATGCAATACTTCCAACATTGCTGTGTTGTGAGTTACCTCAAATTCTTAAATATGACAAAACTAAGTCTTAGAGAGGTGAAGTAGCTTGGTTAAAGTCACATAGCAAGGGTTTGAACCCAAACCCATCTTATCATCAAATAAAGTTGTCCATTGTTAGTCAAAAAACATTTTTAGCAATTATTTAACAATTATTCTGATTAAAGATGGTGAAATGAAGAACCATCAAACATCTACCTTCCCCTGGTATGTAGATGTCCGCATAGACTAGAAAGCTAAATTCAACTGTGTCTTTGCCCAGCACACCTAATAAAGTCTATCATGGGCGCTGACATTGTTTGGCTGCCTCCATGGAATCAGGAGTGACCAGATTACATTCTCCTCTTTACCCGAAGAAAAGTCTCTGTTGTGGTAGTACAGGACATTTACTGCAAGGCTGGTAAACAGAATGTTCAGATCCTAATGTCCAAAGTTTTAATGTAGAGACTTAAAGGGCTGTCCTAAATGTCAGAGGCAAGGAAAATTCGTGTCTTGTTCCTTACAGGTAAAAAAAAAAAAAAAAAAACTTCCCAGAAATAATCTCTGATTTCAGAGTTTCCTGATACTCACATCTCACGTCAGGTCATATGACATCCCGCCCTTCTGCTGGCTGTGGAGAGGGAGATGATTGTGTTGCTTCAGGATTCTTGTGTTTTAGAAGTGCTAAAGAAATGTCTCATTCTCACAATGGGCCAGTTTCTTTCTTGCTAAGTTTTATAATAAAATTTGGGCAGAAAAAGCAATAATGTTGGTAGTTTCTATGACATTAAGTAGAAAACAGCTTTCCAAACACAGAAAAATAGATCATTCCCAAAGGTTTGCTGACATTTGTTTCTGGTCAACAATATTCCTCAAAATTTAACATTATGGGATTTACCAAGCAGACAAAACAAAATGAAACCTAACATCCCTGAGAAGATTCAACCTATTCTATGTGGGACAGGTGCCAGTGAACTTGCTGAAGTGGTAGGCTTGCCCCCAACACAGCCTGCTGAGTGTTGCTGAGGAGTGGCAACTTCCAACCCTGTCTCCACACAGAAATCTCCAGGCCTGGGGCATTGTTCAGAAGTACCATTGCGTGGGCCCCATTCCCAGACATTTTTTTTTCCTCTGGGATGGGGCCTGGCAATTAGAAATTTTTAAAAAACTCTGGAGATGATTCCATGTACAGTCAGAATTGGAAACCATTAAGAAACTGGCCCAAGTGAATTCTGTTTTCTGCAGGAACAATTAATTAATCAAGTGCTGTGAACCAGGAAACTTTACCTAATTCATTCAAATATCCATTTGATGTGCATACCTTTCTCAAGAATTTGCAAAAAGAGATATGATCAAAGTTTTCTGAAAATATCTCTGAGTAAATGTATAGATTTGTCAGCACATAAAACATTAGTACCAATGCTCAAGCTCATTGACTTAAAATAGAAACTGCTGTATTGATTTGTGGTCCTTAAAGAGGCAGAAATAAGTTGTAATTGGAATCAAATTGCTCAGAAAATCCCCCTGGCAAGTCTATCTCCTAAGGAACATTCTCAAAGAATAAGGAACATGTTATCCTACCCTGCAGGCTTCATTCTGCCTGCTCAGGCCCACAGAGGCAAATCAGCTGCTCTGCGGACACACCCTTCTCCTGTAGAGAAACTCCTTCGTAGGCAAGGAAGTACTCCCGGTCCATCACAGGGCTGTTGGGCACAGACACACTTGCCCACTCAGCCCTGTGGAGCAGGGAAAGAGAGGTGAGAAGAGAAGGAAAAATGAAGAATTGTCAGGCCTGCTAGGGGTCTAGAGTCCAGGGTAGGGATGGGAGAGAAGAGTCTCTGGAGGGAAGGGCACAGGAGCTTTTGCACCTACATAAAATAGTTTTCAATTCTGGCTCACTGTTAGAATTACTGGCAAAACTTTAAAAATACTATATCAATACCCACGTTCCACTTGGATCAGTGAAGTCAGAATCTTTATGGGCAGGGCCTGTGCCATCATATATGTCTTTAAAACTCTCAGAGATTTGGCTGGGCGCGGTGGCTCACGCCTGTAATTCCAACACTTTGGGAGGTCGAGGCGGGCGGATCACGAGGTCAGGAGATCGAGACCATCCTGGCTAACATGGTGAAACCCAACCTCTATTAAAAATAGGAAAAAAATTAGCCAGGTTTGGTGGTGGGCGCCTGTAGTCCCAGCTACTGGGGAGGCTGAGGCAGGAGAATGGCGTGAACCTGGGAGGCAGAGCTTGCAGTGAGCTGAGATCCTGCCACTGCACTCCAGCCTGGGCGACAGAGTGAGACTCCTTCTAAAAAAAAAAAAAAAAAAAACTCTCAGAGATTCTAAAATGCTGCCAGGGTTGAAAATCACTACTGTATTATCAGCCTCTTAAAGGGCAGGTAAGATGGATTAGCCATTTATATAGTATAATTTCTTGGGTGCTGGAAAAATCCACTTTCCCCTGAGTTCCTCCCTTACCTACACCTTAATGCACAAAAATTCTACAATTTGAGATGTCTTCCTTTGGCTTAATCCAACATTGACCTTGTTCTGTGTTATAAGGCACACACTTCAGAAAGAAGGAGTATATGGAGCTGATTTGAGTCACTTTAACCATTCTGGGTATTTTAAAAGAGGAAGAAAAGGCCGCAAAGTCAGAGGGAATGTTGGGGTATCAGGAAGGACAACACCAGGATAGGGACAGGAAAGGGGAACTAGAGACTAAATCAACCTTCTCCATTTTGTCTAGATCTTGTTCCTGAGGATGACCTCTGCAGACTGCTGGACGCAGGAGACTTGTAGGTACAGACTCCCACTTCTGAAACTGGAAAGACACGATTCAGTGGTTACAAGGGGGTAACGGGGTAACAATAGGGCCCCATCCAGCCATTCTTTTGGTCCTTAAGCCTTTGGGGATCAGAGAGCAGATCTAGGCTGATACCATGGGCTGATAGATGGCTGAGCAGCAGCCATCCACAGCCAAGTGAGGCTAGCAGCAAAAGAGATAGGACAAGGAGTCAGGTCCCCAACCCAATCTACTACTCTCCACTAGACTACAATCCAGACCACTTCTCCATTCCTTGGATTTACTTTGTTCTATGGAAGCAAGTGCTGTTTCTTCTTCCTAAGGGCACTTACTGGCTATTATGTTTTTTTGTTCCCTGAATATAGATGGCTTTCAGCTTATAAAGAATTTGTGTTTCAAAAGTTCAGATATAATGTAGTTATTTGTACAAATATTATGTCTCTCCTATAGAAACAATATAATATGTGGTGGTTAGGTTCCCAGGTCAATTCATGAAAAGCTTTCATCGTAAACATTCCTGAAGGAATGTAATCATATGTAACCAAGGAAATAGGAGTTTTCAAGTCAGGAAATCTCGACTTGTAAATCCAGTGCCTCTCTCTCTGCCCAAAGAATTAATCAGGTACTGTCTCCTCATATATAGATATCTCCTCCCCAGCAGTCCTGCTATAGCAACATTTTTGGGAAATCATGTCGGAGTAAATATACCCCGATCAGTGCATAACTTGATAAGACATTCAACTTGTTTATTTTGCAGGGTTTGGGGTGGGGAATGAGAGAATCTTCCCTCCAGGTTTATGTTTTATAAATGCATATATTTATAAATAAGACAGATGGATAAAATCCACATATTCACTTCCTAGCAGAATTGCTTTCATCAAGAAAAATATACATTTTTGTATTTAAAATTTGGTTAAGAGTATTCAGTGCATCAGTCTAATCATATCTAATAGCAACTTGGCAATTTTGTGTCTTGAAACTATAGTATGGAGCACAGAGCATGCCATCTTTGAGGATGTTTGGCATTTCAGCAATAAACTCCAGTGAAAGAATGACTTCAGACAAATTTTAGGGCCTTATGACAGATGTATTAGTGGAGAAAAAAATGTTTTCCCAAAGATGACTTTGAAAGGTAGCGTGGAAATTTTGCTCTGAAGACTTATTTTTATGCCTTATAAAGTGACAAAGATGTGACGGGCGCTACAAAGGTAATGGGGCATTGGGCCAAACAGGCAAAAGTAAGCATCCCTATAGGACTTAAGACAAAAGAACCATGAATGCAGCCATCCATAGGGGTAGGGAACCTGCCTTTTGAGCCACATAGAGGATTTTCTCAGATGAAAGGAAAGAAAAACAACAGCTGAAGCAACAAGAAACAAAAATCAGGGTCGAAGGTCCTTAGAGCAAATCTTCAACACTCCCAGCCTCTGACTGCTGGACTGTGGAATTCCTTTGAATTCAGAAAAGGCAAGAAGACAGTAATTTTTAAACTACCGTTTCCTACAAAAACACATTTCTTTCTTCAGCCACATGCTATTGGCTGATGACACAAGAACTGTCTGAGATGTGAACCAGTACCTGAATTCCTGTGTATAGGGTCCTCTCTATTGCCCTTTAATTTTGAGGTTCTATTCATCCATCCAGCCATCCATTCAATGAATATGTAATGATCATCTACTAAGTGCCAAGCAATGTTGTAAGCTCTAAGGATAGAGTAGTGAATAAGACAAAGTCCTTTCCCTTATTTTATAGGGAAAACAGAAAATAAGCAAATAAGTTAATTATATAAAATAATGTCAGGAATAAGGGCTCATTAGAAAAGCTCAGCAGTTAAAGAAATATAGTGAGGGGATGACACACACCTATTTTAGATAAAATGGCCCTGCTGAGGAGGTGATATTTGAGTGGACTCTTAAGTAGAGATGGAGTCAGCTATTGGAAAATGTGGGGAAAAGATGGACCAGGTGGACAGGTTTGCTATAGCACAGGTCCCGAACACCCAGGCCATGGTACTGGTGGCCTATTAGGAAGTGGGCTGCACAGCAGGAGGTGAGTGGCGGGCAAGTGAAGCTTCATCTCTGTTTACAGCTGTTTTCCATTGCATTACTGTCTGAGCTCCACCTCTGGTCAGATCAGCAGGGGCATTAGATTCTCTTAGGAGCAGGAAACCTACTGTGAACTGCACATGCCAGGGATATAGGTTGCATGTTCCTTATGAGAATCTAATGCCTGATGATCTGTCACTGTTTCCCATCACCCCCCAAATGGAACCATCTAGTTGCAGCAAAACAAGCTCAGGGCTCCCACTGATTCTACATTTTGGTGAGTTGCATAACTATTTCATTTTATATTACAATGTAATAATAATAGAAATAAATTACACAATAAATATAATGTGCTAGGTTCATTCTGAAACCATCCCCCGTCCCTGGTCTGTGGAAAAATTGTCTTCCACGAAACTGGTCCCTGGTGCCAAAAAGGTTGGGGACTGCTGTGCTATAGCAAAGGCCTTGAGGCAGGAACAAGCTTGGCATATTGGGGAAAAACAAGACACCCTTTGAGAACAAAGTGGGGTGAGAATGGTAGATAAGCTCTGAAAGGTAAGCACAGATTAGAATATGTAGAATCTGTGGATGTGGATAAGTTAGTAAGAAGTCTTCGAAAGGAAGCTATTAGAAGGTTTGCAGCAAGATACTAATGTAAAATTATTTATGTTTCACAAACAACTCTGGAAAACCCATTTCTGCTGGAGGAATAGATATTGTATTTACCCTTATGACTGAAACAACTAAAATACCAGACAAAATATATAAAACAACAACTCTCAAGACATTGGACATCACAGGGAGAAGGATGTCTGAGATATGAAAAACAAATTAAGTGAGCCAAACAATGGCCCTGCTTACTGCCTGGAGAAAGTTTCCAGGTCACAGTGCAAGGACAGGGAACCCAGGCAGAGTCCAGTGATCTCATGAGCTGGAGAGCCAGCTGTGAGTCTGGGGACACCAAAGTAGTAAGAGATCACAGAGCAGAGTACCAGAGAGGAGAAGGCTGCACAGAGAACTCCGGATATCTATAGAGGAACCCCCCTTGAGAGTATTCATTCAGCTGAGTCCAGATTAGGGCATGTGTATCAATTCATTCTCACCCTGTTATAAAGAACTGCCTGAGACTGGGTAATATTTTTTTTTTTGAGACAGAGTCTCGCTCTGTCCCCCAGGCTGGAGTGCAGTGGCACAATCTCGGCTCACTGCAAGCTCCGCCTCCCAGGTTCACACCATTCTCCTGCCTCAGCCTCCTGAGTAGCTGGGACTACAGGCACCCACCACCACACCTGGCTAATTTTTTGTATTTTTAGTAGAGACAGGGTTTCACCGTGTTAGCCAGAATGGTCTTGATCTCCTGACCTTGTGATCCGCCTGCCTTGGCCTCCCTAACTGCTGGGATTACAGGCATGAGCCACCGTGCCCAGCCTGAGACTGGGTAATTTATAAGGGAAAGAGGTTTAATTGACTCACAGTTCTGCATGGCTAGTGGGGGGGCCTCAGGAAACTTACAATTCTGGCAGGAAGCGGGTACCTTCTTTCCAAAGTGGCAGGAGAAAGTGTATGAGAATGAGGGAAAAACAACCATTTATAAAATCATCAGCTCTTGTGAGAATTCAGTCACTATTATGAGAACAGCATGGGGAACACTGCCCCCATAATTCAATCACTTCCCTCCTTTGACATATGGGGATTACACGTCCCTCCCTCAACATGTGGAAATTACAATTCAAGATGAGATTTAGGTGGGAACACAGAGCCAAACCATATCTTTCCACCCCAGCTCCTCCAAAATCTCATGTCTTTTCACAATTCAAAACCAATCATGCCTTCCCAACAGTCCCCCAAAGTCTTAATTCATTTTAGCATTAACTCAAAAGTCCACAGTCCAAAGTCTCACCTGAGAAAAGGCAAGTACCTTCCACTGATGAGCCTGCAAAATCAAAAGCAAGTTAGTTACTTCTTAGATATAATGGGGGTACAGATATTCGGTAAACGCTCCCATTCCAAATGGGAGAAATTGGCCAAAACAAAAGGGCTACTACCCCACACAAGTCCAAATCCAGCAGGGCAGTCATTCAATCTTAAAGCTCCAAAATGATTCCATGTCTCACTTCCAGGTCACAGTGATGCAAGAAGTGGGCTCCCATGGCCTTAGGCAGCTCTGCCTCTGTTGATTTGCAGGGTACAACCCCCTCCCAGCTGCTTTCATGGGCTGGTGTCGAGTGTCTATGGCTTTCCCAGGCACACGGTGCAAGCTGTCGGTGGATCTACCATCCTGGGGTCTAGAGGTCAGTGACTCTCTTCTCATAGGTCTACTAGGCAGTGGCCCAGTGGGGTCTCTATGTGGGGGCTTCAACCCCACATTCCCCTTCCATAGTGCCCTAGCAGCGTTTTTCTATGAGGGCTTTGCCCCTGCAGCAGACTTCTGCCTGGACAGCCAGGTGTGTCCATACATCCTCTGACATCTAGGTGGAGGTTCCCAAACCTCAATAGCTGACTTCTGTGTCCCGCAGGCCCATGTGGAAGTCACCAAAACCATGTGGAAGTCACCAAGACTAGAGGCTTGCTCCCTCTGAAGCCATGGCCAGAGCTATACCTTGGTCCCTTTAGCCCTGGCTGTTGGGATGCAGGACACCAAGTCCCAAGGCTGCACAGAGCAGGGGTGGCCCTGGGCTGGGCACAGGAAACCATTTTTTCCTTTTAGGCTTGTGATGGGAGGGGTTGCCACAAAGGTCTCTGCATGCCCTGGAGACGTTTTCTCCATTGTCTTGCCGATTAACATTTGGCTCCTCAGTTTGTATGCAAATTTCTGCAGGAGGCTTGAATTTCTCCCCAGAAAATGGGTTTTTCTTTTCTATCACATGGTCAGGCTGCATTTTTTTAAAGTTTTATGCTGTGTCACCTCTTGAACACTTTACTGCTTAGAAATTTCTTCCACCAGATGCCCTAAGTCATCTCTCTCAAGTTCAAAGTTCCACAGATCTCTAGGGCAGGGACAAAATGCCACCAGTCTCTTTGCTAAAGCATAGCAAGAGGGACCTTTGCTCCAGTGCCCAACAAATTCCTCACATCCATCTGAGATCGCCTCAGCCTGGACTTCATTGTCCACATCACTATCAGCATTTTGCTCAAAACCAGTCTCCAGGCTCTAGGAAGCTCCAAACTTTCCCACATCTTTCTGTCTTCTTCGGAGCCCTTCAAACTGTTCCAACTTCTGCCCATTACCCAGTTTCAAAGTCGCTTCCACATTTTCAAGTATGCCCACTCTCTGCAGTACCAATTTACTCTATTAGACCACTCTCACACTAATATAAAGAAGTGCCTGAGACTGGGTAATTTAAAGGAAAGAGGTTTAATTGACTCAATTCTCTATGGGTGGGGGGGTCCTCAGGAAATTTACAATCATGGCAGGAGAGGAAGCAGGTACCTTCTTCATAAGGCAGCAGGAGACAGTGTGTGAGAGTCCAGGAAAAACTACCATTTATTAAACCATTAGGTGTTGTGAGAATTTGCTATCGTGAGAACAGCATAGGGGAAACCACCCGCATAATCCAGTCACTTCCCTCCCTCGATACATGGGGATTACAGGTCTCTTCCTCAACACGTGGGATTATAATTCAAGATGAGATTTGGGTGGGAACCCAGAGCTAAACCATATTAGCATGTGTGTGAGGAAAGTACCCAAACCTGAAGAAAAATTTTCCTGAAAGAATAGGGGGAAATAGTAAGCGGAACTCACAAGGGGCCAGAAATACTGCCTGTTTCCAACAGCTACAGGGGAAAACCTCACAATTCAGAGGACATCTGCCAGAGAACTAAGAAGAGTGTTGCAAAAATTGTGCGGAAAAAATTAACCCTAAATGAAATGCTGCTGGGATTCTTCTAATAAAGCTTAAAAATAAGATCCATCAAGAACAAAGTAACTGAAAAATATCTAGCACTCAGCAAGGTACAATTCACAATGTCTTGAACCTAAAGACATGCCAAAAAAAAAAACATAAGAAAATAATTAGAAGATCAATCACTCATATGGAAATGACCCTGATCTGTAGTTGACACAGATGATGGAACTGGTAGATTAGGATACTTAAGCAATCATTACTATATTTGTATTTGTATTAGTCCATTTTCACACTGCTGATAAAGACATACCTGAGACTGGGTAATTTATAAAGGAAAGAGGTTTAATTGACTCACAGTTCTGCATGGCTGGGGAGGCCTCACAATCATGGTGGCCTCACAATCAAGGAAGAGCAGAGGGACATCTTACATGGTGGACGGCAAGAGAGAATTTATGCAGGGAACTCCCCTTTATAAAACCGTCAGATCTTGTGGGACTTATTCACTATCACGAGAATGGCCCAAGAAAGACCTGCCCCCATGATTCAATTACCTCCCACCAGATCCCTCCCATGACACATGAGAATTATGGGAGCTAGAATTCAAGATTTGGGTCGGGACACAGCCAAACCGTATCAGTATTCCATAAGCCAAAGAAGCTAGAGGCAAGATTGAAAAAGTTAATATATAAATAAAATATATATTTATATATTATATATTATATATATTTATAATATATAAAATATATATTTATATATTATATATTATATATATTTATAATATATAAAATATAAAAATAACCAAAATTTAATTTGTACACATAAAAACCACACTGTGTGATTAAAACATTCATTGGCTGGGACTAATAGCGGAATAGACATTTCAATAGAAAAGATTAAGAAGCTTAAAAGTATAGCAATAGAAACAGCCTGCCTCCCTCCCCACCACTCCCACAAAAAAAAAAAAAAACAGAGAAAAAATGCTAAACAATGATAACAACAAAAACCAGAGCATAGTGATCTGTGGGATGACATCAAATGACCAAATAATTAGAGTAACCAAAAGAGAGTTGAGAGGGGTGAGACATAAAACATATTTGAAGACATAATTGAGAAAAATTGTCTAAACTGATGAAACTATTAGCCCACAGATCCAAGAATCTCCATAAACCTCAAGCACGAGAAATATAATGAAAACTACATCAAGACACATTTTGATTAACAGAGATCAAAGGAGCCAGAAGAAAATAGAGACATTATATACAGAGGAACAGTCATAAAGAAGACAGCAGATTTTACATCAGAAACAATTCACGCTGGAAGAAAGCGGACAGGATCTTTAAAATACTGAGTGAAAGAAAAAAACCTTAGCAACTTAGAATTCTTTAAGCAGTGAAAATATCTTTGTAAAAGAAAGTAGAATAAAGAAGCTTTCCTAAATATAAAAGCTAAAATAGCTTTTATTTTTAAATTAGCAAAGCTGCACCATAAGAAATGGTAAAGGAAATCCTTCAAGGAAAATGATACCAGATGGAAATATGAATCTTTACAAAGGAATGAAAGCCACAGAAATCACAACTATATGGGTTTATGTAAAGGTTTTTTTCTGAATACTTAAGGGCTTTTAGAAAATAATCACCCATTTTGGTGGTGCTGGAGCTGCACTGGGCTAACTTTATAAGGCTGACAGTGCTTCTCCCCCAAATCTCTGTTGTCCTTGTGCTTTTCATCTCTCTTGTGTTCATCTGTTCTTTAGTATAAGTAGCATAATGAGATGCTGTGCTTCCCACTGTCCTGTTAATTCATAGTGAAAATGGGCCTAGAATCTGACACTTTATTTCACTTGATGAATTGAAATTTTTACTAAGTGGAGCTGTCAAGAACCTTAAAATAACTGTAGATGACAATAAATTTTCAGGTATGCTGCCTCATCTTTGGGACAAAGTTTATTGTTCTCATCTACAGCATTTAGCACTCACCCAGGAGTAGAAGGTTAGGCAATAGCTTTTGAGCTTACACACCGGTGTGTAAACAAATGAAAAATTTCTAAGCATTTGAGTCGCAGTCTGTCCCATTGGGAGCAGTTTAGGGTCAGTTAGCAGCTAGAAACCTAAGGAAAGCAGACCCTCACTAGGATGACTGCAGAGCTGAGGGCTAGCCTGGCTTGTGCAGTGTGGTGCGCTTAGATAATAGCTCATCACTGGCTGTCATCCTTGGCTTCTCTTACATTGTTTATGTTACAAGTTCTCAGCAATTTACAGAACTCTCTCTCCTTTCCTTCCTTCCACCTGTGATCTTCTCTGCTTTGGAGATAAGAACCATTTGTGCAATGTTATACTAATACTTAAGAATAACATGCACTATGTAGTTATAATCAAACCTAATGTTTTCAGATGACCTAATTACATCTTCAATGTGGAAAAAGTAAAGAACAAAAAGAATTCATCTAAACTTCTAGGCAATCCAGTTGCCTTTTAAATGTAAGAATGGAATTCCAAATACTTTAGCTATATGACTGAAAGTAAATCTATGGATACAATCTTTGTGAATGATCTTTTAAATGAAAGAAAACTTTATGGAAAAAAATTACTCACTTAAAACAAAAATAACAGGTATACTCTGTAGTATAAAGACAATTCCCAGCTTTAAATGGTTTGACTTAACAATTTTTCTACTTTACAATGGTGCAAAAGTGACACACATTCAGTAGAAACCTTACTTGAGAACCCACATAATCATTGTTTTTCACTTTCAGTATTTACTAAATTACATGAGATATTCAACACTTTGTTATAAAATAGGCCTTGTGTCAGCTGATTTTGTTCAACTATAGGCTACTGTAAGTGATCTGAGCATGTTTCAGGTAGGCTAGGCTAAACTACGATGTTTGGTAGGCTAGGTATATTAAGCGCATTTTCGACTTGTGACATTTTTAGCTGTGATGAATTTATTGGGTAGCATGTAATCCCATTGTTAAGTTGACAAGCATCTGTATATAGAACTAAAATATATGACTTCGATAGCCTAAAAGATAGGAAGGGAGAAATGGAGAAATAGTGTTGAAAGTTCCTATACTAAATGGGAAATAGAATAGTATTATTGGAAGGTAGACTGTGATAAGTAAAATTTGTATACTATAAATGCTGGAATTGCCACTAAAGAATAATATATCAAGGTATACTGAATAAGCCAGCAATGAAGATAAAATAAGATCATATAACTACTCAATTCATTCAAAAGCATACAGAAAAATAGGAAAAATGTTAACAAATAACAAATGGGATAAATAGAAATCAAAAATAAGATGGTAGATTTAACCCAATCATATCAATAGTCACATTTAATGCAAATTGTTTAAACAAATTTGGCAGAGATTGTCCAAATGAATTAAAAAGAACATAATTATACTTTAAATATAAAGACAAAAATAGTCTATAAATTAGAAGACTGGACAAACATATGTTATATAACTAATAAAAATTCAGTTTGAATGACCTTATTTATACAAGACATAGATTTCAGAGCAAAGAATATTGTCAGATATAAAGAGGGTCATTTCATAATGATAAAAGGGTCAATTCTTTAGAAGGACATAATCGTATTTATTATTTATGTATTAGGTAACACAACCTCAAAATATATGGAGGAAAAATCAATAGAATTGCAAGATACAGACATATCCACAATCATGGTCAGAGATTTCAAAACCTAGTCTCAACAATCAATAAATACAAAGACAGAAATCGGTAAGAATGTAGTAGACTTGAAGATTATCAACCAACCTGATCTAATTGACATTTATTGACCACTCCACCTTACAGCACCAGAATACACATTATTTTCAAGTGCACACTGAACATTGATGAAAACACAGTATATTCTGGGCCATAAAACATATTTCAATAAAATTAAAGACAAAAAATTTTTAAATAATTCAAGTCATACGAAATATATTTTCTGCCCATGGTGGAATTAACTAAGAAATCAATAACAAAGATATCTGGAAAATTCTCAGATATGCAAATCATATTATACACTTCTAAATAACCTATGGGTCAAAGAAAAAAATTTTTAAAATACGAAGTATTTTGAACTGAACAAAAATGGAAACACGACATATCAAACTTTCTGGTGCAGCTAAAGTCATATATAGAAGAAAATTTATAGCTTTCAATGCCTAAAAAAAAGGAAGTTCTCTAATCAATGACCTCAGTTTCCACCTTAAGAAGTTAGAAAAGACAAGCTTATTAGGTGCAGAGTAAGCAGAAGAAAAGAAATAATAAAAGTCTGAGTGGAAATCAATGAATTAGAAAAGGGAAAAATAATAGAGAAAATCAATGAAACTAAAAGCCAGTTCTTTGAGAATATTGATATAATTGCTAAACCTCTAACCAGACAGATCAGTAAAAAAGAAAGAAAACACAACCAATAATAAGAATGAAAGACATTTCTTCACTATAAATCATAAAGATATCAAAAAGATAAAAGATATTATGAACAACTCTATGCCGATTAATTGGACAAATTAGATGAAATGAGCCAATTCCTTGAAAGACACAAACTAGCAAAGCTCAATCAAAAAGAAATAGATAACATTAAAATAAATTTGTAGTTAAAAAACCTTCCCACAAAGAAAAGTCCAGACCCAGATGGCTTCACTAGTAAATTCTACTAAATATTAAAAAAAACATATTCTATACAAATTCTTCCAGAAAATTGAAGAGGAGTGAATACTTCCCAACTCATTCTATGAACCAGCATTATTCTTATACCAAATCAGGTAAAAAGGTTTCAAGAAAGGAAAACAGTCCAATACCCTTCATTAACATAGTTACAAAAAATAAAAAAATAACACCCTGAATTCAGCATATATAAAAAGTATGATACATCATGACCAAATGTAGTTTTTGTCAGGAATGCATTTTTTTAACAATAGAAAATCAATCAATGTAATTTATCATTTCAGCAGACTATTCAAGGAAAGTATATGATCATATCAATATATGCAAAAAAAAGCACTTGACAAAATCCAACATGCGTTTCTGATAAACATTGCAGCAAACTAGGACTAGAAGGAAACTTCCTCAATCTGATGGTCACTCCAAGTGTGGCCCACAGATGAGCAACATTGGCAAAACCCAGAAGCCTGCTAGAGATGCAGAATCTCAAACCCATCTTAAACATACTAAATTGGAATCAGAGTTTTAGCAGGATCCTCTGGGGATTTAAATATGTGTGTGTATTAATCATGGTTCTTTAGAGGGACAAAGCTAATAGGATATATGTATAAATGAAAAGGAGTTTATTAAGGAGAATTGGCTCACACGATCACAAAGTAAAGTCCCACGATATGCCATCTGCAGGTTGAGGAGCAAGGAAGCCAGTGGTGGATCAGTCTGAGTCCCCAAACCTCAAAAGTAGGGAAGCTCACAGTGCAGCCTTCAGTCTTTGGCCAAAGGCCTGAGAGCCCCTGGCAAGCCAGTGGTGTAAGTCCAAGAGTCTGAAAGCTGAAGAACTTGAAGTCTGATATTTGAGGGCAGGAAGCATCCAGCACAGGAGAAAGATGAGGACTGGAAGACTCAGCAAGTCTGCTCTTCCATCTTTTCCTGCCTGTTTTAGTCCAGCCATGCTGGCAGCTGATTAGATAGAGTCCACCCAGATTGAGGGTGGGCCTGCCTCTCTAGCTCCACTGACCAAATGTTAACCTCCTTTGGCAATACCCTCACAGACACAGACACACCCAGGAACAATATGTTGCATCCTTCAATCCAATCAAGTTGACACTCAATATTAATCATCACGAAATGCAAGATTGAGAAGCACTGCACTAAGTCTAATTTACAACCATGGCTGATTCACAATCACCTCCCTAAAGCGCTCTACATAGAGAGGTTGTTCTGAACCTTTTACAATATTCTAACTTGAACCTCCATTTTCCTAGAAGTATAATGGAGATACATATATTCCATAGGTTGTTTTAAGAAGTAAATTAAACAAGACAATAAAATATTCAGCATGGTGTCTGTTGGCTATTGTTATTTTCCAGCGAATGTATAAAATAAAGTGCCCTAATAAAAAGGATTTATACTTAATAAAATGGATTATTAGAAACTTACATCTATAAAGAAATCTAGTCTATGTCCTCATTTCACTGATGATGAAACTAATTCCAGAAAAGTCAAGTGACCTCTCCAAGATCACATGCCAGAAAGGTTTTCTGATTTCAACTATAATGTGCTTTCTGCTACACTACATGCTCTGACCTATTTAATTCAATATCACCACAAGGTAATCTGTAAAAAATAAAAGCAGGAGGTTGTCAGGGAGAGGTGGATGATGATAATTTACTTAATGGGTACAATGTATGTTATTTGGGTAATGATACCCTAAAAAAGCCCTGACTTTACTACTATGCAATCTATGCATGTAACAAAATTGCATAGGTACCCCATAAATTTGTACAAATAAAAAATAAACTTTCACTTTAGATGCAGAAGGTAGAGAGATTCCTTTTTCCTATCAATACCGAACGTTACAGTCTCAAAAAAAAAAAAAATCTCTCCAGTACTGTTTAGTACCTCCCATTTTCTACTAGAAGTTACATGTCAATTAAGAATATCTTTAAACACAGCAAATGAGTGCAAAATTGACTTGGAGAAAGTGGTGGGTATTGTGTATTTAACACACAAAATGGTTGACTAGCCAAACCAGGTGATAACCATTTATTTGGTGGATAATACTCTACATGAATATTAAAATGTTAGTGAAACAGGCAATTTCCCTGACCCCTTTGTGGGACTCATGAAGGGAGTGGCTCATTTACTCAGCCCCTTACTCAGCTCTCAACCCCTTGTGGGAGGGGGAGCATGCAGGTGAACGGGCGCAGGGGCTGCGACAAGTGCTTCTGGGCTCCAGCAGGGGCAGAACTCCGTGTAGCCCCCGCAGTGTCGGGGGTGCCTGTGACCCCTGGAGCCCCGGGGGCCATGTGTTACAGTGCTCTTTTAGCTTTGCTATCCGTGGACAGCCAGCTGAAATATTTAATAGCTCAGTGTGACAGCCTCTGTATCAGAGCTCTTGTTCAGCGTCCAGGAAGAATCAGATCACACGAAAAAATTGAAGATAGTAAATGTGAAATATTTTATTGCTGATGAAAGTGGCTCTCAGCAGGAAGGGGAGCTGGAAAGGGGATGGAGTGGGAAGGTGGTCTTCCTCTGGAGTTTGGCCATCCCCTGCTGAACTCTTTTCTGAGGTCCTGCCATCAAGCCATTGCTCTGAAGTCAAGCTGCTTCTCGCTGATGTCAAGGTGCTTCTTCTCTTCTCTCCTTTCCTGCCACTCTGTTGGTCTGCTGCTCTGCCAGTGGAGCCTGGGGTTTTTATGGGTACAGGATTGGGGGTGCGGGGTGGCAGGCCAAAAAGCAACATTCAAGCGGGAAAACAAATGCATGTTCTCACTTTGGGCTGCAGTTCCAGGCTTAAGGGTGTGGACCTCACTGGGGACTGCCCTCTTCTACCCAGTATTTCCCTGCCTCCTGCTCCTATCATTAGGTTGTTCCCTTTTGATTAGTATTTATAAATAGCTCTTCACTGTTATGTATTATGATTGCTTCATGAAGTTGTATTATAGTTGTAAAATAGTTAACAAATGATTTAGAAAACTATTAAGTAAAAAAAGAATAAGGAACGAGAGAAGATTGAGTGGTTGTAATTCTGAAAAGAAATTAAGTTCTGATTTTAAAGTGGTATTCCTGGAGGCTGAACTCTTTTCTTTAAAATGAAAAAAAAAAATCCAAACCCATTCAAACTAATTTCCTGTCAATTAAACAATTGCGTCTAATTTACTGTGTGGTAGAATCAACTGATGGTTTGTACAGAAATCCATGTTTGGATGGAAAGCCAGATGAAAAAAATTATTTGTTGAAAACAAAAGTAATTTCCGCTTTTGTATATAAGCACACCACCTCTCCTGCTGGCATATTGAAAGGATTTGCCATTTTCTCAAAGGGGTATAATCCAAATAAATGAAATGCAAATACCAATGAACCCTAGCCCTCCAAGACTATATTTTTTAAAAAGAGAATAATCAGATCATTGCTCTGAAGTAAGAAAGCAAATGTTTTCACGTATGAAGAAAGCTGATGTGTGAAGAAGTTGGACATTATTTTTATTTTACTTCAAGTAAGTTTAAACCCAGAGCAGAGATGAAAGTGAGACTGCTACTTCGGTCTAAAGGGCAAAGAAAGCATCTAGTAGACAGTATAACTGAGAAGGATTTTTATAGCAGTATGATGTTTTAATAAGAATAAGATATCAGGGCCAGGCACGGTGGCTCACGCCTGTAATCTCAGCACTTTGGGATGCCTAGGTGGGCGGATCACGAGGTCAGGAGTTTGAGAGCAGCCTGGCCAATACGGTGAAACCCCGTCTCTACTAAAAATACACAAATTAGCTGGGCATGGTGGCACGCGCCTGTAGTCTCAGCTACTCGGGAGGCTGAGGCAGGAGAATTGCTTGAACCCGGGAGGCGGAGGTAGCAGTGAGCCGAGATCGCTCCACCGTACTCCAGCCTGGGTGATAGAGCGAGACTCCATCCCCACACTTCTCCCCTAAAAAAAGAGTAAGATATCGAATCATCCTAGTTCTTATAAGCAAAAGAGACAATAATGCAGTTTAACTTAGCAGATTTTTATTTAATTTTTGAAAAAACAGTTATAAATTCTAATAAGTAAGGTACATCATGAGGAATGGCTCAAGATTCTTCCATTTATATTCTCAGGGGACATCTCTCCTAAAGCAATCGAACCATTAAAAGATTAGGGAAAATGGTCATGTAACAGAGTAGTTAGAAACACAGTGATGCGTGCTGTCAGAGAGGTAGGGTATGCTTCAGGGACCACGGGAGTGTAGTGGACATGAAACTAGGTGAGGCTATAATGTATTCCTCAAAGGCTCTCCCCTGACCCCACTCCAGTTATTTTTCCCCTTCCTGGTTCTCTCCCACTTTTAGATTTTCTTAACAAGCCAGAGACTTAAAAAAAAATGTGGACAGAGGCAAACTAGATCCAGAGTGTTACTTAAGAGTCTCTTACTTGAAATATTTTCTTACTGGAACCAAAACAAAGTTTTTAAAAACAAAAACAGAAAATTTAAAAAAACAAAAATGTCAGACAAAGATTGAAATCTTTTCCATGAAGAACCTCCCAAGGACTGCCTGAACTTATTTATTCCCTATTTATTCTCATCAACTTATGGGACAGTTAGGCTCAACAAATATTTTTAAATAAATGGCATGATGGATACAAATATGGGTAAGATTTAATATCAGGGGAAAACAAATCTAAGCCTAACAAATAAATATTTTTAGGCAGAAAACAAACTTAATGTTCCATGGAGGCCTATGCAAATTCAATGCAATTACATAGTTATACACAAATACTTAAGGCCTCCTATTTTATTGTCTTCATTGTGTATCTCAGGAAAATTCTCTAGAAACTATTGGACAAATAACCATAAGTTGAAAAGGAATGGGTTTAGTTCAATTCAGCTCCTTTTGTGAGTTTTAAGAGTATTTACAAGCTCACTAAAATAGCTTTGAGGAAGAAAAGCTTTACTCCAAAGTCATCAAAAGAACATTATAGAAAGTCATGGCTTCAGGGATTATGGGTGATGACAAACTTCTACGAAAAAAGAAAAAAAGAAATTTTAGATAGGATGAACAAGCCAGACATGAGAGTGGTGGTGGTGTGTTTCCAGAAAACGAAGTGTGAGTTTACTAAAATATTTTCACAATAAATGGCTTTTTCTCTTCTACTTAAATATTCATACCAATAATAACAGCACTAATATTTGTTATCTTATGAAGAGGTGAGTTATTTATTTAACTCTGATTATGTTACTTTGACATGTCTTGATACAATTAATGCTTCAAATAAAAAACAAAACTCCCAGAGTATGATATGGTTACTTAAAATTTCCACTTAGCATTTTCTGAAGACAAAAAAAAATAAAAACAAAAGAAAACAAAGCAAAATAATTTTTTTTCTGTTCACGTAGTCACAAATTGTATACATCTTATCCTTCTTGCTGTTCTTTCCCGAAGATATACTTGATATGGATGATTATTGTCTAATGCAGGAATACCTGCTTATTTAGAGAAACTCCGTTTGTTACAAAGCAAAAATGAATTGGCTAGTTAATTGTTTCCTTTTAAAAAACTAAAAATAAAACCCACTGTCAGAAAATACACACACACACACACACACACACACACACACACACACACACACACACACACACGAGAGCTGCCACAGAGTAAACATGCCTCCTGCGGATGGTTCATTCCCTTTCTTCCCATTTGTGCCCCCAGGATGTGTCTGGGCTCACAGTGAACGACAGAGGCCACTTTTATGTGCATGTGTTTCTCTGTGATGATCTGACTTTCCCTATGAGTGATGATGTTACATGTCTTGCCCAGTGACAACCATTACTCTCCCCAAGCACATGATCCATACAAAAAAATCTGAAGATTTGTTTTGGCTCCTGTTTATAAAAATACACAGTGGATTGACAGTCCACTTCCCTTGACCACAAAAAAGCTCTTGAATATCTTGTATGCCAGTATAAAACTGTCCCTTCTAGTTATTGTTGGCATATGGTGCATGTTCACAGTTACCACACTACACCCTCTCCTATCTCTTATCTTTGAGGAGCCCTTGTTGGGATAAAACTCTCCCAGCAAAAGAAAGAATAAGGGCTAGGTCGTTCTTCAGCTGTGGAAAGGCAATATGTCTCAACAAAGATGGTTTCTCCTCCCAGTTCCACGACACACGGCCAAGAATATGCTGTAATTGGGAACTGGCTCTCACGTGGGCTTAGATAGGAATGGGATCAGCCCTATATGTGATCAAATAGCTTTCTCATGTTTTGGCTGATAGGCAACTGAGGTAGGACAATAAAGCTTGGTGGTAAAAGAACTGACTAACTGGGAATTTTAGCTGAAGGAACCTTTGAAAGAACCTCATCTAGCTTAGCCCTACAAGTTGCAAGGGAAGAAACTACACTATGAGATGGTTTTTCTAAGTTCTCCCTGGTAAGTTAATGGTAGAACTGAGATTAGAACTAATGACCAAGTCAGTGTAATAAATTGGCAATAGAGGATAAGCAAAATTTTGAGACTGAAACAACTCAAAATTTAATGAAGACCATTCCTCATATGTTATACATTCTAAATCATGTCATTGCAGTCTACATGAATAGTGCTCTTGGAGTTGAACAACACTATAGGCATACAGGGCCCAATGTTCCTGAACACTGAAATCAAGGTGAGGTTCTTGAAAGGGATCCTTAAAGAGAGCTGTCCCCGCCACCTCTGGGATGGGGAAGACTTCCTTTCAGCAGCGTCGCTTATTTGAGAAATGACCATGTCATTTAATGTTCCAACTGGGGCATTTTTACAGTTAAAGGAGGTACTATTAACAATTTGGGATAACAGGAATAATCAGGGCTGTCTCAGGCAAACTGGATGCATGCTTACTGTACTTGTTAAAAGTTTGTCAGCTCTTATGGCCGTCCCTGCATCATCTGCAGATCATTTTCTACTGTTTACAAAAGGCTTACATCTGTTTTTATTCTTTTGTTCTTCAATAAACCAAGTCTATTTTTGAGGTTCTTCCCACAGAGCAATGGAGTTGACTTCATGCTGTACAAATTTAAGATTTGCTTTTTATATTTTCAGGGCTGAAGGAGACCTGTTCTCTCTAGGACTGTGTACAGAGCATAGCCCAGTAACTGAGATATATGTGGTTCTTCTAATGCCCTTTGCTTTGTTCTCCGGTGAGAATTTAAAAAGGAAAAGAAAAAATAAAACCCTGCCCTTTTGAACTGTTCAGCAACTTTGCTTGGCCAGATCAGGAATATATTCTTGGGTGGTATAGATGCAGAAAAGAAGCGTAGCTCTGCTTGCTTCAAAGCGAGTAAAGCA
Organism: Homo sapiens; assembly: GCF_000001405.40. Classification (NCBI taxonomy): domain Eukaryota; kingdom Metazoa; phylum Chordata; class Mammalia; order Primates; family Hominidae; genus Homo; species Homo sapiens. Next base: position 82,756,002 of record NC_000005.10, on the reverse strand, counting down.
GCAAAGCTCTTCCAAACCTTGGCTGGCCAAACAAGGTGATTGAGTATGGATGTGGCAGACTGCATGCCAATGAAATCGACTGGGCAAAGATTGCTCTGGGAAAAGTGTTGCAGGATAGGGTATATGGGGAATTATATGTGAACTTGAATGAGGATAATCTTATAGCTTTATTTTCAGACCTGGAAAAGACTTTAGAAAACATTTGTCTAACCCTTATATGTTATACATGAGGAAACTGAAGCCTAGAAAGGTGAAGAGATTTGCCTACTGTAGCAGGGCCTAAACCCAAGTTTCCTGATTTCTTTTTCAGGGCCTCTGAAGCACTCCCATCACGTTGTACAACTCCTGGGGCACTATTCACACAGATTGCAATGACATGATTTAGAATGTATAACATATGGAAAGTGGTCTTCATTAAATTTTGATTTGTTTCAATCTTAGAATTTTGATTACCCTCCATTTATCAATTTATAACAGTGACTTGGTCATTAGTTCTAATTTTGGTTCTATTATTAACAACCAGGGAGAATCTGGGAAAATGATTTCACAGTGTAGTATCTTCTCTTGCAAATTGTGGGGCTAAGCTAGATGAAGTTCTTTCAAAGATTCCTTCACCTAAAATTCCCAGTTAATCAGTTCTTCTGAATTCACTGTACTAACACATAAAGTTATTTGAATTAAAACTGCAGTATAAATCTGGCTGGGTGCAGTGGCTCACACCCGTAATCCCATCATTTTGGGAGGCCGAGGTGGGCGGATCACCTAAGGTCAGGAGTTCGAGACCAGCCTGACCAACATGGTGAAATCCCATCTCTACTAAAAATATAAAAATTAGCCAGGTGTGGTGGCATGCACCTGTAGTTCCAGCGACTCGGGAGGCTGAGGTAGGAGAATCGCTTGAACCCAGGAGGTGGAGGTTGCATAGAGCCAAGATTGCACCACTGCACTCCAGCCTGGGTGACAGAGTGAAATCCATCTCAAAACAAAACAAAAACAAAAAAACAAAACCACCACCACCACCACAACAAAACTGTATAAATCCCCAAGCTGTAAGAAACTAGTAGAGGGGGAAGTTAAAGTGTTCTGGTTTTTGTTTTTGTTTTTTCAGTTCCCTACTCCACTCTCCTAGCAATTCTCCCTCCCTTCTCTTTACTCTCCATTATTTCTTTTAATTACATTTCTCTTAACTCTCCATTTTATTTCTAAATTTGCTCACCATAACATTTATTCTCCTTCTAATACAAAAGTACATCAAATAAAAGCAATGTTAATATCAAAGTAACAAAAAATAAAGAATAAAGAAAAAACACCAAGAAAGAAAATATTTCTTGTAATCTAACCAGGCTAATTTGCCTTTCCATAGATAGTCAAATATTTATTTTAAGAGTCATTTATGCATCATCTGACCAGGTACTCATCTCTAGGAGGTGACATATGGTCATCAATAAATAACTTTGGCCCTTATAAATCTCATAAACGTAGGAACAAGAAGTTACTCATGACCAGCAGGAATATACTTTCTTCCAGTAAATTGAAAATCAAGTGACAAAAGGCAGCAGAGTCTGAGATAGCCTTGAGACCTTGAATGCTCTGCAGAAACCAAATTCAATTTGACCTGTAAGAACGAATCTGCAATGAAAGACAGTGGACCCTAAACTTTATGCACTCCAATAGCTGTTAGATTATCAAGGAAAAAAGGAAACTAAAATACTTCTTATTGCTTAAATATAGCATTGAGCCAAAAACAATAACACAGTACACCACATTGTAGATCTTTGAACACATGCCACAAAGAAATAGAGGGAAGTAAGCAAAAGATTTTAATGGTGGTGATTAAAAAATAATAACGAATGTTTGTACTTTCTTGTTACTCTTTTCTTCCTTTTCCTATAAACACACATATGCTTTATTGATAGTTTGCAACAATATTTCTCACCAGGAAACTATGATCCTACAGTAGTACTTTCACCAAAGTGGGGTACTAAGTCTTGCATGAATGTTGAGAAATAACTCTGTTAACACAAAGAGAGCTTCTTTAATATTTTATCCGGCATAGTTAGCTTCTCAGCACTCAGGGCTTCTAAGGTATACAAAGAAACTCCTGTTTAGTCCCAATGTAGATCAAAAGATTTGGTTTTTGGAGAATGGCAGACTGTGTTAATTGTACTTATAGAAAGTAATAATATCTTTTGCTTTGATTGGTTGATTGGTTTCAAATGCATAGATTTCTGATTATATATTTAAAGCATAATTTTCTCCCTTTTATTATGCTTACGAAAGCTAAAATATATGGTAATTTAAAAATCCTTTTACTTTTAACCAGAAAAGAGTGGGTAGCATAAATTTGGCTGGGCAAAAAATTCTTTTCTCTAAATATACCCTAATCTCTGTATTTTCATCAACTCAATTAACACTTTAAAATGATGATGTCATCATCTCATCCATGAAGCAAAAACATTGAAAAACTACTGGAAATTATTGCCAAATGGGAGCAGCACTAAATTCAATGATGGATATAGAATTCTAATTAATTTGTATACAGTGTAAAAAGCTAACTGAAGAACTGTGGTTTTAGGCAACAAAAGTAAAACTAGATGAACTAAACCTCATCAGAATTGAAAACTTCTAAAAATATAAACAGCTTCTGTGCATCAAAGAACACAATCAACAGAGTGAAAGGCAACCTAGAGAAAATGGGAGAAAATATTTGCAAATCATATGTCTGATAAGGGCTTAATATCCAGAATATACAAAGAACTTGTACAACTCAACAACATAAAAATTCAAATAACCTGATTAAAATATAGGCAAAGGACTTGAATAGACATTTCTCCAAAGAAGATATACAAATGGTCAAAAAGCATATAAAAAGATGTTTGATATCACAAATAATTAGGGAAGTGGAAATCAAAACCACAATGAAATATCTTCTCACATCCATCAGGTTGGCTACTGTCAAAGAAACAGAAAATAACAAGTGTTGATAAGGATGTGGAGAAGTTGGAACCGTCGTGGACTGTTGGTGGGAATGTCAAATGGCATAGCTGCTTTGGAAAACAGTATGGTGCTTCCTGAAAAAATTAAAAATAGAATTACCATATGACTCAGCAATTCCACATTTAGGTATATTTCCGAAAGAATTAAAATCAGGATATTGAAGAGATATTTACATAAGTATGTTTATAGCAGCATTATTCACAATAGCCAAAAGATAAAAGCAGCTCAAATGGTCATTGGTGGATGAATGGAAAAACAAAATGTAGCATATACATACAGTAGAATAGTATTCAGTCTTAAAAAAGAAAGAAATTCTGACACATGCTACAACATGGATGAACTTTGAGGATATTATGCTAAGTGGAATAAGCCAGTCACAAAAAGATAAATACTGCATGATTCCACTTATATGAAGTAACGAGAGTAGTCAGAATCCTAGAAAAAAAGGTAGAATGGTGACTGCCACAGGCTGGGTGGAGAGGAGAATAGGAAGTTGTTTAATGGGTACAGAGTTTCAGTTTTATAAAATCAAAACAGTTCAAGATTGCTTTCACAACAATGTGAATGTACTTACTACTACTGAACTGTACACTTAAAAATGGTAAATTTTATATTATACATATTTGACCACAATTTAAAAAACTTAGATGATGATGATAATAATTGTGGTTACAAACTATAGTTTTTAAATCAATTACTAGGGATGTCCTTTTTTGTTTTTTGAGTAAAAATTTACAGACAATACCCATTCTAAGAAATATATACTGTCATATAAGCTATTATAGAGTAAAATGTGAATAAAGATAAAAGATCAATGACAAAAATGCTAAATGGACTCCTTTAGTCAGTGGAATAATAAAGAAAGCAAACCTCATGAATGAAGTAGAAAGTGATTTCTTCAATAGAAATAATAATGAACTACTTTCTGGAACATTATGTGATCTGAACAAATAAAGCATTAAACATAATGTGGACTTCTCTTATTTTCTTTTAGATCTTTTATCATTAATATGAGCATTCAAAAATTTTGTAATAGATTATTTTTATTCAGTATACCTGACAGTAGTCATTTTAAATGATAGGAGATTCTTCTGGTAGCTGGAATCTTTTTGGAAAACATCATTTATCTACTATAGTTATTTCTTCCTATTTAAGTCTCACGACAAATGCTAAAGATCTAAAAAGAATGTTGGGGGTTGTTTAATGGCCAGAGAGTGGCCCACTCTCAGTTATGTGATTCAGAGTTGCCCTTGAATTTGAACAACTCTTGGGCCATTATTGCAGCTTCAGTGCTGGCCATGGTCTGAGACGACGCAAGCACTGGTACATACGCCGCAATTAAGGAAACCAAATGGAGTCTCCAGCTAACAGCCCTCTAGAAGTCTCTCATTCTAAATCCTGGAGTCTTCTCCATTTGGCCTGAAGTTGGTTTATGCTCCAAGTCCTGAACTTAGCAAATATTTTTTCCCTCCATACGCATCATGAGTACTTATTTAAACATATGGCTTTCTAAGGCAAATTAAATATGAGATAAATGTTTTAATTAATATGTCCTGATATGCTTAACCAATGAGATGGAGTCTGACTGTTCTGCCAATTTGGGGAGTCTAGGATGTGAACATTAATTACATATAGTGAACAGATCATGGCTCACTAAAACCGATTTGTTAAATCAGTCTTTAAAATGTTTTCTGTTAAAATGGAAAAAGGTTTTGCAATCTACCCATCTGACAAAGGTCTAACATCCAGAATCTACAAGGAACTTAAAAATATGTACAGGAAAAAAACAGACAACCCTATCTAAAAGTGGGTGAAGGATATGAACAGACACTTCTCAAAACAAGACATTTACGTGGCCAACAAATATATGAAAAAAAGCTCATCATCATTGGTCATTAGAGAAATGCAAATCAAAACCACAATGAGGTACCATCTCATGCCATTAGAATGGCAATCATTAAAAAGTCTGGAAGCAACAGCTACTGGTGAGGATGTGGAGAAATAGGAACACTTTTATACTATTGGTGGGAGTGTAAATTAGTTCAACCATTGTGGAAGACAGTGTGATGATTCCTCAAGGATCTAGAACCAGAAATACCATTTGACCTAGCAATCCCATTGCTGGATATATACCCAAAGGATTATAAATCATTCTACTATAAAGACACATGCACATGTATGTTTATTGTAGCACTATTCACAATAGCAAAGACTTGGAACCAACCAAAATTCCCATCAATGATAGACTGGATAAAGAAAATGTGGCACATATACACCATGGAATACTATGCAGACATAAAAAAGAATGAGTTTATGTTCTTTGCAGGTACATGGATGAAGCTGGAAGCAGCCATCATTCTCAGCAAACTAACACAGGAACAGAAAACCAAAAACTGCATTTTCTCACTCATAAGTGGGAGTTGAAGAATGGGAACACATGGACACAGGGAGGGGGACATCACACACTGGGGCCTGATGGGGGGTTGGGGGCAAGGGGAAGGAGAGCATTAGGACAAATACTAATGCATGTGGGCTTAAAACCTGGATGAAGGGTCAATAGGTGCAATAAACCACCATGGCACATGTATATCTATGTAACAAACCTGCACATTCTGCACATGTATCCCAGAAATTAAAGTAAAATTTAAAAAAATAAAGTTTTCTGTTTGTTTCTTTAAATCTAGGGTTAAAAAAGACATGATTCTCCCTAAGTGTCTGCATTTGACCCCAGTAAAGAGGGTTGCCCGTGCAGGATTGGTTAGTGGTGTTCTCAGGGCTGATGAGCAAACAGACCTGCTGGGAACACCCAGCACAGTGGTGGCAGAGTCTCTGGTTCTGATGAGAGATGTTTTAACATGGTTTTGGTTCAATTTTCATTTTTCTTCCCTCATTTTTACTTTGCTGTTGAAATTATTTCAGTTTTAGAGTCCCATTGAAAGTTCCAACTGTGTGTCATGTGCTATGTGTTTATTCATATTCTTGTTAAAAATGTTATTTGCATATTTGCATCTCAAACAAGGAAAAATACAATGGGGTTTTATTTTATTTAGTTAGAATTTCCTGAGTCCCCAAGGGAATTAGAATTAGGGTTGGCAGTTCAAACAATACATCCTGTATAAAAGTTATAGCACAATGAAGGCATCTATAGAGACTAAGTCCACACGCCACAAAGGCTACAAATCTCTATCAGTAAGGTCAGCATGTCTGTGGTCAAAGCATCTTCAATGACCTTCCTGAAATATCTGGTTCTTTTCTTTTGAAGAAAATGCTTCGTGAGGTATCGATGTGCCAGTGTCTCAAGCAATGTGTGGGTCGCTGTGGTAAGCGATTCCATTCTGCCCTTGTGGAACAAGCAATGCATTGTAACCTCTAACAGAAAACTCCAGCTGTCCCTTTACACGCCAGTCTTTTTGGCAAATGTTCAGATTTTTTTTCCCCCTTGAATAGTCATAATTCATACAGAAAGCCAGACACACAGATTTTTTTTTTTCAACTGACTTTGTCTCTTTGGCTATCTTATCCCTTATTGCTCCATGCAAACCTACCCCTCCACTTTGGTAAACTAGATGGAATCATTTCCACGAACCAGTAAATACAAAATTAAAAAAATTCACTGTTTGAGATATGTACAACATTTATTACCATTTTTGATTCAAGTAGAGAGGAAAATTGCGTAAATCGGTCATTAGGAGCTGCAGGTGTGCTTGGAGAGGCAGAAGCCTTCTTATTCAGAAACCATAGATAATCCCTCTTATAAAACTTTCTCAGTTGTAATTTTTTTTTTCATTCCTTGGGGAAATGCTGTAAGCAGGAAATCGCATATGTGTATTAAAAGTGAGGTGATAAGCCAATTTTACCAGACGGTACTTTCGGGAAATGACTGTGAATTTTAAAATTGTGTGGCTCTTCAAAATTTTCTGATTTACTTGAATTCAATTTTAACCAATTCATATGATATATGATGAACTCATTTCATGTGCACCTCTTTCTACATGCCTGTGGATAAGCTTTTACAAAAATAATGTTGTTTGAATTGGCAGGAAGTTTCTATTTCCTGTCCTGAAGTATGCTGTGAGTGAGGAGAACATCTGAGCAGGGGCCTTTTCCTTTATTTCTCCCCCTTTGTCTTTGTCTCATGAACTGTGCTTTCTGAGTTCTTACTGAAGCACAGGAACCCACGTGAGAAGACAGCTAAGTGAGGCTCATTGATGAGCATTTTTTTCTTCTACACTGCTGACCTGAGATGGGTCTGGTTTTGAGGAGTAAGTATGTCTTGGGTGACTGTTGTGCACTCGGCTCTCTGCCAAGTGTTAGAAACACAGTTCTCACCCTCAAGGAGCTTAATATCTCACAGGCAGAGCAGGTTATACACATCTCCTAGGTATACAGCCACATACAGTAGGAATTTTCAGGGACCCAAATGAATGGAGCAGGTGGAAGAATCTACATGTGCCCGGGCAGGAGCTGGCGGCAAAGGCTGGGGCAAGGGCTCAGTGGAGGAAGAGATGGGAGAAATGAGTTGGCTTTCATGGTGGACAGGGCTTGGGGTGTCAAAGGATGAATATGGAGGAAAAACCATGAGCCAAGGAGAAATCATTCTTGTGTTTTTGGATTTGTCCCTTGCGGGGCTTAGATGCCAGGCAGAAGAGTGTGTGTACTTTATGACATGGGCAGGAGAGAACCTGCTGAGGAATCAAAAGCAGGTTATTGCCACAGATATGGACCTTGTCTGATACTGTCTAGACTGGATCTTTTTAGCTCCAGGATTCTTAAGCCTTTGCAGAAGTCTGTTTTGGATTCTGTGCTGTGTCTCCCAGATCCTCAAAGGACAAATTCCTCCAGCTGCTGGGAATGATGCCAGCAGATGGGCTTCCATTGTCAGCCCTCTCTGGGTCTTTCCTCAGTTGAAGAGACCTGCCCCTTCCCAGGCCAGTCCACATCTAAAAACTGGTCAGTGGGGTGGGAACGGGTATAAAGGCCTTGTGCCCTTTTTCCCATTTGGGAAGTCTCTGAAGGGCTATGCTGGGTTCAAGGTCACCCATGGGGTGTGCAGAGGTCTTGTTATAATTGCTCTGCAGCCTGATTTCTCTCTCTGCCCAATCCTGCTTCCTTCCTTCCTTCCCCTTCTGCAGTGATTGACCATGAGAGTTTTGCCTGATGAACCTCCTGCCTATTAACCTGCATCCCAGAATCTGCTTCCTAGACAATCCAACCTGAAACAATGTGATCTTCCCTTGCTCCTACAAGTCATGGATAAAGCTTCTTTTTGGTGGTTTTGGTGGTTTTTCACCATATTGCTGAGTCTTGTGGCAAACTGACAGAAATATGATCCTCCCCCAAAGAATTAACAGTTGTTCACTAAACACAGTGTTTGAGGCACAGTACTAGACAGCATGGAGCAGTCTTGTGTAGATCCTGCAGCCTAGAAATAATGCCACAGACAGCATACACAGGTGGAAATGAACTGCACACACAGGGAGACTCGAGGAAGGCAAGTCTAATGTGTGGTGGAATGAGTAGGGAAAAGTTCACGGAAGACCTTATAGGAGGGGAGGATTCGGGAGAGGCGAAGAGGAGCGACATATGCAGAAAACTCCAGTTAGAGATAGAAAATAAACGAATTTGGAAACTTGTATTTTAGGGAAATGTTTGAAATCAATAACTCTGTCAGGACTAGAGCAATTATCTTGGAAAAAAAGAGCTAAGGCTGGAAGAGGTGGAGCTGTATTGTGCAGGAATACAGGAGGTTTTGAGTAGTCAGTGTCCTCTAAAGTGACATCTTGCTCCAAAGCCCCCCAGCAGAGTGTGATATTTCAGCTAGAGACTAGTTTCCAATGGGTAGGTGCTTTTACAAACATACTCGGGGACTAGGAAGGTTACTGGGACACTGAAGTCTCCAGAAAATGTCAGTGACTTGGAAACAAAAGGTGGTGAGCATCCCCAAAATCTCACCTAATAATAAGAAAATGATTCTTAAAAGCACTCCTTTCAGTTTTATCCTCTCCAGATTCTGAGGCAGGAGGAAACTGCTGCATAAAGAGTTTTCTAATTTGCATAATTATGAACCTTCAGCTATTAAGTAGACAAGCTGCGATTTAAACCCAGGTTGCCTGACTCCACAGCAGACCTACTTAACCAGTCCACAATATTATCCTTTGCTGGAGTTGTTATAATAATTCTGGTGAAAAGGGAGGGGGGGAATTAAAAAATAGTTTTTGTTTTTTATTTTCATCCCAAGTGATTTATTTTTTTCTTCTCCTCTGAATATATGTGTTCTAATTTTTAGATTCTGTATGCTCATAGATGTGTTTCTTATTCATAACTTTAGTTTGACATAATGCCTTATAGCTCTGAGTCCATCTTAAGGCCCCGACTGCCTCATGGTGCATTCTTCCATGCAGTTTATCAACTTCAGCTTCCACTGGATATTTCCTAGATTAAATTCTCAAGAGGAAATACATTTGGTCTAGCTTATCTTTTAGGACAAGACAATGTCACAAGTCACTGCCAGATAATTAGATGTCCTTGGGTCCCCGTGTTCATCTCAATCCAATCAGCCACCATTACTGGGCAGCGGGAGGGGGTGGCGTGCAGGAGAGAGAAAATGTGGCTACCCAGGCATAAGAGGCTGTGGGTGTGGAAATTTTTCTATGAGCTAGGCAGGCACTGCTGTCAGGCTGAATGCAAGGGGATAAAGCCATAAGGAGATACTCTTCAGTCCTAGGTGACAAGACCTTTCTCCTTAAATCCTTCAGAAGAGTTTGGTGGGAAGGAGCATGAAGTCTTGCTAAGGCTCCCAACCACCTTCCCCTCTCTTACCCCTACCATCAGCCCCCTGAAAGAAGGAACCCTGTAGTCTCCATAGAATCTAGCTAGTGCTTTGATAATTAAATATTTGTTTCAATCCAAAGGTAGAAAAAGTAAGTAGAAAAATTTTTTTAACCTTTTTTCTTGGTGGCTTTTTGATCTTGTCGGAGATGAACAAGGATCTCAACAGGATTAGACGAATTCTGGACTCGAGGTATTACTATTGAGTTAAAGCTCAACTGATACGCAGTCAACTTTCTTCAAAAACAGGGGTTGCTGACTCTTTACAACCTTAAGATCCTGCATAATTTACATTCATCATAAATGTCTTATTTTTGCCACCACTGAACCATTTTCAAATTGCTTTTTACTTAACCTAATAATCCAAACCTTGATGTCAAGAATGATTCATAAACGGTGACTGAAAACATCTGAAGCAGCAGAATCCAATTTAAAGTAAGGAAAGAGACTACTGATGCTAACAGAAATCACTTTCAGAATGCAGGTGGTGTTGTATTGAACCTGTTTAAATATTAAATGGAGGGTTAACAATACATCCATAAGAAGAGGTCAACTGAAAGCATGTTTTATAAAAATCATAGTTTTGATTTATAGTTAAGCCACTGGTCCCCAGCCAGTGTTATGGTGACAATTTTGCTTCTGGGGGACACCTAGCCATGTCTGGAGACAGTTTTGGTTGCCGCAGTGGAGGGTAAGGATGGGAAGGTACTCCTAGCATCCAGTAGGTATAGACAGGGATGCTGCTACACACCCTGCAATGCACAGGACAACACCCACAACAAATAATTATCCAGCCCCAAATGTCAGCAGTGCCAGAAACCCTGTGTAAACCACAGTAGGAGTTTGATGGTGCACCATGCACTGACTCACTAAGAATCACCAGCTTTTTGGGTGACATCAAGCCTTAATGGGTTGGTATTTTTATAGCACGTAGCTATTTTTCTTCATCAAGCTTCCACATGTGCTTTGAGTCTTGTATTAGCCTGTTCTCACACTGCTATAAAGAACTACCTGACACTGGGTGATTCATGAAGAAAAGAGGTTTAGTTGACTCACAGTTCCATAGGCTTAACAGGAAGCATGACAGGGAGGCCTCAGGAAACTTACAATCATGGTGAAAGGCAAAGGGGAAGCAAGCACGTCTTACCATGGCAGAGCAGGAGCGGGTAAGCAGGGAAGTGCCACACTTGTAAACCGTAAGATCTTGTGAGAACTCTATCATGAGAACAGCAAGGGGGATGCTGCCCCCATGATCCAATCACTTCCCACCAAGCCCCTCCTTCAATATGTTGGGTTTACAATTCGATATGCAGTCTGGGTGGGGACACAGAGCTAAACCATAGCAAGTCCTCATTCTTGATTCTCTATGTGATGTTGTCACTTGTGGGTATACGTCTATGTCCTTGCATTGAAGGATTAATTATTTACTCCAGTTTTCTCTGTACAGCTTGTTTCATTATTTATTGGATATGTTTCTTTAGCAAATCTTTACTGCTAGGTTGCTGCCTCCATTTCAGCTCTAGGTGGTACTTTAAGCCCAGGTTGGCCTCACCTGTAGCAAATGTTCAGAGTGCTGCCTATCCTGAATGGGGGAGGTCCCAAAGGGATTATCCTGGCAGTGTGGGAAGTCTGGCTGGAGGTTTGTATCCAGGGGCCTGTGGAACATACCTCGTACAGCATGGCGCTGCTGAACAGCTAATGTAATTTGGTGTTTCCTTTGGCCCATTTACAGAGCAGAGTTTCCAGGGCTGGGGATGGTAGTTCTGCCTCCCCTGTTTGTCTCTGCCTAACCTCAGGGACATGTCTTTCTTTAGGCACTCACAGTACTTCCATGAGTTAAAGCAGGGAAAGTCTTCCACCAGGGAACTCAAGATGGTGGGGAAGCTGGTTGTCCACCTCAAACTCACTTTTCCAGTGTAGAAACTTCTGCCAGGGAACTCAGGATGGTGGAGAAGCTGGTTGTCCACCTCAAACTCAATTTTCCAGTGTAGAAACTGTGAGTTCGCGGGAGATTTTCCAGCAGCTTGGTGCCAGGCAGAATGGGAGAGGGACATCTCATATATGGAATCTGATTCTCTTACCATCTTGTCAGTTTTTTAACTTCTCTGTGGCCCTAGGAACTGTCTCATCCTTGTATATGAGTTCTGTCACGTTACTGGTGAAAATCTCAGCACTGTATATACACACACACATACACACACACACATATATACACATATATATATATACACACTATATATATATACACACACGTATATATACCCACTATATATATATATACACACATATATATATACATATATAGTGGCACAGGGAGAAATCTTCTTGCCTCTCTGCTGCCATTTTGGAACTGGAATCTCATTCTTGAAAGGCCATCCTCTAATGAATAAAAAAATCATTTAAAAAATGTTGAATACCAAGTGCATTTTGTCTTTGCTTTAGATAAACTGTGTATCTAATGGTATTGTGGAGATCACTAGCAACCCGTAAGATCTCATTCTCCCCTTCTTGCATATGGGTAGACTTAATTGTTGCCGGGCACATGGCTGTGCAGTCAGATTTTATATTTCCTAAGCTCCTTTACATGTGACTTTCTTCAGCGACTGCTCATCAGCTTTATTATATTGACACTATATGGAAATATAGACTCAGTTGCCAGTATTTAAGGATGGCCAGAAATACAGGTTTTTATGTGAACACTCCCAGATTTTTTTGGGGGGGTGGGTGACGGGACGAAATCTCGCTCTGTTGCCTGGCTGGAGGGCAGTGGTACGATCTCAGCTCACTGCAACCTCCAACTCCCAGGTTCAAACAATTCTCTTGCCTCAGCCTCCCGAGTACCCAAATTTAAAATGTTGGCAAGACATGCAAAACACTTACTGAATTTTTTGGACTGGTAATCAACAAGTTAATCAACACACTGATTCAGTTCCAGGATATCTGATCATTTTAGTGGACTGCAGGCAGAGGTCAATAGTGATGGAAATGGTTGAATCTGGAGATGACTATAGATAGAAAAAAGTAAGAAATGTTTTTGGGAACATGGTGGGAAGAGATTAGGTTGAATATGATTTTGTAAAAACTTTAAAAATTTGTTTTCAAGATTGCATTTTAGAGTAAAACAGAGCCATAACACTTCCTGAAATCTTTGTAGAAAACAAAGTCTTTAAAAATAATAACAGTTGTATCTAAAAGTATCCAATTTATGCCCCTGTCAACAATATGTAAGCATGCCTGTCTTCCTATAGAGTATTCAAAATTGTTTACTAGGAATATTTTAAATCTTTGCCTATATAATAGTTAACAATAGTATCCTGGCTTAGTTTTAATCTCCATTTCACTTTGAGAGGAGTTAAGCATATTTTTATATTAACCATTTATCATCTCCTGTTAAATGTTTTAATTTTGGGTTCCATTTAGAATCCAAATTTTGAATTGGAATTTGAGCTATCAAGGGGACGCTTTTCACTGTGAGTTTGGCAGGGGTACACTGACAGATTTAGGACAGTTGGTTTTTAGCATGATCAAAGACTCAAGCTACTTTGGTGGTATGCAGAAAACCCAGAAACCTCCAGTTCACTCATAATAATAATTTGACCCAGAGACTACATCCCTTAAAGTCACTGTGTAAAGGATAAATGCATAAATCATACCCGTTGAGAAACTAACAATGTAATTTTAGGTATCTAAAGAGGCCTACAGATAGGGTACTGAAAATACATTTACTTTTTGTCAAATTTTAAGTTTCTTTCTAAACAACATTCTATGTCTTCAAAATTTTCATACTGTATCTCATACTTTATCTTACCTATCAGGTATGTACAGACATAAGAAAAACTTTCACGAAAAGCAATGATAGGCCAGGTTCAGTGGCTCATGCCTGTAATCCCAGCACTTTGGGAGAATGAGGCGAAAGGATCGCTTGGGCCCAGGAGCTTGAGACCAGCCAGGGCAAGATGTTGAGACCCCATCTCTTAAAAAAAAAAAAAAAAAAAAAAAAAGCAATGATAGCTCATGTTAACTGCTAAAAGTCAGCTTCTGTGAAACATTTTGTGGTTAAAAGAACTTTAAAATTATAAATGATAAACTAGGGTTTAGATGAAAATTATAGATAAATATCCCTCAATAATAAACTTTGGGAAAGTAAGGATTATATTTGCAACCTGCTCTGCATTAAAAAGATAATAATGGTGGTCCTCAAATTCCCTCTCTCCGCTCTCTACTAACTCGAGAGAGCAAACTATATAATTTGAAAAGTTTCCTAGATTATGCTGTTCATCCTCTCCTCTCCCCACTGACTTCCCTCACTAACCCTAGCCTTAAATTACTGAACCAAACTCTTGTTCTTAATTATGAAAACAGGAAACTATTTACTCCTGATTCTCCCTCCTCTACCTATCCACAAATATTAATAAATAAAAATGAGAGAGAGAAGTGTCAGAGGAGCTAGACATTAAGAATATTTACAGGATCTACAGTTACCAGGAAAAAGTTTACCTGACAAAAACACAAAACCCTAAGGCAGAAATACAGGACCACACAAGAAAAGACCTAGGATATTTGTACTAATTAACCCACGTCTGCAATCCTACCTTGGAGACAACAGGTATTGTGTGCTCAGAAGGGGAGCCCTCACTTTACCCTAGAGGTGCTTTCCTATACAATGTTGGAAGATTACTTAAGTCACTGCCTTTGAAACAGGATAGAATCTGATTTCCAATCAATAATGTTAGGGAAATGGTGAATTCAGTTTTTGAGAGTGTTGTAGTTTGACACATTAGTGGTTCCCAGTGAATTGCACTCCCAGTATTCATGCCCTTTTGTTGTCCCTAAAGAGGGCAACATAGTCAAGCCAGGTCCCCAGGAGGAAGGACCCTGCAGCATCATGGTACGTATATAGAGTAATAATAATTCCCCCAGACTTCCCCAATGGGGCTTATAACAATTTACTCATGTAACTGTATTCCAGGGAAAAGAGAATACTGGAATATTTTGAGGAATTCAGGACACAAAGTCCAAGTTAACATTGACACCTGAGGACCTGAAGCATCAAGATGGTGAGTTTTTACATTAAGCCTCTTTATGCTGGAAAGGTCAATGGATACCTGTTGACTATGGACTAGCCCTGTGATCTGCTTTAACCAGTGAAATGTAGCAGAAACATCACTGTCCCAGCTCTATACCTACATCTTAAGAAGACTTTGCAGCTACTGCATGCTTGTAAACCCTAGCCATGTAGGGAGTGGATTACTGGGCACAATAATAAGTGGGGCCACTCCTGTTTCTGCTCTTGATTTCTTGATTTCTGGATTTCAGTGAGGACAAAGCAACAAATGATAGTCATTGATTTGTGGTTGACTCTGTGCTGCAGGAATGTACCTCATCTTCATGAGTATCATCTCCAAACCACTACTTCAGCTGCATCAATACAAGGATGTTTTGTTGTTTTTCAGCCTGACAACTTCCAGGTGCTCTAGTATGTGGTAGGATCAGTGAATCCCATGGGGATGTGCCCACTGCATCCTCACTTTTATTTTAAAGTGTGTTCTTTTGTTTGATTGAGTGATAGATAGGATGCCATGTTAGTGCATCAAACACTCTGTAAGCCCTTAAAGAGTGGTGCTGGCTGAGGCCCTGTCTCAGAATTCATGACAATTCCAGCCAAGACAAATCACTGACTTTTCTAGTATAGAAAAAGCTCAATGGAAACAACTTGCCACCTTGATGCTTTAGGTCCCTTGGTACCAATGTCAACTTCAACCCTATGTACTGTAGACCTCATCATATCTGGGTATTATCCTTTTTCAAGAACACAGTTAAATGAGCAATTGGCCTCCTTTGGAGAAGGTTGGGGGCATTATTACTTCTTATAATTACCATGATATTGCAGGATCCTTTTCCTTAGGAATCTGGCCTCTCCCACAGTCAGTAAGCTCTGAGCCTAAAAATGGGCTCAGTTCCTAAAACCAGGAAAGGGATCCTGACTTTATATTGGATAGCTTCCTCCAGGCTATTTAATTTTCTCTATTCCCTTTCATTTATTTTTACTATATAGTTTAATATTGTTGTTGTCTATCCATTCATCTTGCTGCTAAGGATGCCATGTCCTATTAAATTTCAAATATGTTTATAAACCCTTTCACTTAGTTTCCAAACCCTGTGAACTCCAACCAATGTTCACCTGCCCCACTACACCTGTCACTAATTTTTTTTGTACCTGAGTTCCAGTTTGCTCAGCTTTCCAAAGTGGTTTCAGTGAACTGTGTTCTCTTCTGCTTCATCTTTCACACATGTTCTTTCTGCCTGTCACCTCTTCCCTTCCCTTTGTCACTACTTTTACCTGGCTTTCTCTTGTCCATCATTTAGGCTGTGACATATCCCTGCAGTATATTCAGTAGCATCCTGCACTGTCTCATATGTTTTGGGGTGTATATAAATGTGTTTAATTGACTATTTCAACCACTATATTGAATGCTCCAGAAACTCATGGTTTTTACTTACCATTTTATCCATAAAATCTGGCCCCAGGTAGGCATTCATTAATATGTGTTTAGTAAATAAATGGATATAGAACTGGGAACACATTCTTTTTCTGATAAAAAAACAGTGCTATAAATTGCTATAAATTATGTTTAGAGATAGGCTCAATGGTATCTCAGTTCCACAACTCAGAAAGATCATTTATTAACTGGACTTTTTGGGCTCATCTGTATACATAACCATTTTGGAAATTCACTTTAATCCTAAATACGTGATTTACATGTTGTCCTTAAGAAGATTCCCAACTGGTAAATTTAGTCTGTCATTAATAAGGGGGAACAATGCAAAAATAAGAAAAAGGAAAGTGATTCCTAAGAAGAAGACCTGTGGGAGATTTGGCAAACCACAGGCGTAAGGTTTTGGAGAAAAGTGTTAGAAGATCACTTAAAAGGCTAAAAAGCAGACTGGGTAGCGCCAAAAGGCTAATTATAGAGACATGTAGAAACCTACGACTTGGGAGAGTTATTCTATGACTCTGATCTATGAAAAGAGAGGAAATTATTATGCCTTGAAGTGCCCAAACTGCTAGTTGATCATATGACCCATGGATCCAGATTGCGTTAGAAGTAATTGCAAATGACTGTTCATATGTGTTATTGCTTAACCTCCTCTTTTATGTTTCCACTCCAATAAAAGGACCTGAAGTACTTTCTCTCTTTTATATCTCATTTTCCCAGGCATACTGTGAAACGAAGGCTGCAATGTACTACATGTTGGAGTGATTTAGTTGATTAGTTAGTTCTTCAATGCAAGTGCTTCTCACAGTCATCGTCAAATGCTTAGGATCACCAGGGATTCTGTGGTTATTTGAGCTGCCAGGAAAGAATAAAGTAAACGTGGAACACACAGGGACATTCCCCCCTGCCTTTCCTTGGTTTTAGGTTTTTGGCTTACTCTTCTTCATTTGGGCAATATCAGCCCAACTTGGGTAAGAAAGAAACAGCTTGGAGTTTTGAAAAGAGCCTGGATTTTGCAGCCAAGCAAATACCAAATTTCAGCTCTGCTGACTACTAGCTGTGTGACATCAGGCTAGTTATTAATTTCTTTGAGTCTCTATGTCCTCTTCCTAAGTAAGAAAGGGATAAGAACAGAACTTGTTATGTAGTGGAAGGAAGATACTGTTTGTAAAATACATAACTCATAGTAGACTATTAAAAAAAATCTGCTTCTTCCACCCCACCTCATCCTTTAAGTAAAAAAATAATTATTTATTATTTGTTAAATTGACATAATATAAAGTTAGGTTTAGCACTTGAATCATCAGGTCTAGGTGTTTTATTATTATTAAACACCCTGGCTAATTAGCAATTTTTTAACCTCAATGAACATAAGAGTCAATCCCACATATTGTAGAAATCTTTCTAAGTAGAAGTGCCCGACTTGGAAGCAGTGCATGGGTGCACAAATTGTATGCCTTAAAAGAATCATATTTTGGAAAAGCTTTCCTGGAAAAGGGATTATAAGCATCTGAGCGATGGGAAAATAGAGTAGAATTTTGTGATTGCACTGGTTTCTTTCGAGTTGTTGGTCCTGTGTGGGACTTATGTGCATCTTACTGTTTCCTAGTTGTGTAGTGCATCATTTTCAAAAAAATACTCCCTTTGTCCCCAATTATTCCACGTAGTGGCTGTAACTTGATTCAAACAATATTTCAAGATCTAGCCAAGCATCTTACAAATACATTTATTATTCTCATATAATTAAGTGGGATTGATTATTACTAGGAAACTGCAAAAAAGTATGCCTTACTAATGTGGGTCAGGAGCGTTGTTGTATATACTTGGTGATCACATTTTTCAAACCAAAAACTAGAGCCTGTCAGGCTCAGAAAACACTATCCCAAAGTGCTTTGAACTGAAGGAGATTGGGTGGGGCTCAGAAGCAAGGTCACTCTGCCTTTCCTCCACCTTTCTGTGTGAAGCATGGTTGTAAAAGAATTATCTGACCTACCTTGCCTCAAAATAGGTCATAAGACCCTCATTCCAGAGGACTTCTGCCCCATATGTGGTGGGAAGGAGTGCTAGACAGAGAAGACAAGAAGATCCTGAACAGACAGGCCTTGCTGGGATACCACTCCCTTTCCCACACTGCTCCCCATCACCCCACCCTCAGCTTATTGCCATTAGATCATACCCTTTTTGTTCAATCACATTTCCACATGGCTGTCCATTCCTCTTCAAACTTTCCATAAAACACAGTTTTTCCTGGGTCTTTGGGTCTCCGTTTCTAAAGGCTCCCATGTCTTAGAAAACTGTTAAATAATTTTGTTATGCTTTTCTCTTGCTAACCTGTCTTTTGTTAAAGGAGTGTTGGCCATGACTCTCATAATATATGAAGAAAAGGTATTATTACCTTTTCACTCCTACAGGCCCATAGTCTAGGAATGGGAAAAAAATATTCTTAATCTTTATGTTTTGCATAATTTGGTAAGTGCTTAACCTTTAGGAAAATGCATTTAACATTCTAATGAGCAATTGGGAGCTAACCTCATGTAATGTAAGAACTGTGTGTGATGAGCACACACCTGTGCTCATGTGCAGACATGCGGTTTAGCAGTCTCCTGGAAGGCAGGTAAGTGGGCTAGCATAGCCAGGACTAAAAGCACTGGCCTAAACAATATCCAGTGTGGTCCTCATGGAGTGCATAGATGTGTTTCAGGACTGAATTGGATCCACTCTTAACATATTTTTACCAAACCAGAATTTGACTCAGCAAATATTACCAAATAGAATGGAGTTTCTTGCTGCTCAGGAGAGAAGTTGATGGGTTAACTTAGAAACCCCTATTCCCATGCGTGGTGTCTAGAATTGTCAATAGATCACATCCACATGATAAATAATGTGGCAGACAGAAGGCCAGGCCTTGCCCAATTTTCCAAGGTGTTGAGGATAGGTGCCTTAAGACACAGTGTTTGAGAGGAGACAGGATGTGAAAGGCTATCCTTGCTCTGAGCCTGGAGGACACCCTTCAACACCCAGTCAAGCTAAATGACATTTCACAGGCGGGAGAATATTTAAGGTAATATCTACTATACCTAGAAAGTATATTTAGAAAGTACAATTGCATTTAGAAAGTACAGTTTTACAAAACTATGGAAAACGTGACTATCTTTAACAATATAAGTCTCTACACACCTTTTAGGTCGTTAAGATTGTTGAACACTTTTTTCTTTGGAAATGAGTTGAAGAACATCATTTTGACTCCCTATCAAAAGATTCTCAAAAATAACCAGAGTTTTAAACATCATGCCTGATTCGTTTTTCCCCATTGATCCAGAAGCTTCAATTATTAAATAAAACAAAAATCTGTTGGAATGCAAATTACCTCTTTTCTAATACTTTGAAGCTCTCCTGTGACTTTCACCATATACTTTACTGAGTATGCCAGCTGTTTGGGGCTTCTCTTTTTCTCCTATGAATTATAAGTTCCTAAAACCCAGAAACTTTTTAAAAATTCATTTTAAAAATAATTTCTTACCGAGACTAGCTTGTTGTGACTACAGTAGAAAAGTGAAAAATAGTAAATAATATTAATTGAGGCTTGGCACCGTGGCTCACACCTATAATCCCAGCACTTTG
Source organism: Homo sapiens (assembly GCF_000001405.40). Taxonomy (NCBI): domain Eukaryota; kingdom Metazoa; phylum Chordata; class Mammalia; order Primates; family Hominidae; genus Homo; species Homo sapiens. The sequence goes on along the minus strand of NC_000005.10, from coordinate 82,736,059 downwards.
GGAGGCCGAGGCAGGTGGATCACTTGAGGCCAGGAGTTCGAGACCAGCCTGGCTAACGTGTCAAAACCCCGTCTCTACTAAAAATACAAAAATTAGCCAGGCGTGATGGTGCACATCTGGAATTCCAGCTACTCAGGAAGCTGAGGCACAAGAATCTCTTGAACCTCGGAGGTGAAGGTTGCAGCGAGTCGAGATCGCGCCACTGCACTCCAGCCTGGGTGACAGAGCGAGACTTTGTCTCAAAAAAAAAAAAAAATTAATTGAGTATATTGCAATAAGGTAAAACCATTTTTGGATGTGAAGCAGAGACTTGAGTCTACAGAAATCCTGTTTTAATTGTGTTCCATCAAGGTCTTGGAGTTTGGTCTCTGAGTAGGCTAAATAACAAAGGATTATTATGCTCGTGCATTGCAAGCTATGGGAAAGTTCATAAATTATCTTGATGACTCATTTCCTCTGTCACTCTAGGACTTCTAATATAGGGAGACCTTTTCTGTTGCCTTTAAAAAAAAAAAAAAACTTGTGAGATAAATGGGGAGAAAAGTCCTGAAATTGAGCTTGTTCAATAAGTGTTATTTAATGTTCATATAAAAATTAAACTGTGTTATAACAATGTTAATAACCAATTGATTCCAAAGGCCATGCTTAAAGGCCTCTGCCTTTAAACTCAGTCTTCTTAGTGCCATTTTGCAGAGTGGCTTGTGACCACAGGAGGTTATTTATTTCATCCTAAGCCACACAGGATATTTCCCATACATATGCTCAGTATACCATGGAGTGTAACAAAGGTCCCCTGTTCTTGAGGCAGCGATTGAAAAGAAAGTAGAAGGGAACCGTCTCTTTAATTTCTGAATATTGTGTACTATCAGACTCTCTGAAATGCAATTCAAAACCTTAAAAGGTTGTGGCATTTCTAGATTTCTCTGTCTTTATCTAGTCACCTACAAAAAAAATTTACATGCTTATACATTGATTGGAGATAAATAGCTTCATTTTGCTCTTTGAATCTTTGACTAGGCATATATATTTTAAGATTTTTTTTTCTAAGTACTTAAGACTGTCCTAAACAAAACAAATGCTGAATCAATATTTCAGGATTATCATCTGTAAACTTCTGAAAATCTGCCCATGGATTATTGATGTGTTTTGTTCTCATTCCAGAATCCTTTGGCATCTGCTTCATTTCACTGTTCTCTCATTTTTCAGTTTTTCATATAGGCCAGACAATTAACTACAGCATTAAAGTAGCAAGGATGTTAATTCTGTGCAATGCTTTGAAATATACTTCATTTGATATTATATACTATGGATAAAAGTTTTTATTTTCTCCTTATTCTTCCTTTTGAGGAAGGGAAAGAAAGAGTGAACTAAAGACATTAAACTATGGCTAACTGACCTCGTGAGTCAGTGTTTCCATGAATTTTACATCTCTCATTGCTGAAATTTTGGATGTTCTGTTCTTCATTTGAAAGCCTGCTTTTTATTGTTGGCGTGTATTTCCTGTTTTCTCTTTTCTCAGTTCCCACTCCTTGCGTCAGGACTCCCCTCAAATGATGAATTTACAAAGGAACCTGTTAACAGAGTAATAAACTCGGCCTCCCCACCCAGTGCCTGTCAGCACTCCCACCCAAGACCTCCAGTCTCCACATGGCTCCTTTTCTCTTTTCCTCTCTTGTCTCTCTATCACCCAGAGCCCTTTTCATGTACGGCAATATCTCACATGGGGACATCCTCAATTCCCAAATGACCTCAGGGAAACCTGACATTTGCCCCTGACACTAAAACTTACCAAAAATGAAAAAAAAAAAAAATAGAATTTCTATGCACAAGTCTCCTTGAATTTGGAAGCCAAGGAAATATTTTCTGCTATTGCTACAGATAGACTGAAGAAAGTTCTACTTGGAAAAACCAGAGCTGTCTGAAGAATGTAGGGGAGTGATGGATAACAAATTTCCTTTTGGGAGGTAAGTCTAAGGACATGGGACTGCCTCTGAGATCATCGCCTGTGTCAGAGGCAGGTGGAGCATTTAACACATGAGGGCTGAGGTGTGAGATTCTCTCAACATGCTTGGTATATTGATACTTAGGGGTATTAGTGAGCTGGCTCTAATTTGGAATTATTTAGCTCCCACTTCTTGCATGTTCCTTCCTCCTCTTTCTCTCAATAGGCCTTAAATCATTAATTACAAACATGACATGACATGAAAACCCATGATCTTTGATAGTGTTGGGCTCAGACAATGATACCCCAAAGCGAACACTTCAGAAGTAACAAAATTTTTCTCTGGCCTTCTCCTTCCCTCCTGTCTCTCATCCTTCATTTCCCCCTGAGGCACACCATAGAAACTAGAATCTCTCTTCCTTAAGGCGGTCATAGAAACCAGGATCCCTTTTCCCCAAAGCCAGCCATAAGACCTAAAACTGTGACTCTAAAAATATTGCTCTAACCTGCCTTGCTGCGTTTCCCCCGTGGTCTATTACTATTAGATCATAGCCTTTTGCCTAATCATATGCCTACATGGCTGTCCATGATTAATAGAACCTAAGCGTAAAAATGGATAGTTCACCCTGAGCCTTTGGGTCATCAATGTGAAAACTCTCATGTCATATAAAACTATGATCGAATAACTTTGTTATGGCTTTTCTTCTGTTAATGTGTATTGTCAATTCATTTCAGCAGACTTACACTTTAGAGGGGAAGCTTGAACTTCCATGGGATGGTTTCTCTTTACCTGTGTGTGGTAAGTCTTCAGTGAAGTAAATAGTAATTAGGACCTTTAATTATTTAATTAAATAATTTAATTTAAATAGTAAATTATTACTTTCACCAGTCAGAACATTACTTATTTGTTAAATTTCCCTAAAGGCAAAAATAAACTAATTCTCAAGCCACCAGCTACAGCTTGCTTTAGTCATGAAATTGAATAGATAGGAAATGAATGCTGAGGAGTATCCTGTACCAATTCGAAGTGGGTCTTTCAGGTAAATTTACTAAGCATGTTTAAAGATCAGCCAAGGCTCTCAAATGACAAAACATAAAAATTGGTGAAGAATTTTAAAATTGATCAAATTTAAAAATTTGATTATTTATCAGTAATTAAATAATAGCCTTCTGAAATTATAATCTGTATTTACCATGGGGTCTTAAATACTTTATGGACATCTATATTTATTATTGTATTGATAAGCTTTGCTTATCAATATAAGCTTTTCTTTGTATGGTATGGCTGTGTCCCCACCCAAATCTCATCTTTAAATGTAGCTCCCATAATTCCCATGTGTTGTGGGAGGAACACGGTGGGAGATCATTGAGTCATGGGAGTGGTTTCCCCCATATTGTTCTTATAGTAGTGAGTAAGTCTCACGAGAGTTGATGTTTTTATAAGGGGAAACCCCTTTCACTTGGTTCTCATTCTCTCTTTTCTGGCCACCACGTAAGACGTCCCTTTGCTCTTCCTTCATCTTCTGCCATGATTGTGAAGCTTCCCCAGCCATGTGGAACTGTGAGTCAATTAAACCTCTTTGCTTTAGAAATTACCCAGTCTCAGGCATGTCTTTGTCAGTAGCATGAGAATGGACTAATACATTTCTTTTTTTTTGCAAGTTGATTTTTCTGAAAGAAAGAAAGAATCTCTTTACATCCTCTGAAGAAGCCATAGTAGGCTTTCAAGTTTATAATGGTTTGTCAAGAGAAAGTGCAAGGAAAAATAGGTTACTAATAATCTAGAATTAAAGAGTGGCAATAACACGAGGAAGAGTTCGAAAGGAGTTTAAAGTGAGACCTGCCTGACAATGCAGAGTAATGATCTCTGTATAACTAAACATATTCTAAACAAGATAAGTGACCATCAGGCATAGATGCTGAACAGTATTTTTCCATGCTGGTTGGGAGGCAGTATTAGAAGAAATGTATTCAGTTTGTTTAACACTCTCTGACGGAATTTTAAAATTCCTTGATATTTGAACCATCTGGACAAGCCCAGTCACTCTTAAAATGCAAGGTACAGAGTTTACTGTAATACTGCAGATATGGTCCAACTAGGGTAAATACAAAATGATTAAATATACAAATTACATTTTATTAATATAGTCCAAAATTATGTTAGATTTTTAAATAGCCAAACCATGTGGCCAATTCCTAGTGCACTTATGATAAAGTAAACTCTGAGGCATTTTTCTCATATGAATTCAAAGGAACCCAGCCTCCTTTATTCCGTTCTTGCATAATTGATTATTAAATCCTAAATGTAAATTTTCATATTTATTGCTGACAAATTTTGTATTATTGATTCTAATGTCAAGATAATTTTTCATCTTGAAGTAGCTTATTACATTAAATATCCCTCTAAGCTTTGTGTAATTTCAGACAGTAAAAAGTCATCCTCTACATCTTCCAAATTGCTGATAGAGGTTGAATAGAACTGAATTTAGTGACACTATAATACAGTCTTCCCGGAGGAAGATTTTTTATTATGCCTCTCCATAGAGCAAATTCTCTGAAAATAACCTACAATTTTTTTAAAAGAAAACGTTTTTCCCTTTAATTTGTGAAACTCTATTCACACTTCAAAAAGAGCATAGAAAGTAGTAAAATATCACTGATGTGAGCATTCCTATTGAGCTGTTTTTAAGTCATTTTAGGCTGAAAAATATAACAAATCAAATAGTGACCTCCTACTTGCTCTGGGTTAATCAATAACCTTTGGTTTTGCAAAAAACAGCTGCTATTATTAAAGTGAATTGAAATATATTAGAAACGGCATTATCAGATGATGGTAGGGCTGCAAACCAGAGGTTACCGTTTCCTGCCTCCCTGGGCAACAGGAGTGTCTTTTGGTCCCTTTCAAAGCCTTTCACATCTGGCTGGTGCTGAAAGAATCTACTGTCAAACTGCTGCTGCTGTGGTACCTGGTTTCTTACGATTTAATTGCAAGTTCAGAACAGAGGACTTAGGGGTGTCTGGGGACCCGTGGCAGAGTTCACACAGCCTCTTTTTAAACAAAGGAGGCTCTGTCTTACCTTAGGCTTGTGCTCTTAATGAGGAAGTGAGTTTGATCGCGGGCCACATTAGGGTCCCCTTATTTAACAGGGCCAGGGTGATTGCATCAATGTTTTTCTAAATGGCATCTTGTGCGTTTGCAATGAAGGAGGTTAGCTTTGTTCTATTTTGGCCTTTAAACATAGTTCTTATCACCGACTAGCCTGAGAGAGAAGAAAATGGTAACATTGTGTTTCCAGGGAGAGGGGGGTGTGTGTGTGTGTGTGTGTGTGTGTGTGTGTGTGTGTGTGTGTGTGTGTGTGTGTGATGTGTTTGTGGTATTAATCTCAAGAAGTGGGAGGACGGCGGAGGTGCTCATAAGACAGGAGAACTGGAGGTAAACGACCCAGTTTCAGAGAGTAAGGGTTGTATTTGCATACCATTTTTACCTTCTGGCCAGGAATTTCTATTTGAAATATTTGGAGGTTTGTGCTGTCTGCAGGGACAAGTCTAGCTGACAGCAGCATCCTCTGTAATCACAGCACATTGCATAGGTCCTACCTCAGAACCTGGGTCTCAGAAATCTAGAATTTTTTAAATGATTCACATTATGTGTAAGAACCATTGTTCTTGAGTAATAATGGCTCTTTGGTCAAGTTCCTTTCTAAAATCAATTTAAAGTATTAAAGCCACAAAGGAAAGTCAATATTACTGGGTTTTGGAGCATAATTTGAGACATAGAATTAGATGGTAATGCCTTTAAATACTATCAGCATGAATTGTGTCTGTCTAATCTATATCCATGCTTATACCCTGCCTAGTGTTTAAAAGCACTAAGGAAAAGGGGCGCCAAAAAATACAACCAAGCAAACATAGTTGACTATTGAGCAACTTGGGGGCTGGGGGACTGATGCCTAGCACAGTCAAAAATCCCAGTATAACCTGTGAGTCCTGCCAGATTTAACTACTAATAGCCTTTTGTTGACCAGAAGCCTTCCTTATAAAGAGTTGATTAACACATATTTTATGTGTTATATACTGTATGTATTATATACTGTATTCTTACAATAAATTAAGCTAGAAAAAAGAAAATCATAAGGAAGATCAAATATAATAACTATTCATTAAGTAGAAGCGGATCATCATGAAGGTCTTCATCCTTATCTTTGTGTTGGGGAGGCTGAGGAGAAGGAGGAAGAGGAAGGGTTGGTCTTGGTGTCTCAGGGGTGGCAGAGGTGGAGGAGGTAGAAGGAGAGGCAGGAGAGGCAAGCGTTGAGGTAATGGTGCAACTTCTACAGTGAAATACCATCTTCATTTCTCCTTATAAAGGCAAAATGGTCATTTATATATTGAAGCAGGTATTTAGAATAAAGCAAGAGAAAAAAATGTTTATGGAATTTTTTTAGATTGGTCTAATTTTCAGAAAAATGAAGACACATACATTAGCAAAGCAGAAAGCTAGCAGCAAAGTTGTTGATTATCTCTGGGCTGCTCCATGATTCCACACAAGGCTGGAGGTGTACCTCGCATTTTAGCCTGAATTACTCTCTTTTCTTTGGCTCCACAGGCAGGAAAACGATTTGGCATGTGTTTCAATTCCGTATTGGAAACCACACCTTTTAAAGCTATTCGTATGTAGTCATTCCCTTGCTACTGTGAAAAACAACTTTAGAAGACACCGTCCTTTATTTTATGAGTTTTGCTGTGGTTTGTTATGATAATAATAATGTTGGGTCAATACCTAGCGCCCTTTTCCTGACTACTTGAGTTCTGAACCAGTTGGGAAAAAGAACCGAGAGTCAGATAGATGAAAGCCAAAGTATCACTTTTGCTGCTGATAAACTGCACAATGTCACTTTAGATGTGCAGCCAAAGGGGTTAGTAATTTTATACCCTTAAATGTACACACAGCAGTTTCTGACAGCTGGGCTCCTGCAGCTCTCCTCTGGGATGGTGGGCTCCAGAGAGCCTGGCAGAGCACAAACCGGGTGGTCTGATGAGACAGCTCAGAAACTCTGAGACCCCTGTGCCCTGCCTTTCTCCCTCCCCTGAGTAGGAGCGAGGGAAGGACAGTGAGAGGTGAGCAGTGCTAATCCTAAATTCCTCCACATGGAATTATGATGCCTGGAGGAAAGGAGGTCCCTCAACAGCAGTAATAATCCTATTTCCATAGTGATTTCCCATTCCTATTTATTATCACAGTTTACAGAAGGAAAAGGGTATCAGCAGCTGAAAAAGACTGACTTCTGAGGGGAAAACAGAAATGGCACGTTGTGGATATAAAACAGATTTACCTCTTTCCATGGCCTAAATGTATCTCATTTCCATTTCACTAATTTTTTTCCTTAAGCAAATGGCAGTTTTGCATTTTTATCTTAGGTCCTGACTATATTCCCTTTGTTGCTATGATTACTAAAAATCAATAAAACTGATTTAAAATTTTATTTTCAAACGTTGATGTTGCAGTTTTCAGTGATAATATATTTGGAAACATTTGCCATCTTCTTACCTAGATTTGGAAAGAGATAGGTTGACTCTTTTTTCTAATGCATAAGGAAGGCAGTATGCCATATTCATGATATTCTTTCTTCTTACATTCAGAAGTTCTATTTTCCTTTTCTTGTTCTTCCCATCTGAAACATAAAGAACTTAGCATATGGAAGGATTTTTTTTTTTTCCATAACTGGGACTCGAAGCCTTGGTTGTCAAGAAGTCAGGTGGAACAAGGACTGGTGAGAGACTGGGGCTCAAGGTGGCCAGTAAGCGTCCTCTGCCACCCTAGGAAAGGCTACAGCAGGAGAGAAACAACACAGCCATTATGAGAAAGAGAAGCAGAGCCAAGGGGTGGATAGAAAGAGATCTCCAGCAACCCATTTGCATTTCCAGATCTAGCAAGGAATTAAGCAAGCTGACTCCTCAACTTTGTAGTTTTGTAAGCCAATAAATGGCCTTTATTACTTTAGATGAATACAAGATATTTTCTGTCACTTGCAACCCAGAAAACCCTAGGCAATGCAAGTTTTGTCTTCCCTGCATATTATTGGGGTTCAGAACATAACATCTCAAAGTATGGCACCTTGGCATGTGGAATATTTTGAACTGAAAATTGGAAGGGCCTCAGATGCAAGGCCTTCCCGATCTTCTCCTGTCCTCCTGTCATCCACCCCTCTTTCTTCTGTAAAGTGAGTCATAGAAACCAGAATTATTCTTCTTTTAGGCAAATCAATGAAACTAGAACTGCTTTCCCCCAAAGCAAGCCATAAAATTGAGAAATGCTGCTCTGTCCCTTGAAAACTCTCATTTCTGAAGAAGCCTGGCCCATACGTAGGCGGAAGTAATGCAACACAGAGAGGCCAAGAGGACTCTGAACAGATAGGCCTTGCTGGATTCTCCCCTTTGTCTATGACCATTAGATTATACCCTTTTGTCCAATCACATTTCTATGGTTGTACATTCTTCATCAAACGTAAGCATAAAAAAAGATAGTTTTCCCTGGGTCTTTGGGTCTCCATTTCTGAAGGCTCCTGTGTCACATAAAACTTTGATTAAATAAGTTTGTTATGCTTTTTTCTTGTTAACCTGTCTTTTGTTATAGGAGTGTTGTCTGTGACTCTTATAATGAGTGAGGAAACGTATCATTCCTTTCCATTCCTATAATATCTAAGATCGGTGTAGAAAGTTTAACAAGACTTTAGTAAAGGTTCCAAGTTAATGAAAGAGAATTATAACACAGAGATACCACTTGGCTCTCTACCTATAGGATCGATCCTACACCACAGACTCTGGCTGATTTTAAGTAAGGAAAGCCCTATGCTGTGCCATAGGCTCTTTCCTGTCAATTACAAACTTTGCTCCCTGCCTAGTTCTTAGTGAGGTCCTCTTTCCCTCACCATCCGGGAATTCCTCTGAACATCTCCTGTTCAGGTCGGAGAAGACCCAGAGGAACTTCTCATCCTATATGTCCCTTCAGAGTAACATCAAACTTCCATTTTCTCATTTCCTGTCCCAAGATGCACTTCTTCTCAGCCTGACTGACAGATGTGAATGTCTATTCCCTAAGAGGATATCCATCCTGATACCCATAAGAACTAAGGCTTGTGATCTCAATAACCACATCAGAATGGAAAAGTCCACATTACTAGGAGAGTTACCTATCTGGTAGCAGAGGTCATTCCTTCCTCACATTTCCTACCCAATTATGAACGGAAGAGTTAGCTCTTTTCTTTTTTTTTTTTTTTTTTGAGACGGAGTCTCGCTGTTGCCCAGGCGGAGTGCGGTGGCGCGATCTCGGCTCACTGCAGGCTCCGCCCCCCGGGGTTCACGCCGTTCTCCTGCTTCAGCCTCCCAAGTAGCTGGGACTACTTGGCGCCCGCCACCTCGCCCGGCTAATTTTTTGTATTTTTAGTAGAGACGGGGTTTCACCGTGTTAGCCAGGATGGTCTCCATCTCCTGACCTCGTGATCTGCCCGCCTCGGCCTTCCAGAGTGCTGGGATTACAGGCGTGAGCCACCGCGCCCGGCCGAGTTAGCTCCTTTCTTGTTACAATATAGTCTTGGTTGAATGTTGACAAATTTCACCCAGGAATGTGTGAGATAAAGTGGAATAATAGGCAATATTGGTAGTAAAGGGACAGAAATAGGTGTTGAAGAATCAGAAAATGGATCTTGTTCCATCATCTTAAATCTACTTTTGAAGTCAGTGGCTTCTGGAAGATTCTTATAGATTCTCTCAATATAAGGACATTAGAAAACACGGATGTTCAGTAGCTAGGAGAAAGTGGTACATATTTCTTTTTTTTTTTTTTTTTTTTTTTTTTTTTTTTTTTTTTGAGACGGAGTCTCGCTCTGTCGCCCAGGCTGGAGTGCAGTGGCGCAATCTCAGCTCACTGCAAGTTCCGCCTCCCGGGTTCACGCCATTCTCCCGCCTCAGCCTCCCGAGTAGCTGGGACTGCAGGCGCCCGCCACTGCGCCCAGCTAATTTTTTGTATTTTTAGTAGAGACGGGGTTTCACCATGGTCTCGATCTCCTGACCTTGTGATCTGCCCACCTCGGCCTCCCAAAGTGCTAGGATTACAGGCGTGCGCCACCGCGCCCAGCCTCATATTTCTTAAGTTGGGAAAAAATACATTACTGATTGAATGGCAACACATTTCATCCAGGAATGCTTCCTCTAGCATGAGCTAAAGATCATGACTACGTACTAGTCTACCTTCTGAGCTTTCAATCTTAGTTTTTCTGTGAGCAATTGTCCAAATCATAATAGCCACCCCCATAGGAGAAAGCAACGGTGTCCTTGTTCAGCATGTGACAAATCTCTTTTTGGAAATGCAGTCTCTAAATAAAACATGGGCTATAAAAATGCAACTTTGTCAGCAGAACTTGTCAGTTCTTTGTACACCCAACTATGCATTCAGATCATCTGAGAAATTTTTCTAACAGTTTCCTAAGCCTTATCCCAGACCTGCTGTTTGAATTTTTGGAATGGGGCTTGGAGATTCGAATATTTAAAAAGTGTCCTGAATGATTCAGATATTACATTTTGGGACCTTTTTCTGTTAGCAGCTATCTTGGTAAGAATCCTTGTTCTATCACTACCTTTTCCTTATATGGTTGGTTTCTAAGATATTTGCCAAATCCTTCCCAATGTACACTTAGACTCTGCAGAAATAAGCTGTTATTCTTGTCTTAAGTTTTTTGTTTTTTTTTTTTTTTTTTGAAATGGAGTCTCACTCTGTCACCCAGGCTGGAGTGCAGTGGCGCAATCTCAGCTCACTGCAACCTCTGCCTCCCAGGTTCAAGCGATTCTCCTGCCTCAACCTCCCAAGTAGCTGAGACTACAGATGTGTGCCACCATGCCCAGCTCATTTTTGTAGTAGAGATGGGGTTTCATCATGTTGGCCAAGCTGGTCTCAAGCTCGTGATCTCAGGAGATCCACCCACCTTGGCCTCCCAAAGTGCTGGGATTACAGTCATGAGCCACCGCGCCCAGCCATCTTAAGATTTTTAATAGTAGCAATATATTATGTAACGACAACAACAGCAATAAACCAGAGCATGGGGTCAGAACAGGACTGGGTAAGGTTGACTGGAAGGTACTTCACCTGAGCTAGTCTAGTGAGACTAAGAAAAGTATCAGCCTCAGAACTTGAGGTGGAAAATGGCTTGTGTATGTTTGTAAGTGACCTCAGCTGAAATGTGTGGTGTGGACAATGAAGGATGAGAAGACAGGAAGCCAGAAAGACCATTAAATTTAATAAAAAAGAAAAGGTCTTCGAGATTCATGAGACAACCACACTTGGTATGAATTCAATAATACTTCTAACACCCAAATGGAACACCTCAGCATTTTCTAAGATTTTAGCTTCCTGCATCTTCAAAACTACTTGTGCCATTTCCTATGATAGTGACCCAAGAACAAGGATGCCTTTAGCTAAATGTAATATTAGTCATAAAAGACAGAAATATCCTTTGAACCAAGACTCACTCACATGAGACAACATTGCTGTCAACAAGACATTGTTGAACAGAAGAGTGATTGTCTTCTATCCAAGGTGCTAATGGATAGGAGATGTATAGTTTGTTTAATAGCGTATTAACATACCACAACAAAACACAAATGGCATGAAGATACTTTGAGAACTTTCGACAAGAGCCAAAAATTGTCTTGAGAAACATTCTACCATATTTTAAAAATAAAATAAGGTATTTTAACTTTCAAATTATATAGAAGTTATATTTTTTAGGTTTTGTTGGTGCATGGAATAATAAAAATTGGGGTTTAGGGTTAAGGTAGAAACTCAGGTGAATTAGAAGTTAAAAATAGGAAACTTTGTAGTACCCATTATCAGTGAATGTGCTTCTGTCTGTGTGAATATCTGTGTGTATCCAAGCACGTAATTTTGTGTCATACCAACAATCTTATCTTTCTGGGAATGTTGTTTTTCTTTTTTCTTTTTCTTTGAGATGGAGTCTCGCTTTGTTGCCTAGCCTGGAGTGCAGTGGCGTGACCTTGGCTCACTGCAAGCTGTGTCCCCTGGGTTCACGCCATTCTCCTGCCTCAGCCTCCTGAGTAACTGGGACTACAGACGCTCACCACCACGCCCGGATAATTTTTTGTATTTTTAGTAGAGACGGGGTTTCACCGTAGCCAGGATGGTCTCAATCTCCTGACCTCATGATCTGCCCGCCTCGGCCTCCCAGAGTGCTGGGATTACAGGCATGAGCCACTGTGCCCGGCCTTTCTGTTTTCTTTTTCTTTTTTCTTTTTTGAGATAGAGTCTCACTCTGTCTCCCAGGCTGGAGTGCAGTGGCAGGATCTTGGCTCACTGCAACCTCTGCCTCCCGGGTTCAAGCAATTCTCGTGTCTCAGCCTCCTGAGTACCTGGGACTACAGGCGCCTGCCACCACACTTGGCTAATTTTTGTATTTTTAGTAGAGACGGGGTTTCACCATGTTGGCCAAGCTGGTCTTGAACTCCTGACCTCAGGTGATTAGCCCACTTTGCCCTTCCAAAGTGCAGGGATTACAGGTGTGAGCCACCACGCCTGGCCTGGGAATGTTTTTCACTACATAATTCCTTGGGGGCTGGCTAGGTAACCAAATAATATTGCAGAAATACTGAGGGTAGGTTGGTGGTTGCTACTGTGGTTTTTTCATCATAATTATAGTGGCTTTGTAAGGTGTAAGGCGTTAGCCTGGCTATGATGAACTACATTTCCCAGAATTTATTTTTCTGTACATTTCATGTTAGGGCAGACCACATGAGAGATTTAATGAGATTTGGAGACCAAAAGTGAATTAGCAGCCATTTCGTAGCTCACACACCTGAGGAGATTGCAATTACTCCTCCTTCCCCACATCCTCCCTCAGGGATCAGCTTCTCTAATTCCTGGGCTAAGTGTCTCTGTTTGACTCCATGACAAATGCTCCCCAGCACATGTAGGACACCCACACCATAAAGATCAGAGACAATGAGAAATGGCATGGGCTCCAGTGTGTTTTCACATACTCCAGCACATGCTTGTACTTCCATCTTGTTCTTGCTCACCCGCATTTTACATCCACCTTCCCTTCCTTACTGCCTGCTCTGTGGATTTCAGGCTCTAGCCTCAAATAAAAAGACAAATCTTACAGAGACTGCATAGCCAGCTCCTACAATTATGTATGGTCAGATCACTATAAAAGTATAAATGCATATCTATATCTATAATTGTAGATGACAGAGCTATGTATGTCTGTATCTATCTACTATCTATCTCTATCATAGTGTTTCTGCTTCTCTGATTTAACCCTGACTGATATCATAACTACAGGAGTTCCAAAACTTCCCAGGTCAAGCTCTATGAAGCCAGATTTGTCTTAACACACAGAGACACCCATGAAAGATACACACACACACACACACACACACACACACACATCAATTTTTTTGATAAGGCCTTTAGTTGAGATAAAGAGCTTGAGAACTTACATGTTTCATGCACTCCTTTACCGTATTGAATGGGAAACGGAAAAGCTGTACTTCATTGTGCTAATTTTCATACATCTAACTCAAATCAAAAATCACATGTGGAAAAGTGTCTATTAAACTTAACAGTTCTTTGACCCAATCAGACAACTTCTATGAATCTCTCCTATAAGAAAAGGAAAATGGCATTTCTCCACACACGTACATACTTTCAAGGTCGTAAAAAGGAACTGACTGCTTGAATCAACTGTGGTACATTCATACTAGAGCTTATTATGCAATTGCTATAAAGAATTATTTAAAAGTAATGCATATGTTATGTTCTTATCCTTGTGAAAAATAATAGGGGGAAATCCTACATTTTTGTATGTGTTTATAAATAGCATAGGAAAAGGTAGGTGAGGCATCACACTAGACTGAGAACGTTGTCTAATGGAATGGAGTGGGTTTGGCAGGAAAGGGAGATATTAACATTTTTTAATACAACACCTAAGCATTGTTTGAATTATTACAAAAAGCCTGCATTATTCTTGTAGTTTTCCCCATTCTCCCCAAAGTCTAATGAACTAACTTCAGATAACAATAATTTTGCTATGGTTTTATTTTTTCAAAAGAGAAAAGAAAGAAAGTACCATACGTGACTATTCCCCTGCTCCTTGCACCTAGTGAGTTGGCTGGGTGTGCTGTGCCTGTTAGGAAGACTACCCTAGACCCCAATCTGGACCCCTGATAAGGACCCCTGAATAGGTCACCCACTATCTTCTCTAGCTCTCAAGCTTGAATTTCCCCAATTCCCAGTTCAGAGCCAACCTCTCAGTATCAACCAAACCAAAGTCCAGAAATGGGTTATAGTTCTAGGAACTCAGCCCATGTGTAAAAATATTATTCTAGGTCATTCCTCATTCCTCTTGCACATGCACTGTTCAGACAGCCTCAGAACTATCTCATTTATTATTCAAGAGAATTATCTTTGTCTCATTTTAACAGTAACCTGTTATCAATCAATCAACAAATTTCTTTTGGAAGCCTAGTCAAATACCTACAGGAAAAACTAATATGATTAAGATAGATATATAATATATTGCATGTATATATGTATATATTTTTCTATATATATTTGCAATCAGATTTGCCTTAAAATTGGACAGACTTTATCAACTTGAGTAAGTAACTACTTTGGAATTGTACAGTCTTATGTGGTTTTAGAGGGTTCGTTTCCCTGGACCAAAGAAAAAAGTACCAGAAGTCACAACTAGGGAGTTATGAGGGAGGTTTCAGGCTCCCAAGGAATGTGACTTCCAAGATATACAGAAGACATTCTTCTTTATAATCCCATAATACAAGTCACAGAATATTCTTTATTGCTACTCCAGAAGGGAAATATATAAAGAAAACACTGGATTTTTAGGGAATCTATAAACATAAGATGATTATTACATAAATAATTTCAAGAATTGTATTTAGCCACCAACAGAAACCCACAAAACAAGGATAACAATGAGTCTGAAGGAAGAGTCTAGGATTAGCAGGACAGCTTCATGATGTCAGTGGGAACCCAGGCTCCTTCCCTGTTTACTCAGCCATCCTTTCCTGTTCCCTTTTCCTCATGATTACAAGATGGTTCCATTTCCACCATTCCATTCAATCCCCTCAGTGCTCCCAGTCCAACCCCCACTAGACATCAAGACTATGTTCCAGGCAGGAAATAGGGAGAAGAACAAGAGACAAACGTGCTAAGTCAGCCGCAGATAAAGAGCTCGAATCTCATTGGCTGGTGTGTCACATGCTAATTCCTAGCAACAAAAGAGCTGGAAAAAGTAATTGTGCCACTTATAGCACCCCCGCCCCCCACCCCGGAAAAAGCAAAGTTCTAATGGTAAAAAATAAGGGGAAAGGGAACATTAGGTTGGCAATTCCTACAGTAAGCAATCCAGGATTAAGTTTTTTTAGTTTGTTTCTTAAAAGTCAGACTGCTTCCTTCTGGGAATTGATTCAAGAAAATAAACAAGCAAACAAAGATATAATTTCATTCATTTTAACATTATTTCTTATGGTAGAATCTGGCTGGTTAGTAAAACGATCTGGCTCCCTACTCTTTCTCTGACCTCATCTCCCACCCACATTCCTCATTCTGCACCACCTTGCTGCTCTTCAACAATGCTGAGCATGTTATCTTGTTCATTGTTCTCCCTCTGCCTGGGTAGAGGGAGAATCTACCCAGATTTTCCCACAGCTTGCTTCCTCTCTGTACATCTCTGGTAAAATGTTTCTCTTTCCAGAAGCTTACATCACCTTCCATAAAACAGTAACTTACCTTACATTCCTTCATTTTCACTTTTATTACTCACTCCCACTTAACATTATATTTATTTTTTATTTTCTGTCTTTCTCCTTCTGTCTTGCTACTTAAGAATTGAAGCCTACAAGTATGACTGGCACAAAATAGGTATGAAATATTTGTTTTATGAGGGAATGAAGCTCTCCCTGTTTATTGAGGTCTTTTACGCCTCTCAAGAATATTGTGTAGTTTTTGTATAAAGCTCTTGCAGTTTCTTAGGTCTGTTCCTAGTTTTCACTGCTAATTGCTAATGTTACATTTTTTTACCTTTCACATTTTCTAATTGGTTTTTTGCTGGTCTGTATGAATGCTATTAATTTTAAAATATATTTAACAACTGGGCTGACCTTTCTAATTAGTTTTAACATATTTTAATTAGTTTAATACATTGACCTTTTAAATTAATTTTAACATAATGCGTTAAACTAATTAAAAAGGTCAGCCCAGTTATTAAATATATCCTTTAAGTTCTCTTGTATTTTTTTTGAAAGATAAGTAAGTAGTCTGGAAAAATTGCAATTTTTATTTTAATCCTTAAACTTCTTTCTTTTCTGATCTTTTGTTGTTGTTGTCATTTTACGTAGTGAGGCCTTCACTACAAGGTGAATAGGTCAGCAGTGGCTGGCATTGCTGCCTAATTCCCCACTGTTCATTCTATAAATGAGTAGGAGGAAGCTCAGAAGTTTAGATGATGTAATGACACAGCACAGCTGGCTGGTGACTGACTCTGTATCAGACTCTGTGAAGTTTTGCTACTCCACATCCTCATACAGTGTAGCACTTTATAATAAAAAGGATTTGGGAACTAGAACTAGCAGACTTGTGCATCACCATTTTGCAATGACCTTGTGCAAATTAATTCAGCATTTGAGACTGTTTCCTCCCATGTAAAATAAGAATATTGATATATACTACATAGAGTTTAACAAATGAATTGATTTCATATAAAACGTTTAGAAGACGGCCCAGCAAACTAGTTACTGAATAAATGTTCGTTAAATTAACATAAACTTAACATTAACTTAAACCTACCTACATTTTATGATTTTTTATTTGTGGTTTTCTAGTCATATGTCATGTATGAGACATATCTGAGGCCCTTTTATGGAGACTTTTAAATTTCTATCATGCCACTCAGATTTAAATTTGTGGTTGACCTTGTTCTAGATTATCACCTAAGTAGATACAATCAACTTTAATTGTGAAGATCTTTCTCTCGTTTCTTCTTT
This sequence comes from Homo sapiens, assembly GCF_000001405.40. Taxonomy (NCBI): domain Eukaryota; kingdom Metazoa; phylum Chordata; class Mammalia; order Primates; family Hominidae; genus Homo; species Homo sapiens. The sequence goes on along the minus strand of NC_000005.10, from coordinate 82,719,048 downwards.
CTTACTCCATATTATCCCCTTTTCCACACTCATAAGCCATGATTCATTCAATATTTTATGACATTCTTATGAATTTCCGGATTGCAAATTATGCACAAGTTACTGGCATATAGAATCATATAACCCTTTGGGGCTTTGAGTCCCTACGTGCATACAGTAAGGTTATTCAAGGGATTTTTTTAATGGTACCTTCTAATCCTTTAGGCTCATAAAATTAAACAATGTTTGATGGAAGAATTTTCTAATGGTACACTATATTACTACAGTGCTTTTGTTTTAGGCAGAACTAATGAGATTCTTTATCATCTTTCTTAATTTTACATGAAATACAGGTAAAGGAATTGGCATTGAGATCAGATTATAATTCACTCAGGATTTTAATTTATACTTTTCTTCAAATCAGGATAGATCAACCTATCAGCAAATTTTTCTTAAACATGACAGTAATCCTCAGTTATTATTTGGAGACAAAATTCAAATAACATTGAGGTTACATCCAATATCCTTTTAAGATGGACACTGAAAGATTCTGAGAGCAGACACATTTTTGTCGTAAGACTGTATGACAATATAAGAAAACATTTTACTTATTTATCTACTGAAAACCTATATTATGAAATTATAACATTGCATTCAAAACCTTGCCATCAGGTCAATTTTCTCATGCTTTATGTTTTAGATTATTCATAAACTCTCCCTCCTTCTTTCTTTTCTCCTTCCCTTCACTCATGTTTAGGCTTAAATAAACAGATAGAATTGACATGTTACAGACATAACATGATATCATGGAAAATGAAAAGACTATTTGTAATGAAAGCGCCTACTGACTAGTTGTATTATTAGTCTGTTCTCACACTCCTATAAAGAAATACCTGAGACTGGGTAATTTATAAAGAAAAGAGGTTTAATTAACTTACTGTTCTGCATGCTGTACAGGAAGCATAATACCAGCATCTGCTCAGCTTCTGACAGGGCCTCAGAAAACTTCTAATCATGGCAGAAGGCAAGGGGGAAGCTGGCACTTCACATGGATGGAGTAGGAGGATGAGAGAGAGCGGGGAGGTGCTACACGCTTTCAAAACAGCCAGATCTCATGAGTATTCACTTCCTAACTATCACAAGAATAGCACTGAGGGGATGGTGGTAAACCATTTGTGAGAACTGCACCCTCACTATCCAGTCACCTCCCACCAGGCCCCACCTCCAACACTGGAGATTGCAATTCAACATGAGATTTGATAGGGACACAGATCCAAACCATATCACTAGTTATACTTAACAGAATTCTGATGACCATAACATTTGGGCATCTTAAGAAACACTCTTGTCGAAACCATCTTACAGATAAGAATACCAAGTACAGTTGGCATGGGTTCCACGTCTGCAGATGCAACAGCTGTGGGTTCAAAATGTTTTTAAAAACAACAACATAACAATATTTAAAAAATAACAATATATCAATAAAAAATAATACAAGTAAAAATACAGTAAAAGAACTATTATGTAGCAGTAATGTGGTATTACGTATTATGAGTCATCTAGAGATGAGCTAAAGTATATGGGTGGCTGTGTACAGGTTTTATACAAATACCATGCTGTTTTGTATAAAGGATTTTAGTATCCATGGATTTTGGTATCCTCAGGGGGTCCTGGAACCAAATGCTTGCAGATACTGATGGACAACTGTACAAGATTTAGTGACCTAAACACCACTTCACTCTGTGTTAGAAGTAGAATCAGAACTATAATCTCGTTCTCCTGAAATTGATCTAATTCTTTCTCCTTCTGCCATGATATCTCAGTTATGAAAACTAAAGGAAAAAAGCGAATGAGATCAAGGATATGGAACTAATCCCAGAATTTATACTTACTCTGTGATACTAGGCTAGTCGAGTGTCTTATAAAGTTTTTAACTTTGTACATGTACTACAGATTAAAAGGAGAATGAGGCACTCAGCTATAAATGGATCAGTTCCATTATTCTTAAAATCTTAAAGACTGGTTATTGTTGTCACCTCTGTATAAGAAAAAAATGCAACATTCAACCATTCTCCCACCTAACAAGAGTGTTAAAGAAGTGATTCTTTTAATTTGATAACTAATATTTATGGAGGATTCCACCATATGTCAACATAAGAAAGGTGACCAGGAGGAAGAAAATTCTATCAGTGAACTGGGGAAATGTAAAAAAGGCCCAGAAAACAAAACAAAACTATACTTAGTTTGGGATTGTTCTATTTATCTTGTAATAAACCAATTGTTCATTCATTTGGGGTCCCAAATCATGAAATGTTAAACCAGAATCTTGGCTCCTACTCACTGGTGCTTTCTCTTCCCAAAAAACCCTTTATATAAGGAAATATTTTAGATCAAACCTAAAAACAATCTTCAACAAAACACGTGACACTTGAATAATTTTAGGATATGATTAGATTTAGGGAAATGTAAGGCCTCATGGTAACAGTGTCTATTCTCTTAATGAATATGTATCAAATGTCAATTTTTTTGTTATAAAACAAATTAAATTGCCAATTAGGGCATTTAGTAGTGACCTATTAAAAGGAAACTGACCGATAAAAGGTAAATGATGAAAGACCTGAAAAGAAGAATATCTGAAAGATTAAAAAAATAGTAAAGAGAAGAAAACAAAAACAGAATATAGGGGGTGTGAGCAAAAGAAATTGAGTCATAAAAAGTTGTTTGTTTTTTAATTAACTAAACATAAGGAAAACAGGGCCAGGCATTGTGGTTTATGCCTGCAATCCCAGCACTTTGGGAAGCTGAAGCAGGAGGATGGCTTAAGCCCAGGAATTTGAGACTGGCCTGGGCAACATAGTGGTACCCTGTCTCTAGACATTTTTTCTTTTCTTTTTTCTTTTCTTTTCTTTTCTCTTCTCTTTTCTTTTTCCTTTTCTTTTTCCTTTTCCTTTCCTTTCCTTTCTTTCCTTTTTTTTTTTTTTTTTGAGATAGAGTCTCGCCTTGTTGCCCAGGCTGGAATGCAGTGGCATGATGTTGTGTCCGGAATCGGTGGGTTCTTGGTCTCACTGACTTCAAGAATGAAGCCGCGGACCCTCGCAGTGAGTGTTACAGCTCTTAAGGTGGCGCGTCTGGAGTTGTTCGTTCCTCCCGGTGGGCTCCTGGTCTCGCTGGCTTCAGGAGTGAAGCTGCAGACCTTTGTGGTGAGTGTTACAGCTCATAAAAGCAGCGTGGACCCAAAGAGTGAGCAGTAGCAAGATTTATTGCAAAGAGCGAAAGAACAAAGCTTCCACAGTGTGGAAGGGGACCCGAGTGGGTTGCCACTGCTGACTCGGGCAGCCTGCTTTTATTCTCTTATCTGGCCCCACCCACATCCTGCTGACTGGTAGAGCCAAGTGGTCTGTTTTGACAGGGTGCTGATTGGTGCATTTACAATCCCTGAGCTAGACACAAAGGTTCTCCACGTCCCCACTAGATACAGAGTGTGGACACAAAGGTTCTCCAAGGCCCCACCAGAGTAGCTAGATAGAGAGTGTTGATTGGTGCATTCACAAACCCTGAGCTAGACACAGGGTGCTGATTGGTGTGTTTACAAACCTTGAGCTACAGACAGAGTGCCGATTGGTGTATTTACAATCCCTGAGCTAGACATAAAGGTTCTCCACGTCCCCACCAGAGTAGCTAGATACAGAGTGTCGATTGATGCATTCACAAACCCTGAGCCAGACATAAATGTTCTCCAAGGCCCCACCAGAGTAGCTAGATACAGAGTGTCGATTGGTGCACTCACAAACCCTGAGCTAGACACAAGGTGCTGATTGGTGTGTTTACAAACCTTGAGCTAGAGACAGAGTGCCAACTGGTGTATTTACAATCCCTGAGCTAGACATAAAGGTTCTCCAAGGCCCCACCAGACTCAGGAGCTCAGCTGGCTTCACCCAGTGGATCCCGCACTGGGGCTGCAGGTGGAGCTGCCTGCCAGTCCTGCTCCGTGGGCCTGCACTCCTCAGCCCTTGGGTGGTCGATGGGACTGGGCGCCCTGGAGCAGGGGGCGGTGCTTGTTGAGGAGGCTCGGGCCACACAGGAGCCCACGGAGGGGGTGGGAGGCTCAGGCATGGCAGGCTGCAGGTCCCGAGCCCTGCCCCACGGGAAGGCAGCTAAGGCCCCGCGAGAAATTGAGTGCAGCGCTGGTGGGCTGGCACTGCTGGGGGACCCAGTTCACCCTCCGCAGCTGCTGGCCCGGGTGCTAAGCCCCTCACTGCCCGGGGCCGGCAGGGCTGGCCAGGCCGGCTGGCTGCTCCGAGTGCAGGGCCCGCCAAGCCCACGCCCACCCGGAACTCCAGCTGGCCCGCAAGCGCTGCATGCAGCCCCGGTTCCCACTGGTGCCTCTCCCTCCACACCTCCCTGCAAGCTGAGGGAGTGGGCTCCGGCCTTGACCAGCCCAGAAAGGGGCTCCCACAGTGCAGCAGTGGGCTGAAGGGCTCCTCAAGTGCCACTAAAGTGGGAGCCCAGGCAGAGGAGGCGCCAAGAGCCAGTGAGCACTGTGAGGACTGCCAGCACGCTGTCACCTCTCAATCCCCCCTCTAAACAGGACACCCCAACTGCTGTTGGGAATTTGGCCGATGACCACTCTAGCTACTTCCTGCTGGATAGGGGCGAGGACTACCAGCACGCTGTCACCTCTCAATGTTGGCTCACTCCAACCTCCACTTCCCAGGTTCAACTGATTCTCCTGCCTCAACCTCCCAAGTAGCTGGGAATACAGGCGTCTGCCACCATACCTGGCTATTTTTTTTGTATTTTTAGTAGAGATTGGGTTTCACCAAGTTGGCCAGGCTGGTGTTGAACTCCTGACCTCACATTTTTTTCTTTTTTTAAATTAGCTGGTCATGGTGGTACACGCCTGTAGTCCCAGCTATGCAGGAGACTGAGGCAGGAGGGTCACTTGAGCATAGGAAGTTGAGGCTGCAGTGAGCAGTGATTGAACCACTGCACTCCAGCCTGGATGACAGAGTGAAACACTGGAAAAAGAAAGAGAGAGAGAGAGAGAGAAAGAGAGAGAGAGAAGAAAGAGAGAAGAAAGAGAGAAAGAGAGAAAGAGAGAGAGAAACAGTGGATTAAAACGTGAGACTTAATTTCTTCTATGATAATGACCAATTCAAGAGGTTTCTGGGTATGGGAAATTTTGCACCAGAAGGCTGGCCTAAGTGGAGGATTTTAGGGTGAAGCTGGGTGACAATATGGGCTAGAAGGGCTATATGTGGGGATGCCTTGAGGAGGAAGGGGACTGAGGATCTCACAAGAAAGAAAAAGTAGCCAGATATCAGAGCTAAGATGAAGAAATGTGTATTCAGTATATTTTTACATAGCCATAAGGCTAGAATACACATTTTGAAAGAGGTTGTAGGACTACAAGGTAAGTATCTCTACCTCCAGACAGGGAGACAGTTTCTAAGGTTCAGACTCCTCTTACCAGTGGCCTCTGCCAGTAGGAACCAGAGTTCATTGGCATATGCAGTCTCTCTAGGAGATGCCAGCCTCTCCTTCAAACTCAGATAGAGAAACTTTTAACCATCCAACCTGGCTCTCTGTCTCCAGAGACATCCTGTTTTACACTCACATGCACCAAACCCTATGAGCCAAGAAAGAATCTCTGAGCCCAGATGCTACCCCTAACTGCCAATGGACATTGGAGGAAAACAGAGAAATGAGAAGGAATTCCCAGAGAAACCAGAGCAATTTTATTAATTAGTTGTGAATCATGGTTATAATGAAAGGTAGGCCCAGGATGTTTGGAAAAGCAGAGATGAAGAGCCTAACTCAGTTTGGGTTATTGGGAGGTGGGAACCTAACAGAGAGAATTTTTATGAGAAGATAAGGTTTTAACTGGCTCCAGAGAGTCAATTAGGAGAGCTGTATTCTTTCTTCCCTAGGAGCAGACTTGGGGTGAGAAAGAAGCCATTTCAGCTAGAAATTGAATAATATTTGCAAAATACTTTTGAAAAAATTCCAGTGATTCCAGAGGGCTGAGGAGAAAAGCTTCAATCCAATGCTAAGGGGCTTTAGTTATCTTTCTAACGAGTCTGGGATGAATATTGAAGCCATCGATAGGTTTCACTAAGTAAAGTGATGAGATTTGAGTTTTACAGCTAAGAACAGGATATGGCGTAGAGGTAAGTCTAAGTATTAACATGCTTCCTCTGCCTTCTAAAAGTCATTGCCCGGGGCCATTTCCCTCCCCAGTGGTTTGAACTAAAATTGTGTGGAGGAGAATTTGGAGTGGGTTCTGAAGCCAAGCTCAACCCTCTTTTTGTCTTGGGAAAGTTACTTAATTTTCTTTGCTCCCATTTTCTTCTTGCAAATTAGAAATGGATGTAATGCTATTTTATACAGTTGCTGTGGCCATTAAATGAGATAATGAATGAAAATCATGTATCAGTGTCTGGTACCTAATGAGAGGCCAATAAATACTTTTATTAGGAAGAGATGATGCCAGACATCTGGAATTTCTCCTAGAACCCACATCTCTGAAGCATCATGCAATTGCTATTCATGGTGCTCATAGTATTTCACTACAAGAAGGGGCAAAGGCATCACACGTACACTGGACTTATCCTCCTTCCATACTCATCCAAAATTGCAAATAGCCTTAGCCCTGGCTGTGCTGTGAGTGTGAGCCTAAGTGGGAAACATGCACACATTCAAGGAATACACACAAGAAAACACTGGTCTACACTTGGGCTCCCCTCCTCTCTTTCCAAACACATTAAGCCATCTGAGAAACAAAGGAGCATCTATCATCAAATATCATTTACTCAGCATTTAGCTCCATGCCTTTCTTACACATAGTGTTTGGTAAATGTTAGTTAAGAAATCAATCTGCAAGGTATCATTAACATCTACTATGTGGGAGTTCTAATAGATAAAATACATCATCATTGTTAAACAAATTTTGAGTATATTTGGAGAGAGAGAACACACATACAAACTCCTGCTGAACAAGTCTGGAGAGTAAGAGAAAGACAAGTGAATTCATCAGGAAAGGCTTGAGGAGGCTGATGATTATTATGTGTCTGAAAAGTAATTTATAGAAGTCTTTCTCAAAGTGAGGCCTGTGGACCATCTGCATCAGAATTACCTAGGGTGTTTGTTTAAAAAAACACATGGCCAAGCCCCAGTTCTGCTGCACTGAGTTTTACCCTAGGGGATTTTGATTTTCATTCAAGTTGTAGAACCACTTGTATATAACTTTCTGTTTTTTAGAGGAGAGATTCTTTTGATTCAAATCATAATTATCTAACTTTACCTTTCACTCTCCCACCTCAGTTCCGATCCAGATGTTGGGGCTGAGTGACGGTAAAAGCTCCCTTTTCCACGCAAGCCTTCCTTCTCTCCATCTCCTGGGATTCATTAAAGTGAGCCCATTAGGATGGTAACAGGATCACTCCTTGATTTGACTTTTGCCAACCTTGCTTATCGTAAGAATCACTTGGTGAGTTGGCTTAATATTCAACCCAGCCTACAGCCCAGTGGAATGGAAGCAGAATCTACAGAGGGGAGACTTGAATCTGCATTTTTAATAGTCACATCAAGGAAAATCTTATGCTCAGTCAAGTTTTGAAAATAATTGCTTTTAAACATTGTGAGTTTACTGGTTAATGCCAACCAATATAAAAAAGCCATTTCAGGGTAATAATTTAAATCAAACTTTGATCATTACTTTTCTGTTTTGGTCATGGAAACATTATTTTGGACACTTGGTTGATGTTTGATTTTATTTCTTCTTACACTCTAAGATGCAAACTACGATAGTAGTTGAACGGTTTTGTTAAGGTCACATTTTTATAAATATTCAAAAAATGAAACATTAACCAACTCAGCTAAAAATATAAAATAAATATAAAAATATAAGGAAGAAAAACACATTCAACATTATTTACTTATTAGAAAAAACAGTTGGTCTCCTCTAGCATATACCAATAATTTAAAACTGGAGTCGATTTCTCCTACTTAACTTCAAGAAGTGTTTATGTACTTTATTATTAGGGAGAGAGAAAATATGTAAGTTCAGTCTGTTTTTTTCCTGGACCTAAGAGTTTAATAAAGTAAGACTATGAATAATTTTCATGTTGAAGGGTCTATAAAATGTGCTAGTAATTCTTAATTTTATTGCCTTATGTTTAGAAAGTACCATTCATATTTTTTCTATTCTTTGGGTTTTTTTTGAGCTTTTAATTTTTTGGTTGTCTCAGTATTCATGAGTATTCTCTGTGTACCTGAAAATAAGACATATATTCTCTACTACAGGTGTACAGAGTTTGATATATCTATAAGATACATCTTATAAATTGTTCTTCTATATTCTTACTAAATGTGTGACTATTTGTCTTGTATTGACAGTGATATGTTAACGTTTTCTATTTTTTGTGTGTTTCCACCTATTTCTTCTTGCATTCTTGCATTTCCTATAGTTTCTGCTTTATGAAAATTGTTGATTTTTTGAGCATATAAATACTAATATCAATTTTATATTTATAAATTATAGCTTCTGGTATTATAAAGTATCCTTTTAAAAAATTATTTTAAGACATTTTAGGTTGAATCCTATCTTATCAAATATAAAAATATCCTGCTTTCTGTTTCTTTGTATTTGTCTGGTGTACATATTTGTATCCTTGTGTTTTTAACTTTTCTGAATCTTTTGGGTTTGGTTTTGTTTTGCTTTGTTAGAAAACCTGAAAATGTTTTTCTTTTTAATAGGTATGTTAAGCTCATTTATTTTATAGATACCACTATGTAGGCTGTTCTCTCTCACTCTTCCTCCCTCTCTCTTTCAGTATATTTTTGATATTTAGAAAGATTTTTATTTTTATGGTAATATTTACATTTAATACAACACCTCATATAATACTCTTAATTCCTCTTTCATTAGGTGTTGTCTACTGGTTTCCTCTCATTAAAAAAAAAAATCTTCTAGGGAGATTGTTTTCTCACCTTCTCCCTGCTTCTTAATACAAATTCAATTCTATGTAATATTCTTTTATTCTGGACAATATTTATAAGGCTCTTAGCAAAATGTTTCTATTTTTAATTTTTTTATTATTTTTTTTTATTATACTTTAAGTTCTAGGGTACATGTGCACATTGTGCAGGTTAGTTACATATGTATACATGTGCCATGCTGGTGCGCTGCACCCACTAACTCGTCATCTAGCATTAGGTATATCTCCCAATGCTATCCCTCCCCCCTCCCCCCACCCCACAACAGTCCCCAGAGTGTGATATTCCCCTTCCTGTGTCCATGTGATCTCATTGTTCAATTCCCACCTATGAGTGAGAATATGCGGTGTTTGGTTTTTTGTTCTTGCGATAGTTTACTGACAATGATGATTTCCAATTTCATCCATGTCCCTACAAAGGACATGAACTCATCATTTTATGATCATATGGTTTGCTCCAGTATTTTTTATCTGAAGGTCAGTTTGGCTCTTCATTAAATCCTGGGCGTATAACTTTTTCTTGAAGTCACAGCTAAGAGGAATTTTTGTTGTTGGAGTTTTAGATGAGAGAGAGAGAGAGAAAGAAGTCAAAGAAGACATTAACATTTTTGGTTTGAGCAATTAGATGAAAGGAGTTGTTATTCCCTAAAATTAGAAAAATGTATTGGTTGACTGGTAGGGTAGCAGGTTTGGGTGAAGAAAATTAAGAATGGAGTTCGTGTGTTTGTGTTTGTGTGTGTGCATTTTCTTTTTCGGTGCACAAGAAGTCTCACTATGTTTCCCAGGCTGGTCTTGAACTCCTGTCTCAAGTGATCCTCCCACCTTGGCCTCCCAAAACATTGAGATGACAGGTGTGAGCCACCGCACCAGAGCAAGAGTGGGTTTTGACATGTTCATTTGGCATGCCTTTAATTTAATTTATTGTTTTAAACTGATGCATAATAACTATCCGTATTTATGGAGTATAGTGTGATATTTCAATACTTGTATACAATGTATAATTATCAAATCCGAGTAATTACACATTCATTGCCTTAAGTATTTCTTATTTCTTTATGTTGAGAACATTCAAAATCCATTCTTCTAGCTATTTGATAATACACAATAAATTATTGACATGTCTCTTAAACATTCAAACAGTGAATCTAGGTAACTAGTTGAATGTGTGAATCAGAAGTACAATCAAGAGGTCGGAATAAAGATGGACACTTGAGAGTTGTAGAAAGTATTTAAAGCATGAAACAGACTAAGATACACTTATTAAGCCATATGTGTGTGTAGACATCGGAAATAAAAGGAAACCCCAACAAAGAAGACAGCAAAGGAGTGTCTGGTAAGCTAGGAGCAACACGAGGAGAGTGGTGGTGTCCCAGAGGCCAAGTGAAGAAAGTGCTTCAAGAAAGAGATAATTGGCCGGGCACAGTGGCTCACACCTGTAATCCCAGCACTTTGCGAGGCTGAGGCGGGCGGATCACCTGAGGTCAGCAGTTCGAGACCACCTGGCTAACTTGGTGAAACCTCATCTGTGCTAAAAATACAAAAAAATTAGCCAGGCACAGTGATGAGTGCCTGTAATCCCAGCTACTTGGGAGGCTGAGGCACAAGAATTGCTTGAACCTGGGAGGTAGAGGTTACAGTGAGCCAAGATCACCCCACTGCACTCCAGCCTGGGCAACAGAGTGAGACTTTTTCTCAAAAAAAGAAAACCAAAAAAAACCAAAAAAGAGGTAATTGGTCACTATATTGCATTTATTTACATTTTTGTTCAAGTATTATTGGACTTAAAATTTTTTCCTTATCTCCTTAATTTTTTATTTTAAGAACCATCAAAATAAGATATCTGGTAATGAAGGTAAAAGTTGATCTTTATCTAATTGATATTATTCATACCCACAGCTTTAACTAATTTGTTCTAATTTTGACTTTAATTCCTTTAAATAAGTCTTTAAAAACAAAGGTAATTTCTTCCACACTTTAAAATCTATAAAAAAGCAATTTTACTCTTTGTTCAGACTCAGCTAAAGCGAGCCACACTGGAAAGAGTAATGAGAGGTGAATCAAATCTCCATAAGGATTCTCATTGTTGTACAGCAGGTATTGACTTTGTCCACTATTGAAACAGAAGCATGTGTTCATACCAGAGATTTTATGACCTGTGGTCACAGTGGGTGATTCAACACAAATCCTAGATTCCTATGATCCTCAAAAGGCTGTACAAATTTACTTTCCAACTTTCTAATCTTTTCCAGTGACTTACCCACATAATATAAGTGGGTTCTCAACAAAACAAAAACATTTTAGCCTTGGGCCTGAAATGAATTTAGCTGGAACCTCATTTAAAAAATGAAAGAGCAGATAATTATTAGTTCATTTGACTCCTTTTCCCCCTTCCTCCCTATTGTGAAGATAAGATTCTCTGCAAAGAATAAAAGATCAAGAACCCTTTTTGGATCCTCGAGAATTTAGAATAAAATTCTCCGTGTCTTTTACTTTTCTTTGGTGAGTTGGTTAGCTAATTAGCTTAAAGCTAGTTCGAGCAGATGCTGTATAACTCCCAGATTCCCCTGTAGGATAGAGATACTCACTCCCCTAGCTGCCAAGAATGTTGACCCTGCTGAAAGCTCACAGCGGAATTCCTCCCAAGAAATCACCCTTAGTTGAATAAAGCTGCTTCATCCAAGGTTATGTCTCTCCCAGGGACAGTCCACTTCCAGTGACTGGTCAGTGTAGGTATGTAAAGGCCAGCCTGCTTGTTCCATTTAGGATGTCTCAGAAAGGCCATCTCAACCTCAAATCTCTCCATGGCATTGTTTGAGAAGTCCAATATTGGCATCGCTTTGCAGGTTAACCTCTCCCTCTGTGCAATTCTGCTCTGTGTGTGTGTGTGTGTGTGTGTGTGTGTGTGTGTGTGTGTCTCAAATGTGTTATTCCTGATAACATTCTCCAATACACAACTACATATAAAACTCCATCTCAGAGTCTATTTCCCTGACAGCTTGACCTAGGACAATTAGTACAATAGTGACCCATGGAGCCACTAAAATAGATTTTGAAACTGAATTCCCAAATAGCTGGTAGGTAATGATTATGAGTGGAGTAGTAATAGGCCCCAGCCACTAGTGTTGAATTGTTAAAACTTTTACTGATAGCGAACGGGAGTGGGATCTGTGGTGAAAGGAAATACACTGGCAGGTGTAATATCCCAGGCATGTGGGAGGTTCAGGGCAAGTGATAATGAAAAGCGTACTGCGTTGGATGATTTCTGCTAAGGACTAGGAGTGCATTAAAGAAAGTTAACTTAAAACTTATTGCCTAAATAAGAAAAAGTATAAAAAGCAGAGGGCCACATATAGAGATCCTCATCGACTCAGCCAGAGGCAGAAAATACTGAGGTTTAGAATCTCTAGAGAACACTGAATTTTCAGCACCACTGAGACTGCTATCACAAAATCTGGTTGGAAAAGAGTGAGACCCTGAGACTTAGGGTGGGGACATTTAGATCAATACACTCAAACACCTTGAATTTACAGATTCTTTTGAACCTTTTGGATTGTGGAAGGCACCCTCTTTTTCTTCCTGAAAAAGACCAGCACTCTTTTCTTGCTTGAGTGATAAAATATGTCTGTCTTGCAAGAAACACCCCTATTAAGATCTATCTCCAACTCCACTCTTGGCCACGAGAACAATGAATAAGATTGGGTCACAACATTACCTGGACATAAAATTTCCAGGCCTTTATGGAAGAAATTCTCAAAGGAACTGCAGGACCTTGCTAATGTGGCCTCATAGGAGCCAGGAGTGTATGTGTGGACTGTATCCTGAAGGTTTTGGATTAAGGTACATGTAATATAAAGTTGAATAGGAAAGAGTTTGTTAATATGAGAATATGCTCCTGTGATATAGCATTGATACTACATTGCTAGGTGTTACTAACAGATTGCTGGGTTGGCTCTTGGAAGCTTGGAAAAAGCAATGGCCCATAGCAAGTAGAGTAGAAGTGTGAGAGCCACTATAGATAATGGAGGAGAAGGGATCAAACAGCTTACAAAAGCTGAATTGCTTGAGTGAATATACTGCATGAGGCAAAAAACAAAACAAAACAAAACAAAAACCAAAAAACAAACAAACAAAAAAAACCCAGCTGACTATGTTAATGGAAGTGTCTGGTGTATGCACCATTTACCAAAGCGATAAGAAATGCACTGGTAAGAAGTTCAATGGTGTCTTTCCTCTGTAGGTGAGGGCTGATGTATAAAATGCTACTGTAAAACCAAGCTTCCTGATGGGAATGGAAATGAAAGGATCCAGAACTAATGGAGACCAGGTAGCAGCACTTGGTCATCAGAAGCAAGGTGAGCACATTTATCATGAGCATCACAGTCAGAGAGGTAGCCAGGATGTGTGGATGCACAGAGAGGCATAGATGCGTTTAATAGAGGACCACTTTGCTAAGGGAAAGATAGATGGGCAGTGAACAAATATATTGCTTAATCCATATAATCAAAAGATATCAAGGAGGCTGAGAGAATATGCCCTAATGGAAAAGTTAAAACCCCACTCAAATTTTGTTCAAGTCTGGCCTTCAACAGATTAGATGAGACCCACGCACATAGGAGAGGGCAATCTATTTTACTCAGTCTACTGATTTAAACGTTAATCTCATCCCAAACAGCTTCACTGACATACCCAGAATTATGTTTAATGAGATATCTGGGCACCCTATGGCCCAGTCAAGTTGACACATAAAATCAACCATTAGACATAGTAAATCAAAACCAATATTATATCTTTATGGCATAGCCTGGTGTTATCTAAAGAGATGCAGTGGCCATTGTTCCATAATATCTTCATTTTATTCTCTGGTGTGGACCCTATGAAGATGAGAAGGATCTTGAAAAATGACAGTGGACTCAATAATAAAGAAGTCTCAATTACTGCTCCTGTGTATTTTTGATAGAGCAGATTAACACAGTCTTAGGTATGTGATATGTGATCATGGGTCTTAAGAACACATTTTCTTCCCTTCCTATCATGGGGCAGGACCAGAAGGTGTTCACTTCCATTAAAGACAACAGTACACATTTATGATTTTTCTCTAGGGCTGTAGCTTTCCCATTCTTTGTCATAATATAGTCTGAAAGGATGTTGTGGATTCTCTGGACATTCTGCAAAAATTGAACTAATTTACTATATTAATGACATCTTCCAAATTAGACCAGATAAGCAGGTTGTGAAAAATTTATTGATCATTATAAGACACATGTATTTGAGAGATAAACCATGCAAAGATTCGGGGGCCTGCCACATCAATGAGGCTTTTAGGATCCAGTGTCTTACAGAATACCTGAATCTCCTCTTCAAAGTAAAGGATAAATTATTTCATCTTGCCTCTTACACCATTAAAAAGCAATCACAACACCTGTTAGCTTATTTATGGTCTGGAGGCAGCATATTTCACACACATGGGAGTATTGCTTCAATTCATTAACTGAATGACTTGGAAGGCTTCCAGGTTTGCATGGGACCCAGAGCAGGAAAATGTTCTACAGCAGGTCTCGGTTGTAGTGCAAGCTCTCCTCCAGAGGAAAACAAGTCTCAGAGTCTCAGAACAAAACTCTGCCCTCAGCAGAGGAAAATTATCCACCATATCGACTGGTATGTTCCTGGGCCCTGGTAGAGATGGAGTTCTGACCATGGTGTATGAAGTGACTACATAGCCATGACCCCATCCTGAGCCCATCTTGAGCTGAGTTCTCTCAGACCTACCATTTCATAAAGTCTAGTAAGCCCTGCGGTAAATGGTACATCTAGGATTGGGCACAAGCAAGGCCATAGCACAGAAGCAAGCTGCAAATCAGGTGTCTCAGATTCTCATGTCTTTCATCAATATTGTATCTATGGCTTTCCCTCTAGTCTCACCTATGGCCACATGTGGAAAGGGTTCGGGGGAGGTGATTCCCTTATTTCCTGCTGACTGAGGAGGATAAAGGGTGAAATTGGTTCACAGATGAGTTGGCTTCATATGTGATTGCAAGCCAGAATTGGATCCAGAAGCACTAGAACCCTACTCAGGAGTCTCTCTGAAAGATAGTAGTGAAGTCTCCTTCTCTGTCTGCAGTCCCTGCCTTATCAATTTCATACAGTCTGATGACTTTAAACACTATCTATATGCTGAGGCCTCTCAAATTTATATGCAACCCAGATAGCTGCTCTGAACTCCAGATTTGTCTCTGTAATTACTAAATCTTTTATGCACACAGTAAAAAAAAAAAACAACTAATAGTTATCTCAAACAATATGTCCAAATGAAGCTCTTATTTTTCCTTAAAAACATGCTTGGCCGGGCACAGTGGCTCACTCTTGTAATCCCAGAACTTTAGGAGGCTGAGACGGGTGGATCACGAGGTCAGGAGTTTGAGACCAGCCTGGCCAACATGGTGAAACCCTGTCTGTACTAAAAATACAAAAATTAGCTGGGTGTGGTGGTATGCACCTGTAATCCCAGCTACTTGGGAGGCTGAGGCAGGAGAATTGCTTGGACCTGGGATACAGAGGTTGCAGTGAGCTGAGATCGCACCACTGCACTCCAGCCTGGGTGTTCGGGCAAGACTTTGTCTCGGGGGAAACAAAACAAAACAACAACAACAAAAAATGCTCTACCTCAATTCTTTCCATATTCATAAATGAGAGTTCTATTTTTCTAGTTGCTTTACCCAAAAATCTTGAAGTTATCCTTTATATTTCACTTTCTTTAATATCCATCTACAAATCTTAGTGGCCCTACATTCAAAGTATACCCAGAATGTGACCATTTCTCACCACCTTTACTGTTACCTTCCTGGTCCAAACTAACATCGTCTCTCACTTCAATTCATCTCTAGCAATTTTATTCTCCAAGTCTCTGAAGGTTAGTAATCAAGCAGATCGAAAGAAATAAATCAAGATGATAAATAATTTTGTAGATAAAAACATTTTAAATCGTGGCAACAGGAATGCAGAAAAGGTAGAGATTATGAATCACAAACATGCTGTATGTCTGATGTGATGGAGGGAGGGGTCTAAAGTTGAGTGGGCAAGGAGAGATCCTTTCTATGCAGAGCCTTTTAAACTTCTTGATTATGTTCACAATCAGCACTGAAAACAGAAAACCTCTGGAATCTTGATAGATTTCTAACTTCTCCAGGAAAGAAGGAATCAAAATATTTTACATTATAATAAAAGGGAATATATTCTATTTCTTTCAAATAAAGCAGGACTCTTCTTTTTTATCATTGTCTGGCTATGCAGGAGGGATGCTACTTTATAAAAAGAATCTCTCAGCTCAGTTTTGAGACTATTTCTAGATTTATGTCTCCTTGCTCTTCCAGAAAATAAGGGTAACATCAGTAGATTTATCAGACTAATGAATTAATTAACATAGTGTCTAGAGGAGTGAGGGAGCAATGTCCTTTTCTACCACTGTAAAGACAAAGTGATTGGGCGGTCATCAATCAAACGGTTAGAATCAGTGAGGTCAACCCTCCCAATATCCTGCCCAGACCATTGGCCTTATATTCAATTTTTTAAAAAAGAGAAATGTATTTCACAGAAGGTAGTTACCAACCAAAGACTAATCGTTATTTTCTAGGAGACAAATCTGGCTTTCCATTTATGGCACATCCATCAAATCTGACAAAGCCAATTTATCCTCTCATTTTAAAGTGATGTCTGCAACTAGTGTTTTTCTTTTCTTTTTCTTTTTTTTTTTTTTTTTTTGCCTGCTTTACAGCTCTATGATATCAATTCTCTGGGGTCTTTCTTTGCTCCATTCTAAACTTGGAGGCTTTCTTACCAGCAAGAAGTGTTCTAAATAGCAAACATCTCTACCATGTCTCTTTCCAAAAAGTAGAAAAAACACTTCTGGGCTTGAATAAAAAGATAAATACTCGGACATTTACACAAGTCATGCCTTTTTAAACATTGACTAAGAATTTAAAGCTGAAGGCCATGGCATAAGACACTGGCTATTTTAAACACCTACTGTTCCTTAAAAATGTTAGATATTTCTAGATCCACTTCTTTATAAATCTTAATCCTCAACACCAAACTTTCATAGGAGGGGAAAAAAGAAAAGAAGCAGATTATAAGAGAAGGGTTTTGGGAACCAGACACTCACACTGGTTTTCTATCACCTAATATAAAAGTCAAGAAACTTAGAATTACCAGTGATTGAGCAATTTATCTTTCATGGCAGTGAAAATGAATTATAAATGTTAAATGTAGTATTCTTTTATCACAAAGACATATTATCTACCTCCGAGCTCATGTGAGAGAGCAGTGTTTAAACTTTGTTCTATTTATATTATGTACCTAATTTTGACAGAAACCAGAATCAGGCTTGGTCAAATTTTCTCATGGTAACTTAGATTTATAAAGGATAAATTTTTCATCTAGGATATTTATTTTGTTAGCAAGAAATAAAGCATAAAATGTGTTTCATGAATTAGTTCCCAATCACCCTTTTTGTTGGCAGATGATAGCTATTTCTAGAAGAGTGATTGCTTGGCTGTACTTTGGAATCAGATGAAGATCTTTTTGGCAACCCTGATGACTTGGCTCTACTCCTAGAGATGGTTGTAGGGTTGGGCTGATAAACTACAGGCACACTCATGTGCCATCAAGGTTGAGAACCTCTGCTCCAGAATGTATGGTGACAACCTCCTTTATCATGTTACAGCTACCCAACTGGGTAGTCATAAGGTGGTTGATGATTCCAGCCATCACATTTGGCTCAATTGCTTTCAGTTGAAAAGGTAGACTAGTAGACTACCTTCAGCTGAAAAAGCAAACAGTAGATATTTTGAAATAGTCCACGTCTTATGCCATGGCCTTCAGCTTTAAATTCTCAGTCACCTACTCTGAATTCCTGTTAGAAACAGACACAGACACCACTAGACTGTGCAGTAGGGCTGTAGTGAAGGTATATGCAAACACCTTTAGAGCATAGAATCAGAAGTGACATAAGAAAACATATGGGTGTATGTATGTGTATCTGTTTGAGGGTGTGCATATGTGAATATCCCAAGTGATTAATAAATTCCAGAAAATGCCTGTAATGAGATCTATTTATTTGTCTTTCTTAGGAAATCTGGACATCTTACTTCTAAGACCTACAATTGTCCTAAAAACGGAAAGTCTCACTACCAGTGGGATGTCTACTTTGTCAGGTTCCACAGGCAGTTGTTGGGGTGTCCTAACAAGTTCATCTTAGGAAGAACTATTAGGTTTGATACCAGAAGTGTCACATAGACATAGTTGGTTACTTTTCTAATTATTGGTAAATATTAGCCAGCTGGTGAATTGTGACATGACACACATGTAAAATAATGCACAATAGATGCCTGGTGAAGCTTTGAGAAAAGAAGAGTATTAGGAGAACATCCAAGCTTATATACTATCAATACCAAAACCATCATGATTGTTGTACATTGGTTTTCTGCCCTATTTTCCATTTTTTCTAAAAATTAATTCAGTTGAAGTGAAGTGGAGTGGTGTCTGTCTTGTGTAACTCAAGGAGTATTCCCCACTACCTGAGTGTCAACCCCATCTCAGGGATTGACACTCCAGGCTGGAGTGCAATGGCGCATCTCAGGGATGGGGTTGCATACCTGGGGATGGGTTTCTCTCTGTGGCACTCAGAAAAGGTAGGTAAATCAGCCTACTGGTCCATAACCTTGCACAACCCAGAGATCTCTCTACTAGGGAACGGCCTGGCAGGTGTCACAGGGGCCATTCTAACCACTTCTGCACCCTGTACCAGTTGCCTTGGGTACCTGCTTTACCCCTTGGTTAAATCTGTATCCTGACTTTCTTTTGGGAGGCAAAGGAAAACATGAAAACATTCACTTCCAGAGTAAGTTGAATGGGAAGATGAGAGATATCGTGTTTGAAGATACTTCTAACCCCCTGTCTCCTAACGAATCCTTTTTCCTTTCAATTCCTTAACAAATATGTGCTTATTGTGTGTGTGTGTCTCTGTGTGTGTGTGTCTGTGTGTGTGTGCGCGCGTGTGTGTGTGTGATAGGTGATGAGCTGGGAATTCAGGCTGACCGCTAACATTTAGAGTCGCATGAACTTGGCTCTGTAAATTTCTGGTAGTTCAGAGGTCACTTTCTAAGCTGCTGTCAGCAATGCTGCTAGTCTACTTTTTTAGCTGAAGGTAATTGAGCCAAATGTGCTGGCTGGAATCATCAAACCCCTTATAACTTCCCAGTTGGGTAGCTGGAACATGAGAGAGGTTGTCACCACACATTTTAAAGCAGAGATTCTCAACCCCAGTGGCATATGCACTCTTAAAACCCTGCTCCACTTTCCTTTTTTGTCTTTATCTTAATCACTGGTTCCTCAAATGTCTGAGCACAAAAAGTATAAAAACCTCAAAATGGCACAATATCTATGTGGAATAAAGATATAGTTTTGAAATATTTTGAAGCCACAGAACTCCTTTCTTCAAGTAGACTCTTATGGGATAGTTAACTATATAAAGCAAATTGATAGAGAACGTCTCTGGTCAAAGGAAGAGAAGAGTTCAAGCCCCATCATAGATCCCACCCCAGTTCCCTGGCTATTTTGCATCTCCCTCCCAGCCTCCCACCTGAGGCTCATCATAGAACCCCTGGACAAAGGGGAAAGAATATTTTTCATGGGACATATGCGATAACTTCTTTCTGGTGGAAATTACTTGGAGTGGGGGTGTCAGGCACTAACCCAGGTCACCAAAAGCTGCCCAATGGCTGTTCTGTCACAAACCATGCCAAACTGTGGCACGGCCCTGAAACTTTCTGAACGTTCCTCATCTTCAACATGGGTGTCTGTGTGCCTTACGAATTTATTTTAAGGGTTAGAAACAAAGGTTGTAAAATTAACTTGTGAACTTTAAGCACTAATTAAATATAAGGACTTCTGAAACTTTGCAGCATTTTTCCTTGTTTTAATTGGGGTAGAGTGGAAATAATTTTAGACTCGGAAAGATCTGCATTCCAATCTTGGCTCTTCAATTTACCAAATACGTGACTTTAACTAAGTCATTTCATTTTTTTGGATTCTCAGCTCCTTCATTTTCAAAAATGAAGGGAGTAATACCAAATAGGCTTATCATGAAAGTTCAAGGACAGCAAGAATTCCCTGGTTAGACAATGCCTGGCACATTGAAGGCACTAGATAAATTTTCATCAAATCCAAATGCCTTTGTTTTAAAAAGAGCTACACCATTTCTCCTTGGTATAGATTTTACATCACAGCAATGCACTGTAGCAAATACATTACCAATTGTCTCACCTGAAAAATGGTGCTATATAAATGCAAATTTACTTACTCACCACAATCACACATACTCATCAGTATATGCCTCCTCACATCTTTCTTTCTTAAAACCTATTACATCTGCTTTGCTCTGTACAGCAACTGCCCTTAAAATTTAATGAGTGAAATTATTCATTTCTGAACTTTTTCTTTTTTTGATAGAAAAATCTCAGTTGGTCAAAGGGGATGATAGAAGTTCACAGTGAAATGAAAACATAGAAATTACCAAATTTGGTTGTTCTTTAAAACTAAAAAAAATTTGCTATTTTTTTCTTAAATCATTATTTTTGAAAATATGTATTTGTATTATAAGCTTCTATTATATATGACATTTCTGTATGTTCTATACTTTATTGACAATAGACCATCTTGGCAATCTGACCAAAAGCATGCAAAAACCAAAAAAAGACCACCCTGCTATCTAGTGCTTCTTTTATTTGTTCAATGACTATTTTTGAAATCTTGAAATATGTGAATACATATTTTGCCAAATCTTTATATATTTTGTCACTTCCAGTAAGAAATTAGATCTCACATCTGTTTCTATTTTGAGAGTACATCACTTCTTTTTTTTTTTTTAACATACATGTGAAAACAGAAAATGAAGGAACCAGAAGTCTGTGCAGAGAATCTGAGTCTGTGTGGTGCGAGTAGGGGTGGGAGTGGAGTGGATTCACTGTAAGTAGATCCTTAATCTGGCAGAGCTTTAGCCAACCCCAGCCACCTCTCGCTGCCCCATTCTGGGCAGTTGAATTATAAGAACTCTGAGCCTTTTTCATCTGAGAAACTCATTGACTCTTCCAAACCAGAAGAAACTTACTTAACAAGCTGCTATCATATGCCTCTAAAATAGGGTAGTCTTAATATTCTAATTTGATTAAAACCAGTGACCATTCATTGAAGGCTTACCTTATTAGTTCCACTTTGGAGAAAAGAGAATTGCTATTCCAACCTACTTTGTTAGATAGGCTGGAATGATGACACAAAACATGAATTTTAGTGTAATTCATAGTTTCTGGGGAACAACTCCAATGGTCATAATAAACCTAAAGTTGGGAAGTAGCACACTAAATGCCACAGTACATCAGCAACAACAAAAATTGCTGTATGAATCTACAAAGGTGAAGCTGATTGAGAATGCTAATCACATGTAGGAAATAAGTGCACTTTCCTTGGCAGGGACTTTGCTATAGATACATCACTGTCATTGCAATGATGTTCAATAGAATAGTCAGTCTACATAAGAACACAAATACTTTCTTTATCCATTCTTTGAGAAGGTGGGGAAGCAAGTAGGTATCAGGATTATCTTTGACCTTAAAAAAAATCTTCCTGAAGCCTGCCTCCTCTGCAGGTTAGTGGGAGATGTAGGAGTGAAGTGTGCTTTGGGTAAAAACTCCCCAGGTGATACTAATGGTCATCTTCCTCCCACCCAACCCACCTCACTGAGGCTGTGTCACTGAATGCTGCAGCACGGGTATCTACACTGTGTAAATACCCACCCAACCCACCTCACTGAGGCTGTGTCACTGAATTCTGCAACATGGGTATTTATACTACCATGTAAATCTTCTCTTTGGTTCCAGAACTTAGAATATTCTTCTATTTTCAATATCTGTCTTTTAGGGGGAAAAAGTGAAATATGATAATTCAACATGGTTTGTTTTAAGCTAAATTTCTTTTTCAAAGACAAAATGAGACTACTACAAACTGATTGTTTAAATTATTGGCTTATGTATGCCTCACAGCATTAGAGAATTGCTTTATCAATTCCAAATGCTCGGTCAGAATAGATACTCTTCACACCTGGATTTGGTCATGTGTCCATTTGATCCAACACTGCAACTGTGGCTGGAGTGAGGGATTTTCAACCCTGTGGGCTTCCCCATTCAGAGAAAGTGAGAAGAGTTGTGGGTTGAGAAGACACCCTTAAAACCATCAACTACAGCCCGGGTGCGGTGGCTCACGCCTGTAATCCCAGCACTTTGGGAGGCGGAGGCGAGCGGATCACGAGGTCAGGAGATGGAGACCATCCTGGCTAACACGGTGAAACCCCGTCTCTACTAAAAATACAAAAAATTAGCTGGGCGTGGTGGCGGGCGCCTGTAGTCCCAGCTACTTGGGAGGCTGAGGCAGGAGAATGGCGTGAACTCGGGAGGCGGAGCTTGCAGTGAGCCGAGATCGCACCACTGCACTCCAGCCTGGGCGACAGAGTGAGACTCCGTCTCATAAAAACAAACAAACAAACAAAAAACCGTCAACTACTTGTTAGGTTGCTTGCACAGATTCCACAGAGATCTGTAGGGCAGCATATTATTTATTTATACTCTCCCTTCTTCCAAAATGGCGTAGAAAATGATCATATGAGCAAAAAGGAGGAATTAGAATTGGCACTTTTTAAATTAGATTTTTATGAAATAATAACGCAGTGTAAAGACAAAGGAAATTACTCTTTCCAGCTACTAGATAATAAGTTTGTTAATGCAATTACGTGCTTAATTTACATCTGAGCTCCCCAGTACCCAAGATAATAGGAAACCAAATGGATTATAGAGAGTTCTATTATATAGAAAAGAAAGAATCAATAAAAGAAAAAGACTTTTTTTCCCCAGGCACGGAACTCAAAAAGGAATCCATAAATTAGGTACTTATTAAAGAGATACCACATGAATTAATAGAAAATTACTTCTGTTATAGTTTTGAAAACTATTCTTCAAATGGATGTTTCCATTTCATCTTTCTGTGAAAGCTGAAGGAATAACATTAAACTTTAACTCCATAAACTTATGTGGGTAAAAGATTAATGTGGTTCTGTCTGAGAAAACCTCTGGGAACCCCTAATTTTTATATCACAACTTGCAATTGGTTTCTTACCAGGCCCGAGCTAGTCGAAGTATAGGCAGAGAGGTACAGAGAATGTAGTAATTTTCTAAACAAATAGAAATGTAACATTACATTTTCCTGTTTTAAAGTAATACTTTTATTATAGAAGAAGCATGCAATCTTTGTAGATAATTAGCAAAAAAAATCACTTCACATTGCTACAACCCAATGATCACCACAGTAAATTGCTAGTCATGTATTTCCAGATAGATCTATGTGTATTAGTGTACATATATATACACACATACAAATATGTACAAATATGTATTAATACACACACACACATATATAGCCAACTTCCTCTCGCCACCGCCCCCAGTCAATGATCTCCATCTTTCCATTTTGCCATATTTTTATCTCATCTAATACTGGGGCCATATTCAAATTTACTCAGTTGTTCCTAAAATATTTTTGTCCAAATCAGGACCTAGTTAAAGAAAATTAATTGTATTTGGCTGTTTGGTCTCTTTCATCTCTTCTAATCAAGCATGGTCTTTTTATTTTTACTTTAACTTGTCGACAGGGGCAGTAGTCTCGTAGAGTGTTTCACTTTCCAGATTTGTCCAGTTATTCAGGTAATCTTGTTGGGGGAGTAGGGATGGAAACCCAAGGGACCCCGATGCTGTGTCTCTTGGGTCTTGGTCTAAGCCAGAGAGAGACAGAGCACTCCTGTTTGCATCTGCTGATCAAGGCAACTTCTGGCAGGTGGAGCTGTAGAGGGCTCTAAATCCCAGATGGATTAATGTGGGCACTGGCTGGCAGGGAAGGGACCCCTCTCAGGAGTTAGTGATTAGGAAACTGCAGTCAGAGGAAAGAGGGTGGGGAGCAGGCAGTGGGCCAAGACAAGCAAGAACTAGGTGGAGAGCTGATTACTGGAGCATGCGTGTCTCTTTTAACACATGAATCAGTGGTTGTGATGACCAGGGTCTGGCTTTCTGTGCTACCCTTAAATGGGAACAGTTAGCCCATTTGAGAGACAAATTCACATTACAGTAGTCCTGGGAGAGGAAGGAACTCCCCTCTGTGCCTGTGTTTGCATTTTAGAGTGGCCTTTTCAGAAGGGCATAATTCATTCAAGGGTGGTAACTTACTCTTCTCCAAATCTGCAGTATTTGGCACAGCCCATGGTACAATTAAAGGGAAGACTTTGGAGGTGTCTGACATTCCTGACGTATAATCAAGAGCAGCTATTCAGTACTGTCTTAGACCCTAGTAAGAGGGGGCCCTTCTATAAAGTGATCTGTGCTGACATCCTTCAGTCATGCCCATCCAGGGACCCTCCCAGGTTCTCTAGATATACTGCAGATGGATGACCATGAACACACTTGAAGAGCCTGAGCAGACCTCTCCACAGATCTCATCTCCTAGAGGTTCCCTTTGAGCCACAAGTCTGTGCACCCCTAGGCTTAGAGACTGGTCATGGGACTACTGGTTTGCAGAGATTACAGATGGACCTTGGACCAGAGGACTAGAGTGTACACATGTCAACTCATGAGACACCTTGAGCTTTGGGATGGAGCTGAGGATGGAAAGAGAATTGGAACATGTTGCAGGCTGGGGGGCCAGACCCTGGACCAGCTTCCCCAGCCCTGTCACCTTCCTGGGGGAACTCTGAGGAGACTGAGTTCCAAATTCCAACCTGGCCTCCCAGCATATTAGCAAGGTGCAGTTGTCAAGGTAGGAGGCTAGGGCATTGAATTTAACTGTATTTTCTCTTGAGTTATAATGTTTACATATTCAGGGCTTCCTTTGTATTCTTGCCCTGGCCCATAATCATTAGAGGTGAGCCAACAGCTATTTTGTATTGCTGAGGGAAGCACTCCTTTAAAAAAAAGATTTTTTTTCGTACTTTTTTTGCATAAAGTGCTTAGAGTCAACTAATCTGCTAAAGCCCACTGTTCTGAGTGAGCAGATCACTGGCCTGAGAAGTCAACCAAATCCAGGGGAATCCTTCACAGCCTCCGCGTTCTCTGATACCATCGTTATTTTGCCATTAATGAATTAAACTTCAGTGTGTGAAATAGTTCATAGATTATCCAAGCTCACACAGCTTCTCTTTCGGCTCAGTTTTTGGACATTCCACTGCTCTTTTCCACCTCCACCAGTGCAGCATCAGAGGAAATATAAGGGGAATGGCCATTACGTTCACCTATAGTCCCTTGTAATGGATACATATTCAAAGTATAAAAAATGTTATTTTCCTACTATTAATATTATTGTCACTATTATGGATCTACTTAAATGTTTTTGCTCTCCATTAAAAGCTACAGCCAAAAGCTGACTAAAGGCTGATTTTAAGGAGATACAACAAATAGGTAATACAAATGAAATGAATATGTAGAAAATCAGACACTAGAGAAATGCTTTTACAAAGGAGAAGGGTGAAAGTGAATATTTCTGGCTTGTCAGCTATGCCATTATTGAAAGAGAAAAGAAGAATTTTTTTCATAACACAGCAGAGTTTTTTTAACCTGAATTACACCCTTCAGCCATATCAGAGACAGTTCTTATAATAATTTTGTAAGGAAAAAAGGTCATGTGCCAGCAAAATTCAATCCTTAGTTTGAAATATATTTTTATATCGTATGTGAGATCAGAACAAAAAGATGGGGGGACAGCAGAAAAGTTTTCTTTGAAGTAGAGAAGCCTCAATGCTTGGATCAGGTGCCATGTCTCCCTCTCGTCCTCCCTCCTCACAGAAGAAACTACTGCAATGGTCCTCAGAACAATGTTTTATAGGGAGATGCATAAGTGAAAACATCCGAACCTTGGGAACCTGATCTCCATTGCCAATTCTACATTTCCAAAAGGGCATTTAAAGACATCATTGTTTATTCCCAGTGACTAGTAAATTGCATTTTGATTTGGTAATTGCAAACAGATTCCAGTCTCCCAGCATTTCTACAAGCATAACAATCTTTAATATGGTGGAACCAGGGTTTTACTCACAAATTTCCAAAGAAGTTTATATGAGATTCTCAGCTGATTTTCTGCTGTTCTACTGTCAATGTTAGATCTGAATTGTTTTTTCTTTAACTTATGATGAGCAATGGTTATTACTGATTCAATGTTGATTTTGTTTATTGGGAAATTGCTCTAAGATAACAAGAAAAGACCAAACAAATGCTCATATCATCTCGTTTAACACTACAGATTATTTGCATTTTCATGCATTCCAGACCTAGAGAAAGAAAACAAGAAATGGAAGAGTTTTCTTCCTGAATAGGAAAGAAAATGGAATTATGAACTGCTTTTGAAAAACTATACTTCTTTTAAGAAGGCAATTGTTCGTCATATTTGTACCACCTCTAAAGGAGACACAGATTATTTGTTAAAGTAATAGGATTCTGAGCAAGATGAAACCAATGATAAAAGTGAAGGGGACTCTCTGCACAATAATAAAAACAATAAACTACTGATAACATGCAACTAAATGGATGAATCTCACAACCATTATATTGTTCAAAGAAGATAGACATAAAAACCTATATATTGAATTATTCATTATATGAAGTTCAAGAACAGGCATAACTAATCTATGGTGTTGAAGTCAGAATAGTGGTTATCTCAGGAGATTAGGAGTGAAACATGCCTTGGTAAGAGCATGAAGGAAGCTTCTGGGTATGGAAATGTTCTACAGCTTAATCTAGGTGGTGGTTACCCAGGTCTGCATGTAAGTTAAAAAAAATCATCAAACTGTATAATCTTAAGATTAGTACATTTTGTGTACTTCGTATATGCTTTCATATATGAAATTTTGAATTTCATTTATAAATGTCTCAATTAAAAATAAAAAGAGCAAAAGAGTTAGCTTTAATTAGTCTCCTTCCTTTGTTTTTATTTAACTTCTGTTTTTTTTCCTTCGTCTCTTTTTCTCTCACCTTTTTTCTTCATATCTCACATAAAAGGTGATGGGAGATTGAAAAATCATTTGAGTTGGTCATAGAACAAACTGGATTCAAACCTTATTTAATTTTCTTAAGGGAGCAAGCATTATTTATCACTTTAAAATTTGCAGAGCCTTCCCACATTCGTTATCTCACCTGATCATGACAACATTATAAAATACACATTCATGCCCCCATTTTATAGATTAAAAGAAAAACTAAGCCAAGAAAATTTAAATGACATGACAAAGTCACACAGTCAAATAAGTAGTAGAACCCTTATTTAAACCCAAGTGTATGGTTCTAATTTAGAATATCTATGAACAGTTAGGAAAAAGTTTATATCTTTATTTTTATAGCTTCTTTTTTTTTTTTTTTTTTTTTTTTGAGACGGAGTCTCGCTCTGTCGCCCAGGCCGGACTGCGGACTGCAGTGGCGCAATCTCGGCTCACTGCAAGCTCCGCTTCCCGGGTTCACGCCATTCTCCTGCCTCAGCCTCCCAAGTAGCTGGACTACAGGCGCCCGCCACCGCGCCCGGCTAATTTTTTGTATTTTTAGTAGAGACGGGGTTTCACCTTGTTAGCCAGGATGGTCTCGATCTCCTGACCTCATGATCCACCCGCCTCGGCCTCCCAAAGTGCTGGGATTACAGGCGTGAGCCACCGCGCCCGGCCTATTTTTATAGCTTCTAACTAACCATTTCTTTCTATTATAAATGTATGCAATAAACCTCAGTAGTACTCATAGTGCCTGTGACTTTGTCACTATAGAAATAAGATATTTTCATAGCACCTTACAGTAGAAAAAGATATCTTAAACATCATTTATATGTATGAGTACTTTAATATTACTGCCGGATTGCAAGTGGTTGAAGCCTTCCTTCCCACAGATGCTCAAAGGAACTATCTGGGCATTTGGCGCTTTGTAGTGCAGTCAACACAATGAAGTTGAAGGTTCTCACTCTGGTAACCCAGAAATCTATGTTACCTTCCAGCACTTCATACCTCTATTTGTTGGTGCTAATACTTTGAAGGTAGTTAATTAAAGATCTCCTTTTACCTAATATTCTCAATCTAGCCTTCATACTGTATTAGAATATAATATTTAACTTTACTTAAAATCTATTTAAATATATTTAAAATATATTGCCTAGATATTTAATGCATTAATAAAGGAACATATAAGTTATCATCTCACAATATTCTTAAATGTTCTAGCTATATTTTATTATAATTTTTGGTAGTGGTATGCATTTATTTCATGCATTAAAACATTCTTCTGAGAAGGTATGCATAGATTTTATTAGATTGCTGAAGGGGATCATGATATGAAAAAGTTAAGAATCTCTGTTTAAGACCTCTGCTTTTTAAAAAAAAAATAATGTGAACATCTCAGTATTTTTAAGAATAATAACAAGAACAAATTTAGGAAATCTCTGCTTGAAAGAGAATTAAAAATTCCTGATCCATATCACTCATTTTCTTGAGCTATTGCCAAAAACCCGGTGAAATATTTTACTCATTTTATTTCTTCTAGGCCTCTACAGTGTAAGGACCAACCCAAGCCAAGCATATCCCCTATTGCAACTTCCTTCCACAGTAGCTGGAGGTGCAACTTTTAAGGGTGCCTGAGTTTAAAGTGTCTAAGTGTCTAATGTTAGTTAACTAACTAAATAAAAGTGGTGTATTCTTCTTTCATTAGGCCTAGATCTTTTGAAAGCTTAATAGTGTGTTGGTCCTGACTGCCCACAAATGACAGGGCAGTAAGGTATCAGCCTTGGACCATAAACACTGTGTACAAAGGGTTTTGGCATCTCTACCGATGGGGGTACCATCAACATGTCAGTGCCCTTTTGACACATTGCAGAATCATGTGATTTGATAGTTTGCCATCCACTACTAACTCTTAAGTATTAATGAAACAACAAAAATATACTATCTGTGTCTTTAAATTTAAGAAATGCAAAGCCCTATTTTTTAAATGAAGCAAGTACTATTGCCCTAATTATGTACACAGTGGAAATGAAAACAAAAGTAGTTAAGCTTCTTGTAAAAAATGTCTAAAAATGAAGGTGATAGAACTTGCAGCAGGTGCCAAAATGCCTAACTCCACAGTTTTTCTTTTCAGTTTATTGAATTAAAAAGCTATTACAAGTATTGGACATTTGCAAATAATTAACATACATTTAAACTGAAATACTGCCTTAAAAATAAAATACAACTGCAAAGTGTATTGCCAAATCCAGCACTTAATTATTTCCTTATTTTTTATGCTAATGAAGTGTGGTGGTAGAAAGTGTGGAGTTTGAAGCCTTAACTAAATCCTAGCTTGACCACTTCCTAGTTTTGTGTTTCTGAACAAGTTTCCTAATCTCTCCAGGTCTCGGTTTTCCTATGCAGCCATAAAAAAAGATGAGTTCGTGTCCTTTGCAGGGACATGGATGAAGCTGGAAACCATCAGTCTGTCTATTCATAAGAAATCATTTGGCCATCTTGGTCTTTACAAATATAATCACCTTACTCATTGCAGCTGTCTTCTTCAACCACTAAAATGCTCTATAAAGACCAACCACAAATTTTCAGTGGCATACAACAATAAGTGTCTACTTCTCACATATCTGCAGCTAAGCGTTTCTATAATCAAGACAGGGTTTGCTCACCTATCTCAGTGTTGGCTAACTGATGGCTGATGTGACATGGCTGTGCTTACGTCAGCTGGGATGTCACCATTATACTTCCCATGAATCTTATCATCCAGGTTAGCTTAGACATGTTGTCATGGTGATGGCAGAGGGCAAAAGCACAAGCAGAAAGGCACACACACTTTTTCAAGCTCGGTTGGTTATATTTTCTACATCCTATTTGTGAAAGCAAGCCAAATCACCAAGCTAAGAATCAAGAGGCAGAGAAATATACTCCTGAGGGCAAGAGCTGCAAAGTCGCATGGTAAGGGACATGGATCTAGGGAAGGATGAAGAACTGAAATGGTTAATACTACCAGTCTGCCACACCCATGTTCATGTAGATCATTGCCACAAAGTTTATCAGGCTAATATAATTCACAACTTGGACCAGTAACTTTCATACATCATAATATAATAATGTAGACATGCATTGCCCTTTAAATGCCACTTGGATCACCTTTTATCTTTCTTGTATTTATCAGTTTATCTCACAAGATATCTTATGCAAATTAGGCTCCATTTCTCCTATTCTAGAAGAACCATAATTTTATGATCAAGCAAATAATATAATATATATATATATTTTCTCTACATTCTAGTGTGCCTCTGTTGACTGCAACTGAAACATTTAAATTTTGCACAAGCCAAATTTAAGTATACCTAAAACCCAAATTTACGATGGTTATCTGACAGGCAAATATATCTCCTGTAGGTTTGCAGAATTATCATGGAAAAGAGTCATGGTTGATGGTTTATACTAGTTGTTCCTAGTCACAATAGCCCCATATATTTATATTCTTCCATAAATACCTCAAATCTGCCTAGAATCTGGTTCACAGCGGACTTCTGTAATATCACCATGAGGCTTATGCAATGATGGCCTCACAAGCAACATTTCCACTTGTAAATAATATATGAATACATATCCATGTCCTGATGGCATATTGCCAGCCAGCACTTTTTTCCATTATACTTTAAATTCTGGGATACATGCGCAGAACGTGCAGGTTTGTTACATAAGTATACATGTGCCATGGTGGTTTGCTGCACCCATTAACCTGTCATCTACATTAGGTATTTCTCCTAAAGCTATCCCTCCCCTTGCCCCCAATCCCCTGACAGGCCTCGGCGTGTGATGTTCCCCTCCCTGTGTCCATATGTTCTCATTGTTCAACTCCCACTTATGAGTGAGAACACAGCCAACACTTTTTACTATTTCTTTCTACATGGGTTTTCAATAGTGAGTCATGAATTTCCTTATTCTGTAAACCTTAGATCATGATTGTTTATACTTGGAATTTGTGATATTTTCAGTGACTTTTTAGTGAAGATGCTCACAGCAAAATCCTTAAGGATGCATTTGATAACTTCTTTGAATTTCATTCTGATGCTGAATTAATTATTAGGATGGTTTGAGATTGGTCTTTCTCCCTACAGATAAATTTTTTTCCTCTCCTCTTCTTGGGACATTAGATACCATTTAGGTCTGTTATTCCTAATACTTCATACTTTATTAAAATGTCAGCTCTCAGTAAAACTATGTGTATCTGCCTCCAAGACACGTCTTGTAGAGGAAGGATGTTGATAGTAAAAACCAGGTTTTCCTGAAATATTAAATGTATATGTTCACATTACAGACCTGTAGTAAAAAATGGAAGCATCATATACCCTCTTAGAGCTTAAAATGATATAAGCTAATGACAAGAAACACAATATGACATTTGACAACCTTTGTTCTTTTTTGTCTTCATCTCTTCTACTTTACTCCCAATGTTTCCTTAAATGAGTACTTAGTATTTCATGTATTAATGCCAACAGAAAAGTGTCTGAGGATTTTACCTATTCTCTTCCTTGTTCATCTATTTGTTTTGTTTGTTTCCTCATATGGGTCACCACTCCTCCACTGTAACATACACTCTTTAATTCTCTATTTCTATGATTTTTGGAAGAGCTCTCTTTGGCTTTTTACAATTTTTTGTTTCAGGTTAGCATGGGAAGCAGCTATATTGGTTTACATAAATTTAGGTCTTATCCTTTCTGCTCCAGAGAAACTTAATTCTAAGTTTTACTCTAGGCTGAAAAAGACAAAAACAAAAGCAAAAATAACCCTGTTTTTATGAATGTCTAATTTATATGTGTGGTATTAATTTTATTTCTCTCATATTTAGTTTTGTTGTAAAACAATCTGCCTGCCGTAAGAAATTTTGTTACAAAATGTGCGTTCGAAAGACAACTGGAGCAGTTACAGACAGAGTGACATCTTTTGCCTTGACATGAAACACTGTTCAGAAACTCAGAAAGAGAGGCAGACAGTAAGAGGTGAGCTGATGACCGAGGTGTGTGACCAGCTACTTGCATTTCTTAGAGTCTGGGGAACCACTGATTCCTCTAATAAATCATAAGGAAATGTGTGACATTTGAATATGAGCTACAAAACCTGTGCTGGATCGTGTGGTGACCATCATATTATCAAAATTGGGATGGGAATATAAATTAATATAAACTTTCTTATCAAACTTCTAACAATTTCTCTGATACATATTATTTGTCTCTGAAGGCTGTCCTAATGATTCCAGATTTTTCTGTCCAGCCTCATTATTTTTTAAAATAATAAATAACTTTTAACTTTTAAAAAAAATAATGTAAATATATGTTCAATGTAGTTATCTGGGATATTCAAAAATATGTTACAAGTAAAATAATAATATACAAATTACCATAATTTTAATAACTAGAGATAATCACAATTCATACTTTATTTTAGTCTCTTGTATATCTCTATATGACCCTTTAACACCCAAACTCAACATAACAAACATTGAACCTACTCTAAATTGAATGCCTCTTAAATATCATGTATGGCGTCAGACAAAACTATGTTCATGCCCTGCTGGCTCTTAACAGTCTAATGGAAGAACAGTAAGCGAATCTATAAGAAAATCTATTTGTAAGTGTCAGCTTTCCTCCCAAACTTACTCCTCCTTATTTTGGGGAGACATCCGAGAACTGTTCTTCTTTCTTATACCCCTCATCCAGTTAGTCCTCAAGCTCTGTAGATGTGATCTCCTTAATGTCTCCCACATCTGATACCTCTCCCTGTCCTCTCTATTTTGGTTCAAACCTCACTTGCTCTTGCCTAAATCATTACATTAATTTTCTAAATATGTTTTATACGTTCAGAGTATACTTCCTGAAACAAAAATCTAGTCTTATTAATTCCCTGTTCTAGAGGAAGTCTTTTTGTACATTTTGGGTATTTTGTTAATTAAAAAGACTGCAACTCTAGCACTTCTTAAATATTTGATTATAAGGCATGGATAAGACAGAAACAACATCACTGCCAAATTCATGAGAATGTAGAGAATTTTAAAAACTTGGTAGCTTCATCTTTTCTGATATTTTTGGCCTACAATATTCTTCTTATGTGTAACTTATCTGAGAAAAATGTGAAGAAAGAGTTAAGGCAATGGGGAAAAAGAAGTGTGTAGTTTAGAATAAACAAGAAGTAAAGATAACAAAGAATCATATCAAAATGTAAGACTTGGGAGTTAATATAAGTAGAATAATTGTGTGGTTTTTAAACTAAGAAAATAATTAATGCTATGGAAAAACAGACAAGATAATCATAACTTTTATGAAATGAAGACTTAAAATCATGTATAGTAAACATTCTTGAATGGAATATTTTTCCTCACTTAAAATTTGTTGCTCTTTTTCATATGCACCAGAGCCTGGTAAGGATACTTACATATTCCCATTTACATGATTACAAAGCTTTGCAAACCTCAAAGGAAAAGGATATGAGCCTGGCTTTCCCAACTCAAAGGAGGGGACAAACTGGAGTCAGACAAACATGAGTTCAACTCCTGACTCTGCCACTTACTAGCTGTAAGACAGCCCAAGTTACTTCATCCTTTGAGGGCCAAGGTCTTCAGCTGGAAAATGGGGATGGTAACATCTGTCTTGCAGGAATGTGACAAGGCTGAGAAATGCTACCTGTCACGTGCTCGGCACTTTTCTCAATGTATGATACATGTTATGATTACTAGAGTCATTGAAAACTCGAGAATCAAGGCAAAATAATCCCATACCTAAACTAAAGCAATCATGTGGTTTGGCCTAAATTATGTTATTATAGCTAAAGAAAAAAATGTTATTGGATAATTCTAGGTAGAAATTACAATATTCTGAAGTACTTTAAATTAATTATTAAAGTCCTCACATAGCACATATTCTTTAGAGAGGAAATGTAATCTTCAGCATTTATCCTGTTAAATGCTATGACTTTTCTGCTTTGCATTGTTAGTGGAAGTAGGTTGCTGAGAGAAGCCCTAAAGAAAAGCACACAGTATCTATTTCATGGGAGAACAGAACACTGTATTTGAAAGACCGTTCTGCTAAAGTGTTGAAAGCATGGACTTCAGTGATTCATGTCTGGTGTGGTAGCATAGACCACTTAGAGATGTTTTGCAACCTGTGTCTTGACAGAACTAGGGCTTCTAACTTCATTCAAAGCTCCAAACAAAAAATATATTCTAACAACAAAAAATCAGAAAGAGAGAGAAAGCGAGAGAAAACATAGTTTCCAAAAAACTTTGAATAAACAGACCAGTATTTTTGAGGAAGCCACCAACTCAAGGCTCATCCAGAAAGTGTGTCAGAACACCAGGTATTTACTTTCCAAAACATGCTGTCCTTGGCTGTTTTACTTTTAATAAATATCACAGAGCAGCCAGCCTGCAATCCAGGGGAAAGAAAACATATGCATGGAACCATCAATTTTGCTTCAAACTGGCTGGATGAGGAGAAGGTTGACTTGATAGGTTCTTTTAGGATGTTAACTCCCCAAGACTCTCTTACCCTCTTCTTGCTTAGGAAGTGATTTCTGTCTGGAAATAAAGCCCAATTTAGTCATGGCCCGTGCACAGCTCCAGTCCATGGGGGCCTGTGCCTGGCCAAAACTAACAGTGTTGCTCCATATATATGTAACTTCCAGGGGCTTCGATTACTCAATTCAGGATTGAAATTTGGGATCACACTGGGAAATACAGAACTAAATAATGTGAGATCCTGTTTTTCTGAAGTTTAACTGTTTATAGTTATTTGGAACATATAAATACATGATAAGCTGCAAAACTTTAATCACAGGAAATAATTTTTGCCTTTCATTTCATTTTGCTTCTTTCACTAGGTGCATCTAAAGAATTATTAGCCAACATATTGAGATCTTTTTTCAATGATATTTAGCATTTTGCTCCTGGTATTGTACAAGTGGTTCTCTTCCATGGTCTATCATGTACCAAGTCATTAACAAAAATGCTAATCAGAATAATATTTGATACATAATGCTAACTCTCAGAATGAAGCATTCCTCTAGCAATAATATATATTCATCAATCAACCCCTTCTTAGTACATTTGTTCAGTTATGAATCCATCAAATTCTCCATGATTTTAAATCATATTTCCCAAAATTCCCCAATTTTCCAATGGGACATTATGAGTTATTTTTATAAAATACCTTAATGAAATCCAGATACACTAGGCTTATAGCATTTCTGGATATAGTAGATGTGTAATCCTATCTGTGAAAAAAGTGAGTTAGGCCAATATGACTTATTTCTAGTAAACTTAGTCTGGGTCCTGGTAACCCCTGGTTTTTCTTCTAGCTGCTCAAGACCTATTCACTTTTTTTGCCTTAAAAAAAGTCAGCTTTATTGAGATATAGCTTACCCTTTTAAAATGAACAATTCCATGGTTTTTAGTATATTTACGGAATTATGCAACCATCACTGTAATCTACCTTTAGAACATCTTTATCATCCTCAAAAGAAATCTTGTACCTGACAGCAGTTACTCCCCATCCTTTCCCACCCAATTCCATTCCCCTTCCCTGCAGCCCCAGGTAACCGCGAATCTACTTTCTGTCTGTGCAGATTTGTTTATTCTTGATAATTCCTTTGAATAACATATGATATGTGTTCTGTTGTGAATGGCTGCTTTCATTTAGTATAATGTTTTTGAGATTCATCCATGTTATGTAGCATGTATCAGTACTTCATTTTTATGGTGAAACAATATTCCATTGCATAGATACATCTCATTTTATTCATCCATTTAACAGATGAGGGACATTTGGGTTGTTTCCACTTTTTAGCTATTCTGAATAATGCTGCTGTGAACATTTGTGTACAAATTTTTGTGTGAACATGTGTTTTCATTCCCTAGGGGAATAAAATACTTAAGAGTTTAATTGCTGTGCCACACTACAGTTGACATTTTGAGGCACTGCCAAACTGTTTTCCAAAGTGGTTGACCCACTTTACATTTCTACCAAGAATATATAAGAATTTCAACTTTTCGACATCCTTGACAACACTTGTTATTGCCTGTAGCTTATTATAGCCACTCTAGTGGGTGTGAAGTAGTATCATGTGGTTTCAATTAGCATTTTCCTAATGATTAAAAATGTTGAGCATCTTTTCATGTGCTCATTAGCTGTTTATATATCTTATTGGAGAAATCTTTATTCAAATCCTTTGTACATTCAAAACTTTGGTTATTTATCTTTTTACTTTTGACTTGTAACAGTCTTTTTAATATTGTAACTAGAAGTCTCTTAACAGGGTGATGATTTGTAAATATTTTCCTTCAGTCTGCTGGTTGTCTTTTCAATTTCTTGGTAATGCCCTTTGGAGCACAAAAGTTTTTAATGTTGATGAAGTCCCATTTATCAATCTTTCTAAATTTTAAAATTTTTAAGTGACAAAAATTTTATAAATTCCAGGCATACAATGAGATGATCTGATATATGTATACATTGTGTAATAATTACAATAGTCAAATTAATAAACATATCCATA
The DNA here is from genome assembly GCF_000001405.40 of Homo sapiens. Classification (NCBI taxonomy): domain Eukaryota; kingdom Metazoa; phylum Chordata; class Mammalia; order Primates; family Hominidae; genus Homo; species Homo sapiens. The sequence goes on along the minus strand of NC_000005.10, from coordinate 82,682,418 downwards.
GCCACTTATAGTTACCATTTTGTGCATGCGTGTGGTAAAGATAATTAAAATCTGTTCTCATCAAATTTCAAGTAAAAATACAGAATTATGAACTATAGTTGCTATGCTATATATTAGATTTCTTATACACTATTGGTGGAAATGTAAATTGGTACAGTAATTATAGAAAACATAACTTTTTGAGATTTCTCAAAAAATTAAAAATGAAACTACCGTAGAATCCAGCAATCCCACTACTGGATATATAGTCAAAGAAATTGAAATCAGTATGTCAAAGAGATATCTGCACTCCTAAGTTCACTGCAGCATTAGTAACAGTAGCCAAGATACGGAAACAACCCAAGTGCCCACCAATGAAAGAATGGATAAGGAAAAAGTGGTGTATATAAACAATGGAATATTATACGGCCATAAAGTAGGAAATCCTATCATTTTTGACAACATGGATGAAACTGGAGAATGTTTTGCTAAGCGAAAGAAGCCAGACACAGAAAGACAAACATTGTATTATCTCACTTATATGTGGCATTTAAAAAAGTTGAACTTGTGGAAGCAGAAAATTGAGTGGTAGTTGCCATGGCTCCTGGGTGGGGGAAATGGGCAAATATTGGTCAGAGGGTACGAGCTTTCAATTATAATATGAGTTAAGTTCTGGGGACCTAATGCATAGGATGGTTACTATAGTTAGTAATACTGCATTGTTTATCAATCTTTTATCTTGTGCTTTTGGTGTTGTATTTAAGAAATATTGATTAACCCCAGAATATGAAGATTCACTCTTGTGCTTTCTCCGAACAGTTTTATAGTTGTAACTCTTACATGTATGTATATAATTCACTTCAAGTTAATGCTTGTGCATGGTATGAGGTAGGGGTCATACCTAAATTAATTCTTTGTTACGTAGGTGACTTGTACTAGCATGATTTTTTGAAAAGACTTTTTTCCCCATTGAATTGTCTTGATCCTTTTGTCTAAAACCATTTGGCCATAAATATTAGAATTTATTTGTAATGCCATTTAAATCTAATTCTAAGGTTTTTAATTACATTTTGAGAGGAATTGTTTTCTTTTTATTGAAAAATGTATAGTTACCCTATAATTATATACCACTTTAGAAAATCTTAGACTTCTTTACATTCAGAACCTTGAAGGATTCTTTGGAATAATTTTTGCTATGATATTCTTCTTTTCAAAACCCACACTCATGATCATGATCTCTTATTATTGTTAGAATTGGCTATTAATAACGTTTCAAAATATATCTTGAGGTTTTTGAAACATCACCTGGACTGGTCACACCAAGGTCTTTGAACTTTGAAATTTCTGTAATCTAATCCAGAAAATGTGACCATTCCTACCACTCATAATTACATTCCTTTGTAATGCATGTTCTAAATGCCCCAGAGCTTTTTATTCCAATGCTACATTATATTGGTTTTTAAGATATTTTATATGACAAAAAGGATCCAAATTTAAGTTCAACCCCATGTGTTAAATGCAAATAACTTCATGGAAGAACATGTGGTAGCTAGTCATCCCTAAAGCATTTGTAGGCAGTAACAATTTATATTGAATATGGTAGCTGAAGAGTGTATTTTGTCATTTGTTATTAGACACCTCTGATTTTCCAAAATGTTAATATGCTAAAAATAAAAATGTGATTTAAAATCAGGAAAATATAATATTCTTTCTTAAAATCTCAAAGTACTTTGTGGAATACATTTTTCTCCTTTTGTAAAGGAGCAGAATTACACGTATCCCTAGTTTCTCAGCAGCCCTCTGTATTCCAAGATTCCCTAACTTCTGCTGCTCTTCTTTGAAAGCTGTTTTTGTACTTGTGGTTGAATTCATTCCAGCCATTAGGTAGAGTCTTTTAGAGATATTAGAAGCCCTCTTAGATCCATTTTGTTATATTGGGTTTACTTCCCCTTCTCTATATTCATCTCACTATTTTCCAACCCAAGATCATTCTCCTTGATGGAAAAGAGAGAATGAAAACAGCACGCGGATTTTGGCTTTTTGTGTCCTCCAAAATGGCACCATTGTCCTTGGGTGCCTATTGACCTATTTTTTATTTGCTTTTATGGTTTCAAAAAATAACCTAAAGTAAGGTTTTCTTTTTTTCAGACATCAACGTTTTTGTAATAGACTTCCTGACTTAATTGTAATGACACTATGCCATTCATTTGCACTTATCCTTAAATAAGAAACTATATGTGAAATGCTTTGAATGGTGCCTGGCATATCATCAAATATGGTATTAGTCACTGTCATCCTTATTTGTCATCATGGTTGTCATTAATTGTTCTTTTTTCTCTTTTTGGAACTGGCTCCTTTAAAATCTGAAAATCTTTATGCAACTTTAAAGCCTTCTTAAAAAATAAAAAAACAGAAAAACAACTCCTAATAACTAAAGAACCTCTTGACTCTAACCGTCATCACTAATGCATCACTGTAAATTGCTTGTCTATATTCCCATAAGAAAGCCAGATTTCTAATAAAGTCTTTAAAAGAGAAATACTGTATTTTCAGCAAACAGGAGGAACAAATTAAAAATTGGCTCCCAGTCCTAAAGCTTTAAGTGAATGCACCCCGTTGCTCTCAAAAGATTTTATATAAGATATTTAGACTGGAAAGTTGATCTCACAGGCGTGCACACTGGGTCTACTCATGCTTTAACAAAAGGAGTGGTGGGGAGGGCAGTAAGGCAGGAGTGGTGCTGCAAAACTGTCGGGTTTCAGTGCCAAGTCACAACAGTGGGGTCACAGTAAACAAATACAAACTCAAGCTACAAAGTCATGAATAGAAGATTCTGCCCCCAAAATGATCCATTCTTTGTATTTCTTCCCTGGCTTTCTGTCTTGGTTCTCACCATTTGTTGAAGCTGCTCTAATATATGTTCAAATATATAATTTCCAAGTTACTAGTTTTACCAATATTAATTGGTAATTTTTACCATGTTTATTAATTTCTGTTTTGTATGATTTAATCATGATGATGACAACAATAACAATAATAATTAGATATACTTGACTTAAGAAAACCTTCCATATGAAGCCCTTTTTGACTCAGAGAAAACCAAGCACTTTCTCCTTTGTACCCTCACTGTAACTTGTGCACATGCCTATCCTGGCTACACAACACTTCACTGTGTTTATTTGTGGTACCCACCTCCTGCTACCAGGTGTTAGCTCCTTGTAATGGCAACTGTACTGTGGGGAGAACATTGTAAATCTCAACAAGTATTTGTAGAATGACACCATGTATAAACAAATGATTTACTTGAGAGTTTATTATTTTTGTATCTTTTGTTGTCTCTAGTTGATAATTTATTTAACCATTCCTCTGTGGATGGACTTTGGGTTCTTTACAAATGTTTCTAATTATTAACAATGCTTTATAGAATTTTTGTGCATATATATTCTTATGCAGGTTTGTACCTAGTAGTGAAATTGTTGGTTAAAGTTTATTCTTTAAAGTGCTTGTATTACTTTATACTTCCATCAACAGAACACATAAGCTTCCATTGTTCATTTTTGTATTAAGATGTTTTACTTTTACTTGATTTTTAGAAGCTCTTTATACAACTTATATATCCTTTTAAATTATATGTAAGTTCTTGTCAGTTACATTGCTATAAATCACGTCTTCCAGTCTGTAACTTGTTCTTTCACTTATAAATATTCAAAATATTAATTATTTTTACATTCAAGGCTTTTTCTTTAATAATGGTTATTTGTGTGTCTTTATCAAGAAATTTTTTCCTTCTCCAGAATCATAAAAATATGTTCTATATTGTCTTCAAAAAGCTTTAAATTGTTGTTCTTTACATTAAGGTTCACATAACTCTTGGAGTCAGTTCATAAAGTTCTATGAAAATTCCTGTTGACATTTTTTGTTGTTACAATTCTATTGAATTTACAAATGACTTTAGAAGAAAATGGTATCTTTATAATATTGTCTTCCTATTAACATTCATTGAGATATTTGATGTCCTAAAAAAGCATTTATAGCTTTTTCAGTTAAAGTCATATACATCTTTTGTTAGACATATTCCTAAATAGTGTCTGGTACTAATTTTACATTAGATTTCTCTTGATTAGAGTTTGCCTCATGCTGTATATTCTTTTCTATATTTTAACTGTAGCCTTTCTATATTCTTACCTTGGGTATATCTCTCCCAGACCTCACAGAACTAGATTTTTTAAGCCAATATGATAATATCAATATTGTAACCAGGGAGTTTGATCTGTTTAAATTTATTTTGATTGTTTATCTATTTGCTATTACTTCTCACATGTCATTTTGTATTATAATTTGTGTTATTTTCACTATGATTTTCTTTCCCCCTAATTTCTCTGCCCTCTTTTGGTTTGTTTCTGTTATTTTGTTTCCATTTTTCTTTTTTTATTATTATTGTACTTTAAGTTCTAGGGTACATGTGCACAATGTGCAGGTTTGTTACATATGTATATGTGTGCCATGTTGGTGTGCTGCACCCATTAACTCGTCATTTACATTAGGTATATCTCCTAATGCTATCCCTCCCTGCTTACCCCACCATTTTTCCTCCTCTATTAGTTTTTAAGTCATACACAGCATTTGGCTTATGATAAAACTATCATACTGACTTTTAACTTAAAACCTAAAGTTAATCATTTCCACCTTCTTCTCATACAATACAAAGACCTTGGAACACAAGCGTTCCATTTCATCTTACATTTCACTGTTGTTCATGTTTCTATTCATTTATACTCTTTTTTTAATAAAAGTCGTTATTGTTTTATATTTTTTAGGACTTACCAATGTGTTTAATAATTTCTTTATCTTTCCTTCTTGAATCTGAGTCCTTTCGAGGTTCAATTTTGTGTGTGTGTGAAGTTCATCATTTAAAACTTCCTATAGCGAGAGTTCATGATAGTCTAGTCTCTGTTTTGATTTGTCTGAAAATGGCCTATTTTTTGTTCTTCAGGAAAAAATTCTAAGTTGACAATAATTTTCTCTCAGCAATTTGAAGATGTTATCTCACTATCTCCTGACTTCCGTTGTAGTTGAAAACCTAGTCATCAATATAATTGTCTTTCCTTTACAGATAACTTGTCTTTTCTGTCTGAATGCTTTCAAAATCTTTCCCTCGGTTTGATTGCAATTTCACATCAATGTGTGTAGGTAGGAATTTTTAAATTTATTCTTCTTGGGATTTGTTAAGATTTCTGAATCTTTGGATTGATGTTTCACTTTGCCCTGTCTTTAGGAGGCTAGATCAGAAATAATGACCCCTCTGGTCATTCCGAGCTGCTTGAACTGGGTATATTCAAGCAGTAGACTTCCTTTCAGGTTTGCTCACAATCTGGAGATCTTGTCTCTTTAATTAAAGAATTTTCAGCTGGACTTCTCAGGACTGTAACACTGACTTTTAAGAAAATGTGTATCCTGCTTGATGTCTGAAGGGGCTTGTGTGGGCACTCAGCTTCCTCTCATTTTCACTGGTATAGACCTCTCAGTTACCGGAAAGTTTGCTTTATAATTTGTGGTTTGAGGTTGTGGCTGTTTCTTTCTCATATTGAAAATGGAGATCTTTTCCTTTTTATTTTTGACTAACTTGTTATTTACCATTGGGTTCGTGAGAGCGTGTGTTATGACCCATAGTGCTCTTCCTTTCTGGAGCCGAACCTGCCCACATACATCCCCTTTTTTTTGACATTGTTGCTGTCATCTTCTCACTTCTAGAAAATACTGCACCTTTTGAAATAATTTCAGCATTAGGCTCAGAATTTTTCTCCACAACCAGTTTTCCTCCCACTATGTATGGGAGTTAGTAACTTTAAATTAAAAACAGGAAAATCCCATAGTGCCATTTTCCCCATAATATGTGTATCATCACATCATATTTCAATGTCTGAGCTCTGGGGCCAGTTATACAAAAATAATTTGTGATTATAGAAATGTCTAATGAGCTGCCTCGTTGTCTGGATTTCTAAGTTGAATTCCTTTACAATATTGATCTATATCAATAGAGTTTCCACGTAGTAACAGATTTGAACTAATGTATAATTTCATAAATTTCTTTGTGACCAATGGATCATACAGCAAGATGGCAGGTCTAGGTGAGCCATCTGTATCAACAGAAATAAAAATAGTTCACTAGGCCATAGGAATCAAACCTATAACTTTTATTTTATTAGCACTATGTTTCTACCCAAATGAGCAAATCAACCACAGACTCAGTTTCCTATTCCATAAGTAACGTATTCTAATAACTCAGTCTATTTATCTTTCCATCTACCCTAATAGGTATAATACTTCTAATAACAAATATGTATAATACATTCTCAGTTTCTTTTAAAAAACAATGTAAGTGTATTTATTGTTTTCTAACACATACACATTTTTCTCTCTTATTTCTTAGACTAGAATATAGGTAAGAAAACCAACAAAATGGAAGAAAAGCATAAATATTTTGTGCCCTCTCTCTTTTCTAAAATTGTGGCAAATTTATGTTTTTTGACTTTCTTTTAGATTATATCTGGCTATAATAACTGTCTTTAAGTCAAAGTCTAGAAGAGTTACTAAGTTTATTTTTAAATTTAATCAATTTTGTTTCCAACAGGAACACAAAGGCGAACAAATCTTGCCAAATTTTTAACAAGCTTTCCAGGTGTAAAGAGTAGTTTGTTTAGGATCATTATGGTCAAAAGTCTCTGAAATCTTCCATGGCATTACCTATTATTAGAAGTGGAATTTTCTTTCTATTCCAGCAATTATCTGGGCAGTATGTTGTTTGAGTATACCGAGTATGCAATTAGTTGTGTTTTAATATCTGTTTTGAAAGATGCAAATTTGTTTTAAAGCAACTAATATATTAGGAAATAATTTTAGCATAATATGGATTTTGCGTTTGTATATATGTGATTTTTTCCGCAAGAAGAAGTAGGTGAGCACAGAAAGCTGCACCTAGATCAACAACAAGATGAGTAAGAATACACAAAACATGCACACGCACACACCTCAGTTCTCAAACATCTACCAGCTAACTTCAGTTCACTGTGGGTATTACGAGCTCCATCAATCCTCATGTGGTGATAAAACTTTCCATCCTATTTCAGATAACCCTTCCCTCACCACCTCATAGTAACTCACAGGCTGCAACCTTCTTAATGCCCACTTCCACAAGCAAACTACAGGTCTTTCCAAAGCAAAGGGCCGTATTTAGTGAAGTGTTTCTGTGTTTCTTAATCATTTAATGTGTGTAAACCTATGCCACCAGTTTTATAAGGTTCCTATTATTTTTTAATGTTATTGACAAAGTTTTTGAATACTGTACCCCAAACCCATTTTTCATATAGTCCCTATAATTTCTGAATAAAACTTTTTAATTTTGAAATAATAGATTCTCATGCAGTAGTAAGAAATAATACAGACAGATCCAGTGTATCCTCTACCCAGTTAGTTCCCTGATGATACTACAACCAGTCTATTGGCATGGAGACAGTCAAGATATAGAGCAATTTCATTACCACACAGATTCCTTCTGTTGCTATTTTATAGCCACTCTCACTTCCCTCTTGATTCCCTTCCCTGTCTTTAAACCCTGGCAATTACTAATCTGTTCTCCACTTCTATAGTCTTGTCATTTCAGTAACGTTATATAAATGAAATCTATAGTATGTAATATTTTGGGTATTGGCTTTATTCATTCAGTGTAATTATCTGGAGATTCATTAGAGTTGCTGCATTATCAATGGTTTGTTTCCTTTTTATTGCTGAGTAATAGTCTGTCGTATGGATGTGCCATAGTTTGTGGTACACAAATAACCATTCAGGGTTGGGGGATACCTGAGTTATTCACAGTTTTGGACTATGGCAAATAAGGCTGCTATAAATATCCATGTTCAAGTTTCTGTGTGAACATAAGTCTTGATTTCTCTAGATAAATGCCCAGGAGTGAAGTTGCCAGGCCTTATGGAAGTTGAAATTGGATTGTTTGCTGTTTTACTGTTAAGTTTTCAGAATTCTTTGTATATTCTAGATACTAATCCCTTGTCAGATATGTGGTTTGCAAAATTTTTTTCCCAGCTTGTCTTTTCATGTTCTTAACAGGGTCTTCCACAAATGAAAAGTTTTTCATTTTGATGAGGTCCAGTTTATTAATTTTTCCTTTTATGGCTCATGCTTTGGTGTCCACTGCATGATTTTGCATAGCATGATGGTTTTTAGGCACACACATGTCACATTATAGCAGAACTGACTGTACTTGGGAGAAATTGAATTAAGAACTCTTGGGACAGCAAGCTTATCATCTTTATATAAGATGTCATTGACTCAATAAAATTATGAAAACACAATTAAATTCTGGAGTTGTGTCTAAACAAGTTTGAAAAATTGTCTTTCTTGGTTTTGTACTACACTTTCATTCCGATTTGGAATTATCTGCTTAGTTTGACAATATTGGCAAAACTCGAGGGAAATGAAAAGTTTAAATGTGAAGATTCATTCTGTTCACAGAAGCACACTGTATTCAGCCACTAGTCCTAATGATTAGTAGGAAAATATCTGTCAATGAATTTAAGTAATCTTGTTAAAAGATCTTTTTATCTCACTTATTTTCAATTAGGCAGGACCTCTATTACAACAAAAAGCTGAATGTTTTCCAGCCAGCCCCTCAGGAAGTATACCATTTTGGCTCTAAGAACCATTATGAAAATTTGACCTTTTTACCTCTTCCTGACCAGGGCTTTCCCAGATGCAAATTTAATGGTTTAAACGTTGACTACTATCAACCTCATAAAGCATGAAACCTCGTCTCGTCAAAGCAGTCATCGTAATTTAACTGGGGAGGCTGCCACTGTTCAGTGGGCCCCAGCCGTATGCCTGCCAAGGAAGCCATCAAATCAGTCCAGCTCTTTCTTCAGCCTTTCAGGGGTACTGAGAATTGACCTTGAGTTAGGTCTCTTCCACGTAGAGGAAGGAGAGGGAGGAAAATAAATTATTACATGAAACAAAGACTATATTATTTGGTACATATGTTATGGTTTACCCCATTTCATCCTCTGAGCAAGAGATTGTCTGCCTTCAACTTTCCAGGCTTTTAAAATCCCTCTTTATAGTCTGTGCAGTCAACTTAATGAGGACCATTTGAGACACATAAGTGAAATGATGTCATCTGGTCTCTCTCTCCTCCCTTTCCCTGTCTAACTGCAGGATTTGATCCACCCTGAATGAAACAAAAACTATACACACAGTCTCAGAACTATTAAAGTGAGAGCTCTGATGTGCTTCAGAGAACCAAGTACTCATACATTTTACCAATTATTTCCTGCCACTTCTAACATCCAGACTATCCTTCTGGATTTACCCAGAATTTATTGAGCACTGATGTGCCAGGCATTATAATAAGCATTTTCATTTTATGTGTGCACCCCAACAAGCTGCAATGCAAGCTTACACAGTTGTGGAAGATAAGCGTTAGACTTGCCTCATTATATTATGCCCAGTGGAGTGCCGGAGCCGGTATGTGCTGGCTTGTGAGAGCCGATTGTCAAATTTTTAGGAATTGGTGAGTGCTTGTTCAACACAGCCATTATTAAAAATTACCTTCCAAAAATTTACAATTAAATATATTCAAAGCAAAAGTAACAAATACTCAAATTTCATTACTTCCTAATTATTTTACTATATTTTACTAGTATCTACGCCCTGAAGGTTATTTACAACTATTATATCTATGTGGTGGAAATACTCTATAGTGGTGTTCTACTGATCATCTCTTCCCAATTCGACTTTCACTGATGTTACGTTGATGGCAAGAAATCAACACTGGCATTTATGGAGCAGAAGTCAATAATTGCTATAAATCAAGGTTTTTGCCCTCCAGAGTGGTGGTTGCTGATCATTTATTAGCACATCAGTGTCTAAAGTTTTCCGTCATTTGTACTACAAATGATACCATATTGACTTCAAGTTTTATGAATAACTATGAATCAAAATAAATTAATTACTTGACAAAAAGCCTCTCTGTGTCTTGAACTCTGGTAGAAATCAGAAACATCTTTAAGTTAAATGCATTCTTTCATTGTTGTAGAAGGAAATGTACTCAACTTAGGAACTTGAGTTATGTACCATACAAATCCACACCTGTCTGAGCAAGGTGGGTAGGGCCTCAAAGACAATGTTTGCATGAGGAAATGAAGAATTTCATGAAAAATAACACGTCCTAAGGAAAGAAAAATGTGATTCACACAAGTACGGTTCAAGGGCAGGGGTGTGAGAGGGGATGACTTTTGTGAGCACAGCTGGGTGTATGTTGTTCTCTACTTCTCTTTCTTTCACTTTAGGTTTGTGCCAGAGTCCTGCATAATGAAGCCTCTGAAGAAGAAAGGGCAAGAGCAGAAGCAAATATGCAATTTTTCCTAAAACCGCTATGTGATATTGAAAGCATCAGCTTTGGGGCCCATGTAATGGTGTACCATGGCCAAGGGTAGAAAATTTTCCTTTACTTCAGCAGGATCTTGAACTGGGAGATGAATCTAACGTAAGATGCAAAGCAGGAGAGGTCATAACAGCCAGACTACTCTGACTAGTCTATATCTGGAGTTGTTTGGAAGTCCCAGAGGACAGAGGACATACTGCATCATGGAGAATCCGATGGGGTGAGGAAGATTCAACATCACTATAACAGATATATGGCCAAAGACAAAAATTGAGAAAACAGTGGTACAATAAGGTAATAAGAGGCCAGCATTCCCAAGTACATATGTGAGAAAATTGAAGAGTTCAGCTAGTGGCCAGGAGGACTGTTTACATGACCACATATGGATTTCTTGAAATACTTGAGAAATTTAAGAAGATCAAGTCTCCACAGTTTTTTAGATGACAGCTGAGCCAGGAAATACTGCCATGTTATAATTCTCCCGATCTAGTTTACCCCCAGGTTAAATTGGCTGGATTGGAACAAAACTGATTTCTCATCAGTGGCTTCAGTGGCTTACCTGTCTTCTAGAGTGGGAAAGCATAAAGACAGAATTAATAACATGAATTCTAAATGGTTTTTCTGTTTCATTCAACAAAGACTGTGGATAGGAATAATGCCTAGTATAAACTTAGATGCTTTTCCAATGAGAAGAATCTGGTATATTTTCTCTTGTCACTCATCATAAAATATCTCTGATGAGTGAATTAAACAAACTGAAGCAAACTACAGACCCTCTGGTTTTGAGGAAATGTTATAAACAGGTTTGAGTTTCAGTCCCAGCTCTGCCACTCTCTCACACAGTGACCTTTCTCAAGTCACAAAACTGCTGTGTCCCTCAGCTTACCATCTGCAATGGGAAAATTATAACATTCTAGGATCTTAAGCGTGCCACTCCAAAGAAAATTGTGCCTGCAAAGAAATATGTTTCCACTTATTGAAGTGGCTAAATAGTCAATCATCAGATAATTTTCTTTGGGAGAAATCTTCATAGCCATCTTTGAAAAACATCTGGCCTAGAGGACAGTGCCGATGACTGTTTTATGGTTTAATGCTCCAAGCCTCCTTTCTATTTGTTTTAACTGGCACACTACAGAAACCTCTTTAATAATTGCCCAAGTTATTTTCATAAAGAGATTTTTGTGCCTTTCAGACTGCATAATTAAATTTCATGTGTGCGTAAGTATGTGAGATAGATGATGGATGGATGGATAGATGGATACATAGATACATAGATAGATCACAGCTCAGGTTTGAATTCTGTAACTGTGCTCTCCCCACTTAGTGATTTAGAATAAGTCAAGCATAGACTGAACATAACCCACATCTTTTAAAGATGCTGTGTCCACTAAGCTTGTTCTAAAATAAGTAAATAGTTCCTAGGCATGCTTGATTGTTTATTATTTTATTATTTAACATAAAAGAGAGAACTTAACATGGAAGTAATTTTCAGATTAGTTACCCTGCAGCTGCTGAACCAGGATAAAAAAAAAAAGCCCCAGGGAAGCCATTGCCAGTAATGATGGCATTTTTCACACATTACTTGAAAGTGGAACAAATAAGGAGTCTGGTGCTTTCCAAACAGAAGAAAAAAAAAAACTTGAAATAAAAGCAAAAATTGAATAGAAGTAGCTGAATGCTTCTCATTCTCTGACAAGGTCGTTCAGTGTGGCTCATGGGATGAGTCTATCAGCTAAGTCTCACAAAAAGGAAATCCCATTCTTTATGTATACCCTTCACTGGAAGCTAAATGGGAGGAAGAGAATGTAGTGGAATGCATGAGGAAAGAGCATCTTTATCCCTAGAAAAGGAACAATTTTTAGTCTTCATTTTGGTTAAAGATTGGCTATAGATTTAACTCAGCTATACTGAAAGAAATATTGCATTTGACGTAGGGTGCCTAATAATCTAACCTATGTGACATTCACATTTCCCAATCATGTTTGCCAAGAAGAAATCAAGCTGCATAGCCCTGAGGGCAATTAGAGAGGTAAGAGGGACACTGTTTACTGGGCCTCAGAGTCCTGATTATAGATCATTATTATTCATATTGAGTAACAGAATAAACACTGGTACAGGAGTTCAGGAACATAAGTTCTAGATGTGTATCTGCTTGTTGGCTGTGTCTCCCTCAGAGTTGGATTAGATAAAAATTATGATCCTTTATAGTTCTACATTCTAGAGTTTTTTTTTTTTACAAGGAGCCATGAATATCTTTTGTAAATAAATCATTTTTAAGTCTCTCACTGAATGAATAACATTCATGCACACTAGAATGCAGTTGTTCTGAGGGCAACTAAAATTAGAGTGATGACCCCACATTCTGTTTTAGGAGTCTTTGAACTGCTAAATTAATGACTGATGGGCAATGAATATAGGGGTCATTTTGTTGAAGAGAAGAAATACTGTTCCACAGTTTTCTTGGGGGATAACCCTGGGCCCTTGTCTTGATTTGAAAAGGTACTCAGAATGCAGAACACAGAATTTCAGTAGATTATGAGAAAGTGAGACAATAGAAGTAAAGAATGGATAATTATGTTGGATTACTTCGCAATGAGCTACAAATTATTTAGTCCCAAGCTGTCCAATAAGGCGGGTAGTTGTCACTTGGGTATTAAGCACTTGGCTAGTATGAGTTGAGATGAACCATAAGTGCAAAATACACATTGATTTTGAAGACTTTGTATAAAAAAACTATGGAAAATATTTCAATAACAATATTAATTACATGTTGAAATGATTATATTTTGGATAAAATATATTACTAACATTAATTTTACTGTTTTCTTTTTACTTTTTAAAAATGTGCCTTTTCAAAAATTTAAGATCACTTCTGTGGCTCACCCTGCATTTTTACCAGGTGGTGTTGATTTAGACATTTGCTGACCTTACATGGACCCTGAAGGATTTCTGTTCCCTATTGCATAGCCAAGAAACAAGACTGAGATTGAAGGGTAGGGCTGGAAGTAGAGGGAAGATAGAAGCAGATTGGAAGGGAAAAAAACTAATCGCTGTGCCTGGAGCTATATGGGTTCATGCCAAAATATGTACTTGTATTTGCATCTATTTGTTTCTTTGATTGCATTGTACATGAAGGAAATATCAGTCTTGTTATTTTTTGGTTTTGTTATCCAAGTATCTTCTCTCCCTTATTAGGCTTAGTTATTTTCTAACTAGAGACACTTTGATTCATAGAAATATGAAATATGAATGTATCTTCAGCTCTTCTTCCTCCTTATTTCTAAAGCAGGGAAACCAGGAAAACATGAGAGATTCACAGGGGCCACCACCACAAGAGGTCTTTGGTAATTGATATGCTCTAATGGCGGTAGCAGACTTTGTGGGTTACTAAACACTTTCTATCCTTTCTCCCTTTCAACAATACCCCAGTTTTGACCAAGTATTCAACCTATTGGATTTTTTACTTTTTATTATTTATTATATAAATCTATTCATAGAAAACAAAATCTGAATGACCAATAAACATAAGATGCTTAATATCAGTAGTCAGGGTTATTTAAATTAAACCAAAGAAAATGAAACGCATTTCAAATTCATCAAATTAAAATTATTTTAAATTATTTCAAGTGTAAATTATTTTATTAAAATTATTTTAAAGAATTTGGAGCCGTAGATATTCTCATAAGCTGCTGGTGGAAGCATACATTGGCACAACTGAGAAGGAAATTTAACAATATCTAGTATAGTTGATACTATACGTTTCAACCTAGCAATTCTTCCTCTGAATATTTACCCTAGACACATGGAGAAGAATGTTCATAGCAGCAGTGTTTGCAATACTCTAATCAATATAAGAATGTGGTATATTATACAATGCAATATGACATAGCATTAAAATGAATGAACTGGAGTCTTATGTATTAATATTTAAAAATCTTCACAACATAATACTGATTGAAGAGAACAGAGAATGGCATTTAAGTGTGATACCATTTATGTGAAGTCTGAAGATATGCAAGAAAATACATTATTTACAGCTATCTCTTATATACGTGATAAACAAAATTTAGAATATCTCTTACCTTTGGAAAGAGAGGGATCAGGGAAGGGTACCCAGACCTTCAAATAACATTTTATTTCCTTTAAAAAAGGGGCAGGGTCAAAATGGGCTAAATGGAGACAAACCCTGCCTAAACCACTGTTTGGCAGCATCAAAAGTATTCACCAATTTCTCATTATGTATACTTTCTTCCACTTATGTAACAAACAAATCTTTTTTTTTTTTTTTTTTTTTTTGACAGAGTTTTGTTCTTGTGGCCCAGGCTGGAGTGCAATGGCGCAATCTCAGCTCACTGCAACCTCCACTTCCCAGGTTCAAGCAATTCTCCTGCCTTAGCTTCCTAAGTACCTGGGATTATAGGTTTGCACCACCATGCCTGGCTAATTTTTGGATATTTAGTAGAGACGGGGTTTCACCATGTTGGCCAGGCTGGCCTCGACCTCTTTACCTCAAGTGATCTGCCTGCCTCGGCCTCCCAAAGTGCTGGGATTACAAGCATGAGCCACTGCGCCCACCCACAAATCATTTTAAATACCTACTCTGTGCCAGGTACAGTACTAGGGATATAAAGAAGGAGAACATGTTGGTGAGAGATTCACAGACAGCACTGGGGGCATAAGGCACAGGTGTTTGGTCTGGCCTGGGACAATGGGCAGGGAGGAGCTTACAGAAGCCTTCCTAGTGAAGCAGCCCCCATGGTGGAGCGTCCAGTAATGAGAAATGAGTTAGGGAGGCAAAGGGGGAAGAAGTGAGCCTAGAAACTTACAGAAAAGGGCAAGAAAACAGAAATCCCAGCATTAGCAGACACCCAGAGATGGAAGTGGCCTGATTACTGGGCAGAAACCACAGCCAGTTTTGTGTTGCTGTGACTTGAAATGTGAATTGAGAGATAGGGCTGGAAATGGATGTAAGAGGGGAGGATAATGAGGGATGAAGCTGTAGGTTGGCGAGGAGCACATCGCATAGGACCTAGTGGGACATATAAAGATTTTTTTACCTTTAGTCAGTAGGCACTGGGAGGAAAGTGACATATCTCATCAGGGATGTTACCTGTACCTGATAAAACTGAGATTTCATTGTGACAGGAGAAGGTAGAAAGGGAGAGAAACCAAGGCAGCCAAGTGAGCTTAGAAGCAATGCAGCTTTGAATGACAACCTGAGCTAGATCAGTGGCTACACAGGTGGATTGAGCAGGATGGGCTCAAGAGATATTTTAGATGAAACAAAAGAATTTGGAGATAATTGGATATTGGGGGATAACAGCAAGTGGAAGGAGTCAAGGATGACTCCCAAATTTTTCCCAATAAACCCCTTTCTTTGCGGAGATAACACTTCAGGAAGCCAAATTTGTCTTGCACTTTACCAATTTAGCCTCAGAATCAAGTGTTATACCCTCCTTACCACATCCGCCACCTTAGGCTAAGGTCATGCTACACCCCTTGAATCTGTTATTTCTTCCTCAGTCCTTCTTTAAACCATCAGGGTTATGTAAAACCATATGTGCCTGATAATCATTTTGTGTCACAGACTAGTAATGGGCTTTATGGACTACCCTGAACATTTCTGATATAGTGTAAGAGGAAAGAAACCCAAGATATAGGTGAAATGAAGACCATTAAATATAAAAATCATAGAAGTTTAGTGTAGAGGAAGTGTTGTTCAGCAAACTCTGCTTCAGAGTCTAGCCTTAAGTCTCCTTGGGAAAACTAAAGAGCAACAAATAATTTTAGAAGGGGAATAATAAAATTCTAACAAACATGAAGCTATCACATAAATAAGATGCATGCATTTCCAACATATTTGTTTATTTGATTCCTTATAAAAGAAAGGGTAGAAGTATCAAACTTGGAAAATATTTAAATGAAATATTCAAATCAAATGTGAACACTTGGTGACTTGCTTCTTTTGGAGATTTTTAGTTTATTTATGTAAGGTTTGATCAGCCTTTCAGAGTTGTGACTTGTTAAAGATTTTACCTTTAGAATCTTTGCTTCATAAAACCCTCCAAACCACTTTCTACCAGAGACATAATATTATACAGAGCAGTCCTTTGTTGATTTTTTCCCAACCATCATATACCTTCAGCCAAGAACCACACACTAGGAAAAGCGTAACTCCCCAAAGCATTGCCAGACTATTATTTTTTTTAATGTTCCACATAATATGAAAGAGAAAAATGTCTCCATTGTGACAAAATGCATCTATGAGCCTTCCGAATGGACAAACATCAAGCGAATTCTAGCAGGACTAGAAGGAACCTGAAAGCCCACCTACTCTAATTTGCTTCTCACTTCCCTTTCCCACATCTCCCATAGTAATGGAAGTAACGATTGCTTCCTCTGGCTAGAAACTTGAAATTTGACCTGTTTTGTCAGTAATGGAGAAATCTGTGAGAATGTGAACCCACCTGTTAGAGCATTCTTTAAAATGTGAAGCTTTTATAAGCTGAGACGGGGAGAGAGACCCTAATCAAAATCAACAGGTGAATCTCCAAGAGGTGAAAGGGCAAGGAAGTGCTTGAGTATTAGCTACTCATAGTTCTACCCCCAAGAAGCAGCTGTTTACTCATCTAGGAAAAAGCCCTGCGACCAAAATATTCATGGTATCTGCTCAGTGTTCAAATCATCCAAGACACTTTTCGCTACCCAGTGTATTTGTCACCCAATAAAATCAGGCACTCTGAAGTTATATTTTTGCTTTGCCACCTCTCAGTTTGCCTACTCCTGTTTTGGGGTAACCCATTAAAAATAACAGGGATGATAATGGAACATTTAGAGAGAAGTTTTCTAGCCTGTCTCTGGCTGGACTATTTTTCTTGAGCCCCAGTGCTTGAATATCTTTGTGTGTTTTTTAACAATGGACCCGCATCTCACCACAGCACCTGTGCAAACACTGATCTTGTGTTTGATTCTACCCACAAAGAGTGAGGACTAGAGAGGCTTACCAATGGAGGAGAGCAGTTTGTTCCTGGAGCCCCGATAGAGGGCTACACTGCCACACTACAACCCTGAGCTCACTGAGAATGGCACTGTAGAGGTGTCTGAACAGAGGCCCCAGGACACAGGGTCAGAGATCTCAGCACGCAGCAAGCAGTGGGTGGAGAGCTGAGGCTGGCCTGGAACCTCATATCTCTTTATCAAATGAAACACACAAAAGAATAGGAACTTAAAAACTCTGCCAACTCCATCCCCACAGCTGCTACCTCGTCTGTGCAGACAATATTTAGTCCTGTCTTTACAAGTTAGATATAGATGTAAGAAAGGGTAGATGTGAGATAAACATTGTATTTATAAGGAAACTGTCTTCCATACGTACTGCAACTAGGAAGCCCTAAGCTTCCACACAGGCTTAGTCAATATTGTGAATGGTTGAGGCTTCACCTCTTGTCACCCACTTTTCAAGTGCCTCGAATTTTCCCTGGGCACTTATGCAGCCCTTCAGTAGCCCAGAGCTCCATGTCAGCACGCTACAGGGTCAGAATTCATATTTATAGATTGTATCACTGGAGAGGCCAGAAAATGCACTCTGTGCCTGACTTTTTCTTGTTGGTGCCTTCTTGGAAAATCTTGTTCATCATTCTTCTCATCTCTCAGGTCCTTGTTCTCTAGCCAAGCGGCCAAGTTGATCAGAATTTAGTTCCTAGTCAACAAAAGCTTAAAATAGGAGCTGTCTTTGGAGACACTTGCATTGGAAAACTTGTATTTGTTATATAGGGAGGTGGAGGTAAGGGGCAGAGCACTTACACTCTATCCGCATAAGCCTGGTCCTCATGGATATATTCAGAGTATCCTAAACTGACAGAATTGAAAGACGTCAAATTTGATTTGAAGCAAGAGCTAGAATGGGGAAATAGCTTACAGCATTTGCCCAGTTCTCTACTTATCACCTCCAGACCATTCACTTTCACCTTCACAGAATGACCACTCATCCGTGCAGTCAGTGCCGTCCAGCCACTCCGCTCACCTTGCTGCTGTCATCTACGCACCTATCAGGCCCCACATCTCCCAGAGACCCCATTCACAGAAAACACAGCCCCCAGGTCACAGTTCTCCTCTCCGCTCCAAGGCCTACTATCGTCCTGGACAGGTTCCAAAATACGTGAATGGCAAATCCATCCACCCACCTGCATACTTTCTCTCTTCCTCAAGCCAACAATGCTCACCTTTACTCCACCACAGCCACCGGCTCCCATGGACACATCACAGGCCCCAAGATCACCCAGGGTTGCTCTATCTAGAAATTTCTGAGCACACCCTGAGCCCCCACGGCCTCACCTCTTCCATTCCAATGTAACTGCACTTCAGGCGAAGACCTTCAAAACCCCTCCTCTGCCTTCTCATAGTCCTTAACCCTGCCTTCATTTCCTTTTCTACCCTCAGACACCCCACAATATCACTTCAATAATAATTCTCACGTCCTCTGCCACCCTGTTCTTTATTTTGGCTTAATTTCATTATTGGCCTTTTAGTTTCTACATACATAGTATGAAGTATTATGTATTAACACACAAACACACACGGGTTCAGATGGAGTTCATGAGAAATTTATTTAAAAGCACAGAAGCCTGTAGTTCTTCTGCATACATGGTCCTGGTCATCTTTCTCTGCTATTTCATGGAGTATCTATTCCAAATCGTAACCACATTTTCCAAGCCCACTGGCTATCATCTATCTGCTACTCAGGTTCTTTGTCCCATCTCTTTCCATCATTTTCAGAACTAGGGCTTTTCTCTCTCTCTCCTGTAATTTCATTCTTTCCATCTCTACAGTTTTCCCCCCTGCATCACACACTCGTATTCTCCATTACTCTATATATTTCTGAAGATGCTTCCCATACTCTATACCTACTTCTAGTTACTTCCCCATCTCTCTCCCACCCTTGACAGCCAAGCTCTTCAAAAGAATAGTCTAATAGACCAACTTGCCCTCAGCTATTCTGCAAACCACTGCCACTGCCTTGTCCAGATAATGATACCACCAAAAGAGCCGTTAAAGAAAGTAAATAAAACTTCCAAATTAAGAAATTATTCTTTTTTCTCACCTTGCAGCATTTGATAGTGTCAACTTTTCCTTCTTAAAACTCTCCTGCCTACTGATGCCCCTGGCCTCCTCCTTCCACTGTTCTTTACCCTTTCCCCCTTCCACTGTCCAACTCCTAAATGATAGTTTTTCTAAGGGAATAGCAAGGATTCACATTCCATCACTTTCTAGCTCTGCAAACTTGGATGAGTATCTTCAATCACTCAAGCCTTGGATTTTCTACCTTGTCAATGGGAAGAATAATAATACCTACCTCCAAGGGCTCTTGTGCTGATGAAATGAATTTGCATGTGGAATGTGCTTAGAATCATTCCTGGCACATAGTAAGCCCTCAATAAACAGAGTTGTTGCTGCTGTTGTTGTTGCTGCTATTGTTATTATGATGTACTTGGCCCTCTTCCAGACCCACAGCTAACATGGGAGGTCTCATTCCTATTACTCCCACAAATATTTGTGTCTAATGACTCCCTTCAAAAGCACTATGGAAAACACTAAACCTGTTTTATTTCCTCCTAAAAACGTACTCCTCCTCTGCTAGTAGGAGTCTCAATAAGGACAACAGTATCATTTATTTCCTCTTTCAACAAATATTTATTAGGTGTCTAATTCTTACCAGGTACTATTCTCAGTGCTAGGGAGACAGAGATGAAGAATCAGGCCAAGTCCTTGACCTTATAGGCAATAAACAAGTGAAGACAAAAATGTTCTCTCAGAGAGTGAATAGAGCTATGAAGAAAACACAGCAAGATAAGGACAGTGACTCAGCAGAGGTCGAGGTCACTATTTTAGAAAGGGTGGTCAAGGATGTTCTAGAAGAGATGACATTTGATCAGAGAGATGCTCATGCCAAGACACCAATAGATAATTAAATTCTAATATTCTTGTCTTCTTAACTTTTCTGTGTCAGCTCTCTCTCTCTCTCTCTCTCTCTCTCTCTCTCTTGCTTCTTTCAGGCCCTTGTTGTCTTTTATATCAGTTATTGTCAGATTTTTCTAACCGATCTTCCTGTCTCTAGTCTTGCAGTCTTGGCCTTTTATATTTTTCCTTTGTGGCTGAGTGGTCATTTTCAAATGCACTTTTCAAATCCAGCTGAAAAGTGACTTCCCAATCTTTCCTTAGGGAGACATGCCAGGACCTCCAAGAACCTTTTGCAACCACCCCTGCCTCTGTTGACTTTTCCAGCCTTTTGCAACCACCCCTATTCATGCCTATGCCCTCTCAACTACTTGCCTTCCCCACTCATTGACGTAATTTACTTCCTTGCCTTGGTCCATGATGTTCCTTCTGTTTACAATGCCCTTTCACCCCGAAATTATTTAAGCTACCCACTAACTTGTCTATTTCAGCAAAAGCTGAGTTTAATGAAGCCTGTTCTTCCTCATACACTATTAGCAGAACTGACCTCTCCTCTTTATGTGCCACTATTGGCTATTGTTTATGTGTCTGCTTCGCTCTTCTCAGCTCTGAGATCCTCGGGGACAAGAACCGTGTCTGAGCCCCGGTATCTCTACTGCAGTGCCTTGAACATGGTTCATATGCAATGGAGCAGGGATCCAAACCCAGGTCTGACTTCAGAGTCCACTTCGTTCCCATCAAACTCTAGAATTAGAGCCTAACCCACAGTAAAACCAAGGTTAATGATTTCACAACCAGGCTTGGTTGCAGGATCTGCAGCACTTCCTTCTACAGCTTGTCTCCCACCGTCCACCTTGCACGACTGCCATTCCATTCCTGCCACATGGGAATCCATCTGTCACACCCCACTCAGTGCCACACCTTTCTCTAGCCCCATGAAGGCCCAACGCTCCATTACTGTGAGCATGATCCTTTCAGTGGCTGTACTGACTCACTTAGGATCAGTTAAGGATCAGAAAGATCTGTGCTACTGACTCTTACTCGGTAGGCACTGGCTAGAGTACTTGCTATTTGAAAGGCACTGGGCTCAGAGCTGCAGGCATTACCCAAGGAAATCAGGTATAGCTTTTGCCCTTAAGGCACATACAGTTAGTGGGGAAGGTAGAGTCACCCATATAAGTAGGATAGAAGACAGAAAGTGAACAAGTGAACAGTAGTTTAGCAAGAATTTAGTGGATTTTTCTTGGGTTGCCAGGAAGGAACTCTGACAGTCATTAAATCTATGGTTTATCCCCACAGTGAGATCAGTTTAATTCCCTGGCTCAGTGGTGGGAAAGTCTCAAGGGTATTTGCTGCCCCTTCTCACAGCGCTCTTGATGCCAGATCACTCTCCCCCATGCAACCATCCCTATTGATCTAAGTACAAGAACATCTGGAGAACCCAGACCCCTTCGCCCTTGTTACAGTCATAGCTTGGAAAAGCTATGAGCATCTATGAAATGCTGCTCCTCCACCGTGAATGACCTTTTGTTTCCCCTCTCCCATCCATCATCTCCAGCTCTGAACAGAGTGAAGGGGAAGGCCTAGGTCTGTTCCCTACCAATGTTGCACTCAGTTGTTAATCTGCAGAACAGGTCTAACAGCAGAGTGCCTTATTCAGATATTCTGAGGCTCAGAATTTGTTTGACTTGGTTTTCATTGCTGCTTCCTCTCCCAACGACTCTGGCACTGATTGCAATCTGGAAAGAGGAAAATCTGAGCATTTCTGCTGTATTATAGAGCAATGGTCCCTCACCTGTGGGGTCCCCAAAGTCTCCCATCTAGGAATGAGTTCCATCTGCTATAATGGCAACGGGAGTTAGGGCCCTTTCTTCCGAGTAACTGAGGCAGCTGGCACTTTGTCTTTCCTATTATGGTCTTCGGTTTGTAATCCCAGTAGATTTCTACCCACTAGCTTTCTGGTCAAAGCTATAAAGGTCTGAATATGTAACCCCTTGCTCCAAATTACTTCAAAAGCTGAGGAAGCAGAGTGGACACAGAATGCTTATTTAAGTGGATGACTCTGAAAGTACAGAAGTACAATTATTTGGAGGTTACCTGCAGAAATTTCCATTTCTCTGTAATCTCAGTTGAGGAAAAGCAGCTTAAGGTGTGGCTTTCTGGTCGAACAAAGCAGGACTACTCTACCAAACAATTTTTCAGATTTCTTCCTCAATTTTTAAACATTCAGGTAACAATCTGAAAGATTTCAAAGTATTCCAGCCTTCTCCCACCATGTCTGGGTTTGCACAATCAAAGTAATGGTTTTTCCTTTAGCTATTATATACCACTATGTTCCACAATGTGTTGCGTGGAAAATTTCCCTGGGATCTGTAGTCAGATAACTTTGGGAAATACTGGGTTAAAGTTAAATAAGTTTCCTTACAGCAGGCCTAATCAAAGCCTTTAATAAGCTAAGATACATTATGAATTCCTAAGGTGTCAAAATGGAAATCAGCATTTCCCAAATAGATTGGGCCACAGAACCCTTTTTTCAAGGTGCTTCTGAAAGGACCAGTGTTCAATTGAACTTACTTTGGGAAATGCTTAGCTAAACATATCTCAAGTGTCTACTTTTCTTTTTTCTTTTTATTTTTTCACCGAGTACCCACTACAGCAGCAAGTGTTTACTTTTCTCATGTAGATCAGCCTTTAAGAGAAATTCATACTGTCCTCCTTGTCAACTTTCAGTACTTTATCAGTACTTTCGCTGACAATGCACAACCTAGTTAATGTGGTTTCTTCCTGAAGACTATAAATCCATAGCCCTGAGTGCTGAGAATAACAGCATTCCCATATCTGTCTCTTACCTAATGTGGCCTTTAAGAACACTAACCCTTTTCTCATCCAGCCCTCTTTGGAAATATCACACCATTAGACAGTTAACAGTGCTGTCTAGTTTTAATAGCCTGAGACACAATTTTTGACAAATCACAGTCAACTCCTCAGTCAGATGGCGACAATAGCTAACACGTATTGGGCACTTGTTTATTACCATATTAAATGGCCACAGCAACCCACTGAAATAGGCAGTATTATTGTTCCCATTTTATAGGTAAACAAGCTGAGGGATGTTAAGTAACATGCTGAAGGTCACACAGGTAGAAAGTGGTTGAGCTGGGATTTGAGTCTTATTCCAGAAACTACACCCTTATCCACCATTCTGTACTGTCGTGTGAAGTGAAAAAAACCTAAGAAGGTTTGTAGGCATATATCTAAAAGTAGATAGCTGACGGCATAGTCTCAGTTATCTGAACCTCTGCCATATAGGTGTCAATAGATAGTCTCTAATATACCGGCACCAAGAGTTTTCTCAGCATGAATTTCCTTCTTATAAGCAGCCTTAAGAAAGTTAGCAATTATAACTTGGCAGAGGTCAAAAGCAGTGCCTTTTGAAAGATATCATAGGTGAATGCCCATATGGTGTGTTTTTTTAGGACATCTTCTGCCCCACAAAGCTTTCCCTGAGAAGTATTTGAAATACCACTGCAGTGTTAGCAATTTTTCATCTAGATTAAGGCATTGTACATTGTTAAAATGAAAAACCCTTGGAAGGTGTGACACATTTTTATTATCATTATTATTTTTTAGCTATCATGTATTCTTCTTTTTAGCTGCAATAGCTAATGTGTAATAGCTACAATCTCACTGAGTGCCTACCATATTCCAGAAATTGTACCAGATTATCTACATACATTATCTCTTTTCTTCTTTCAGCAATTTTGTTCGATAGGTTTTATTACCTATGATTGACAGAGAGGCTGAGGCTCAAGGGAGCTTACATAACTTGCCCAAATTTCCACAATTTGCAAGTGGAGAATGATGATTTAAGAGTGAGCTCTTTCCAAATTTCCATTTTTTATGTTTATCCATATTAATATTTCAGAACAAGTTCATGTGTTAGTTTCCTTCCGAACTAACCAGTTAGCTGAATATGTCATGAAAGAAGCGAACAGAAAGATATCCCGGCTAACACAGATTCATATGAGGGCATGCATAGCATGTTGAAGGACACCAGGCCCATTTTGGCAGAAAGGATATATGAAAGCCAGTAGATACAGAATATGCAATAGTATGCAGCATTTGGAGACTCAGGACTAGATTTTCACAGAGTAACAAAAAATACATCTTAAAACATAGAGCTGTGTATAAAAAACAAGAATGTTAATAAGCACTATAGCTTCTGTGTAAAATTTTAAATCATGCACACAAAAATACTGCATGTATTTATGGACACAGGAAAATTCAAGCATGTGCATCAGTGGTTAACTATGCCAGAAGGAGAATGGATATGAAGGATAAGGCAAAAGAAGAGAGAGAGGAGGGAAGGGCCATGGGAGGGAGGTTGGAAAGGAAGAAGAGAAAAAAAGGAAGAAATATCATAATGTAATGTACCCTGAATTGGGTAGTATGATTCATTCAGCTTTCTAAACCTGAGATCCAAAAACGTAACAGGAAAGAAGAGAGAGACTGGGGAGGAAATCCACATGTGTCCCACTGCCAAGTGGGTGCTTGAAGTGCTGATAGCTGAGAGTCACCAGGACAACAAAGAACACACAAGGAAAAGGAGATGGAAGAATTGATCTCACAAGTTAGGAAAGAGGTGCTGCATGGTAAGATAGAAATGCACTAGATCTGAAGTTCGCACCTATGCAATATTCCAGCAAAAAGTTGAGGCATTTCAAATTTAGAATTTAGTGCAATGTCTTTAGGACTCTATAAAGGCACAATGTGACCTCTGCATTTAGCTCAGCACAGAGCTGTCAGAAAACGCAAGCCTCCTGACATGATGCCCACAGATTCACAACATGGCACTCTACAAAGAGCCATCTATCTGGTGTCTTCTTGTCAGCTGGTTTTCTGGCATATAAACTAAGAAGCTCGAAACTCAGATGAGAAAAGTAGCACAAGCAGTTAAAACAAAACAAAACAAAACAAACAAACAAACAAACAAAAACGCACTTTATTGTCCAGAGGAGCTCAGCCAGGGAGAAGACTACAGGGAAGGTGAAGGGACAGATCTTGAGACCAGCCCACAGATGCAGTCTCCACACCCTCCAGTCACTGTGGGACGCAGGTATAATGAGCCGCTTGCTGAAAGCAGAGAGGGTGGGGAGAGAGTCAGCTCATAGTCTCCCCAGTCCCCACCTGCCAGGATGGAGCTGAGTAAAACAGGGTGACCTGAAGCTTATTAAGATAATACTAAAGGAGGCCAAGTTCAACCACATATTCTCATCCAATATCCTGAACTGACTACTCCCATGTTTAGAGTTTGGCGGGACTCAGAACATGCTGTGCCAAGCTTTTGTCTCTGCAATTGCTAAACCCATGTTTATTTGAAGGTAGAATTAATCCATGTATTTCTGATTGCCCATTAGAACTCATCAAAACGAAGCCCTGCAAAAAGCCTGTTTGATGTTCAAAAAAATAATCTGAAGCCATCACTCTTGTGAACAGGAAGTTGGGCTTTGCCAAAAATAAACCACTCCAAATTTTGAAAGACTTCATTTTGGTCTGATACTTTATAAGATATTTGAACCTCTTCTCTGCAGACTTGGCCCAAACTTCATCTCTCTGTGTATCTTTTTTTCATCCACAGTCCATGCTGTTTGTTATTTAGGGTGTGATGGTGATTTCTGTCATCTGGGATGAGAACACTGCTAAAAATTATACTGTGTAACTAGTAGCAAAAAATAACATGTTATTTCTTTCATATGCCAAGTCATGGTTTCCACTTTCAAGATGGATAATTTTTATTTCAATCCTTCTTACTTTTCTTGCTGAATATTATTTTTTTCATCATGGTTAAAAGATATTAACTAGTCAGTCGACAAATATAAATATTATAGTGTTGAACTTGTGGCATATTTTTTATATTAAAAAACAATCTAATAATTTCATTTTAACTTTTAACTCATACACACATATACATTACATATGCATGTTTATTTCTGGACTTTGGTGGTAGTGTCTTTTTTTTTGTTTTTCTTTCAAATAAAAAATTAAGTACATGATCTCAATCACTGAGATCCAACCTCAAAATTCTCTGATTCAGTCATTAACTCTATAAGGCATTACTATAAAGTAATGAAACACAAGCCACATCTGAAAATTGTTCTCACCTGTAATATCTTACAAATATTCTGTACATAAAATGTACGGAATGGATTCAGCCCATTTATATGGTAGGTTTGGAAATATGGATTTGTAAATACTTCTTGCTAGGCTTACAATATCCGTAAATACCATATAAATATATTTCTTTCCTCATTAAGAAATTTGCATCAAAAGCTCTTGAGTACAATATACCATTTGTTCCATTAGTGAGTATGACCAATTTAATGGTTTTATTTAATGTAGGGAATGTGAGAGTAGAAAAAAGATAGTGCAGGTGTATTCATTTTCTTCCCTTACAGAATTAATGTTTCTTTTAGCTCAATCATCTGTTCCACGGCAGAGAAAGAACTTGATTCTCTCTCACATCTGGATGTCTTTATCCTGATGAAAACTGTAATTAATACTGCAACCCAAACTCCCATTTTCACGGGGACCCAGTGCTCTTAGTTGTTTCCTGGTGGTGCCACTCGCCTAGCAGTCCCTGGTGAAGGGGGAAGCAGGAGCTCAGAGGAGGCATAAAGAGCCTTCCCAGTCAGTGTCGCTCTAGTGCCCTTGAGCCCCTTGTGTCCCTCACTGTCATGAGAACGCAGCTCTGGCCTGGAGAGGATGACAAGGTTGGGCAGGTTTTTCTTCTGTGAGTCTCCTCGCTCATCAGGGAAACATGACTCTCCAGTCCCTCTGAAACACTTGCAGGTGTGTAAGGTGAAAAGTCCGGGAGGTGAGCAGGACTAGAAAGCACCCGAGATCAAGGCATACAGAAAAGGGGAGTGAAAGGGCAAGAAGTGCCAGTTCACAGGCTTGTAATCAAAACAAAAATCTTCTCCAGGTTGAGACTTTGACAGCTCTGGCACTTTGTTCACTGAGGCTGCACCCTTTGATCCTGCTGGGTGAGCTGTGGTGGGCACTGAGATGTACCAGGTCTCGGACTCTGAGACAAAAACTGAGGGGTCTGCAACCCTTTCTGGGCCTTTATTTTTGTCGGTTAAAAGGCAGAAAACTATCTAAGGAAGCCATTAGCTTTTTTTGAAATAAAAATATAACCTTTTCTTCAGTTATGAAAGTAACATGCTCCTTATAGAAAATTCTGTAAATACAGAAAAATGCAAAGAAGAAAATAGAAATCACCCAGAGATAAACATTGTTACTATTGTGAAGTGTTTTCTTCCATCATCTATTTCCCATGCATTTATGTGAACAAATTGGAATTATGCTCCATGTAGTTTAGGGCCCTGCTTTTTAAATTTCCTATAATGTAAGCATTTTCCCCAGATCACTAAGTAGTCTTCAAAATACAATTTGGGATGGTGGAATAGTCATTTTCTTTAATGGAACAAGGTTGAAATATTTTAAGTTGGATAAGATCATAGGCCTTTTCTAATAAGTACATGTACTTATTAGATTTTATTCTGTGTATTTCATTTTTTCATTAAGAATTTTCTGAGGTAGGATGGTGGAAGAAGCCCTAATTCAGCAGGTTCATTGAGGAGTAGGAAAAGCTGATCTGTAGTCTTCCGCAGATTAGAGCTTTGAGCTCACCATATGTGGAACTCTACTCTCCAGCCATTGTCTCCAAAGGCAAGAAGCAGTAATGCCAAACCCTGCCACTTCTTCTTCCCTAACATTTCTGAATTTCTGCTTTATTTTCAGGATGTTAGGGAATGATGGGATGTACTGAGAAAAAAAATGAAGCAATAAATAGAAAGGCAAGCAGAGAACTCAAAAGAAATGAGCGTACACTACTATGACAGAGATTATGACAAACTTTGATTAAAATGGTGATTAAATATGCAACACAGGAGTGTGGAGGAAGATGGCCAAATAGAAGCCTTTACTGATCGCCACCCCCACCTCCCCCCACCGCTGGAACACCCAATTTCAACAACTAACTACACACAAAAAAGCACCATCATAAGACCCAAAAGTCAAATGAACAATCACAGTACCTGGTTTAAGCTTCATATCACTGAAAGAGACACTGAAGAGGGTAGGAAAGATAGTTTTGAATCATGAACACCATCCCTCCCCCATATCCTGGCAGCAGAGCTAAGTCTGCAAAGAGAATCTATGCACTTAGGGGAAGGAGATCAAAGTGAATGGGGAACATGGCATTGAACTCAGTGCTGCCCTGTCACAATGGAGGACAAAGCCATGCTGGGCTCAGCCGGGGTGCACCCACCAAAGGAGCATTTGGACCAGTCCTAGCCAGAGGGCAATTTCCCATCCCAACAGTCAGAACTTGAGTTTCTCAGCAAGTCTCCACACTGCAGGCTAAAGGCCTCTGGGGTCCTAGGTCAACTTGAAAGGCAGCCTAGGACACAAGGACTGTAAATCTTATCCAAGTCCTAGTGCTGTGTTGGGCTTAGAGCCAGTGAACTAGAGGAGTACATGACCTAGGGAGACACCAGCCTTCAAATTACTACTACAGAGCTATAGTAACCAAAACAGCATGGTACTGGCATAAAAACAGATATATAGACCAAAGGAACAAAAATCCACACACTTACAGTAAACTCATTTTTTGCTAAGCTGCCAAGAACATACACCGGGGAAAAGATAGTCTCTTTAATAAATCGTGCTGGGTAAACTGGATATCCACATGCAGAAGAATGAAACTAGACCTCCATCTCTTGCCATATACAAAATCCAATCAATATGACTCAAAGACTTAAATTTAAGACCTCAAACTATGAAACTACTACAAGAAAACATTAGGGAAGCTCTCCAGAACACTGGTCTGGGCAAAAATGTCTCGAGTAATACCCCAGAAGCACAGGCAACCAATGCAAAACTGGACAAATCAGATCACATCAAGTTAAAAAGCTTCCATACAGCAAAAGAAATGATAAAAAAAAAAAAATGAAGAGACAGCCCACAGAATGGGAGAAAATATTTGCAAACTGCCCATATGATAAAGGATTAATAACCAGAATATATAAGGAGCTCAAACAACTCTATAGGAAAAAAAATCTAATAATCCAGTTAAAACATAGGCAAAAGATCTGAATAGACATTTCTCAAAAGAAGACATATAAATCGCAAATATGAGAAGGTGCTCAACATTGTTGATCATTAGAGAAATGCGAATCAAAACTACAGTGAGATATCCTCTCACCTCAGTTAAAATGGTTTTTATCCAAAAAACAAGCAATAACAAATGCTGGTGAGGATGTGGAAAAAAGAGAACCCTTGGACACTGTTGGTGGGAATGTAAATTAGTAAAACCACTATGGCAAACAGTTTGGATTTTCCTCAAAGAACTGAAAATAGAGCTACCATATGAGCTGGCAATCCCTCAGCTGGGTATATACCCAAAATAAAGGAAATTAGTATGTAGAAGAGACATCTGCATTCCCATGTTTGTTGTCCTGGTGTTCACAACAGTCAACATTTGGAAGCAACCTAAGTGTCCAACAACAGATGAATGGATAAAGAAGATGTGATACTTATACACAATGAAGCATCATTCAGCCATAAAAAAAGAATGAAATCCTATCATTTACAACAGTGCAGATGGAACTGGAGGTCATTATGTTAAGTGAAATATGCCAGGCACAGAAAGACAAACATTGCATGTTCTCACTTATTTGTGGGAGCTAAGAAACAATGGAACACCTGGAGATAGAAAGTAGAAGGATGGTTATACCACAGGCTGTGGAGGGTAGTTGGGGGATGCAGGGAAATGAAGGATTAATGGGTACAAAAAGTAGTTAGAAAAAATGAACCACACCTAGTATTTGATAGCACAACATTGTATTGACTATAGTCAATAACAATTTAATTTTATATTTAAAAATAACTAAAAGAGAATAATTTTATTGTTTGTAACACAATGGATAAATGCTTGAGGGGAAGGGTACCCCATTTACCATGATGCGATTATTATGTATTTGCATGCCTACATCAAAGTCTCTTATTTATCCCATAAATACATACACTTACTGGCTGGGTGCAGTGGCTCATGCTTGTAATCCCAGCACTTTAGGAGGCTGAGGTGGGTGGATCACGAGGTCAGGAGTTTGAGACCAGCCTGGCCAACACAGTGAAACCACATCTCTACTAAAAATACAAAAATTAGCTGGGCGTGGTGGCACACACCTGTAATCCCAGCTACTTGGGAGGCCGAGGCAGGAGAATCGCTTGAACCCGGGAGGCGGAGGTTGCAGTGAGCTGAGATTGCACCATTGCACTCCAGCCTGGGCAACAGAGCTAGACTGTCTCAAAACAAAACAAAACAAAACAAAACAAAATATATATATATATATATATAGTATGTGTATACATATATATGTATATATGTGTGTGTATATATATATACGTGTGTGTATATATACACACACACACACACACACACACATTTGCTATGTACCCACAGAAATTTTAAAAAGAAAAGATATATGCACCACAGAAAGGTTAATTAATGGGTTTCTGTACTGGAAATATGAAGGTGACAAAATAAAGAACATAAGACATCACGTAGGAGACAAAGAAAAGAGAAAAAACAAAGATTACATTGATCAAATTAAACCCAATGTATGCATACATGGCTGGTAAAACTATATGTTAAAAAAAGAATCCAGGGAATAATTAACACAACCTCAAGGACAGAGTTTGCCTTTTGCGAGGTAGGAGCTTATAATGAGGGAGAGTCCCCAAAAAGGGCTTTTCCATGGTGGCAGTGTTTGATTTCTTGACCTGTGTGGCTTCGTTGCATGGTAATTAATCTGTGAAGGTCATATGTTCATGCACTTTTCTGTATGATAAGCTCAAAAGTAAGACAAAAAGCATCTAATCAATTCCTGGAGATACTAGCAAGGTGTGGAATTTATTTGTGTTTGAACTGGAGGAGAATAATTCTTCAATAGGGAAATACAGAGGAGAAACAGCCTTTTGTTTAAAGGGGAAAAAATGAAAAGATAACTCGTATGTGGAAATTGGGCTGGGAAAGGACAGAAAGATGCTGCTAGTTTGCAGCTACTTAGATAAAAGGGTTGTACAAAGTTCCTAAGGTTGAGTAAATTAAGCTCCCAGCAAAGATCTTTAAATACTGGTGAAATGAGAAAGGAGCAGGACAATGAAGTAGGCACTACTGGTTATACAAGTGTATGTGTGTGAGAGAGAGGGAGAGAGTATACATGTGCGTATGTATGTGTGTATGTTTGTGCGTGAATGTACGTCTGTGTATACATATATATGACTGAATATATTAAAAGTCAGTGGCTATCACCATTGTTCAATGCAATTCATTAATTTCAGAGGGCTGGGAAGCAGAAAATCTAGGATGCAGTACTACTAAACTGTTATTAATATTTTCTAAGTAATTTGATTTTTAAAATAAAAGGGTGGTAAGGTGCAGTAGTTAAGTCTGGCCTTTGAAGCCAGACTACTGGGATCAAATTTCACTTTGCACTTATTAATAACTTGACTCTGGGCAAGTTTCTTAATGTATTTGTGACTTTATCACTACAAAATGGGGATTGCAGTCCCTACCTCACAGGATTGTCATGAGGATTAAATGAAATAATAAATGTTATTTGCTTTAACACAATGCCCATAAACATTGGCTATTATTATTCTTGTTACCAGTCATTTGTATGGGTCTTAGCTCTAAAATAAAAGTGCTGGACTAAACAATTATAAGGGACCTCATCCTACTAAAAAATGATGGGATTTCATTCCCATGGCTGTGACTTTGACGTGTTGGGCTGTCAGAGAGCCAAGAGTAATCAGCTAAAATTGCATCCAAGTGCAGAGTTGAAGAAATATGAGTTGCAAATCACTCCCATTATTCTGAGTCCACGATAACATATCCACCAATAGGAACTGGATATAGTGAAGGTCGACCTCCTTCCCCTGCTGATATCTCCAACAAATTGACTGAATTGATCATTCAAAATAATCCCTGAGATAATGGAATGCTTGATGTTTCCTTCCCTCAAAGGGTCTGGCAGATAATTCTTTATAAAAGTATTATTCAAGAGAAAGAAAGCATATACATTTTTAATCTGCTTTAGTTTAATAAAAAGTACTGTCCTTAATACTGACTTTGCTTGTATTTGCTGATCACCAACTGTAACCCCAATGTACTGAGAATGTCCCAGGACTTTTCAGCCATTGACTGCCCATCGTATGCTCTAATCATTGTCATGATACTCTTTAAGGATGGGTCAAAGATGAAACAGAAAATGTTTTCCTGTTCCCCACACTCAGAAAATACTGTTGAATATTTTTGTGACAGTTAGGTGTATCTTTTGTCTTATATCCAAATAGCTTTCCATCTGTCCTTTAGGATAGCACAAGAAGGAAAGTGTTTATATCTTTACCCTTAGTCACCATGATGTTGCATACTTCAACCCATTTGCTCCAGCCCACCACATTCAGAGCCCCCTTCCATGTCTCAGTCTACAATTCCTTTACATCCCAAACTGGATAGGTGAAGTCCGTCAACTGGTTTTGGGTTTGTGCCCAGTAGACCATGAGTAATGCAGAGCTATTTTTTAAAGTTTATTGTGTATATCTGAATTTTCAAAGGTTAAAAGCAGTGTTAAATATTGTGAGTACTGTTTAAATTCTTTTTGTTACCCTCATAGGAAGTGAGAAAGAAAATGTGTAGTAATAACTAAAGATGTTACCTCAAATATAAATCAACATATTTTTATGAATGTTTCTTCTTTTTGTGGAAAAATTACAAAATTTGTTCAATGAGACAAATTAAGTTTTTTTAAAACTGTACTAGGTTTTTAAAATGAAAATCATTTATACTAAGTTACTACACTTTCAGGTAACTTTAACTCGAATCTTGTCCATGATCTGAAAACCAAAAATACTATAATTTCATAAATTCAAATGCTCATGAAATAGAATATATTTTATGAAAACAGTTGCTTCAATGAAAACATTTACAGAGGAAAATCCAGGGAGGCAGAACTGATATTTTGTAGGTGCTGGATAGAGATCTTGAAGGGCAGAGGTTGGTAAATCTTCTGTCCTTCTTCCAGTTGGTAAGTGGACAGAAGTTGGTAAATCTTCATAAAGTTTCAAAAGATTCATCTTATTGAAATTTAACAGAGTGAAATGGGATACTCCTGACAAAGGACAAGTGGCAAAGAAGGGCAATGAAAGTCCTGAAATAAAATCACCAAGAGAGGGGATAACATCTAACCATGTATCAGTAGGGAGGTCAAGGTGGGATGGAAGTTCCACATTTCTGAACTACTGAACCCCAGAACATATTTCAGCAGCCAAGAGGGAGCCAGCTTGTATGCTGAGAATGTGGTTGTGTAATGAAATCAAAGAGTTACACTGCTGCCCTAGGCCAGTATCATCTCCTTGAACTACTGCAGCCAAGAGAGGAATTTGCACTAGCCTCAGTGACAACCACTGGAACAGAAAACTCAGCCCCAGCATCAGCACTTTGGGTGTAACAGGAAGCAGCGATGCTCTTCAATATTAGAAGTGGCCACAGTGGTGAAAGCAGGACAATTCCCTGACCATCTGGATTTGAGCTGAGGTCTACTTTAGTAGCTCCATCTGAAACAACTACTTTAAAGATGATTGTGGAGTTCTCCAGCCTCATGGGTGCACGGACCTAGCTGAGGTTGGATCCAGCTCCAGAGGTTACCCTTTAGAAAACATGAGTTAGCATCCTGAAGGATTCTTGGACATACCAGGGCGAGGGGCAAGGGGAGGAGACAAATTTTCTCATAAAGGAAACCTCCACACAGCCTATTATCCCTGACCGCGAAAAGGAACAACAACATTACATAATACTCAAGGAACACCTAAAGTAAAAAACTATTTGTAAATTTACAATATTTTTGGCACTACATTAGGAGTCATATTGATTAAGACAATTTTGCTGGAACCAGCTTTTTTAAACTCCCTACTCTCATACCAACATAAACAATACCCAAATTCTAAGTACAAATACGAATACCTGCTCTCATTTGAAGTGAAAACTTAATAACAAAATCCTTCAGATTAAAATGCTGATCCACCAGCAAGATCACATAAGCATTTTAAGTTTATTTATACAGCAGGATAAACATATGTCTAGCGCAAAAAAAAAAAGTTTTTGACTAAAATTAAGTTTGGTAAGTCTGTATTATAGTTTTCTTCAAAACATTGCATCAAAAAATAATGTGAAAGGGAACTGTAACCAAACTTTAATCAATCACTGTTAGTTTTTTACATGTTCTCGTATGTCCTAGTACGACTAAACTTCCTCTATTCCATTATACCCCATTTTGTATTTGACTTTTAAGAGAATAAATATAGCTACATATTAGAATTGCATTTTCTTCTACATTTTACTTGAATCCGGGAATACACTTTCTGTTTTCTAAACTCCAATCAGGCTTTCTTCAAATTGAAGATTATCTCTCATGCTAGTTCATGAATTTATTTCTCCTAAGCTTAACCTCATTTTCTATTTTCAAATAAAATATTCCTCCTTCATTTATTTTAAGAAAGCTAGAGACTACCCCCTGTTATTGTCAGACATACATAAATTTTTACACTGAACTCGAAGGAGTGACGATCCATAAGTTGGTAATGAAAGTTGTACAGAATAGCAGCCAGCCCACGATGAGTTCGTGTAGTGGAGTTGAAGGCAGAAAATGGGGAAGAAGGGCTCATTCAGTTCCAGTCCATCAAGTTCATAATAAGCAATTAAATATCTGTAATTAAATCTCCATTTACTCAGCCAACCAGAACGGCACGTTCAAATCCAGTCTTCAGGGTAAGTAACAAGCTTTATAAAAACTACACTCATGAATTCTGATAATAAAGAATGTAACAAAAACAATAAAAAATAAATGTGTGCTTAAGAGATCTGGTGGCATTTAAGGTCTAGACAGGCTTAGCTGAACTCTGAAATTAATACACACCTGCAGAAATAAAATAAACAACACTAAAAATTAATATGCATTTATTTCAGTACTGGATAAGGGTAGCAATTAATGTGGGCAAGAAAGGGGTTTAAGAATGAAACACCTGTGGGTATTAAAAATGGTAACATGCCCCTTTAAAATTATTTCTGTTGCTAGGAACAATATTCACGACACATGGAAGAGGGAGATTTATAATATCATAAAAATGTGATTGCTGGACTCTAGTAGCATTCGTGGGTCTCAATAATACCCTCATTCTATATAAGACAAAATGGATTATATGGCTTTCCATAAAAAAATAATAAACACAAAAACAGTTTCTAATTTGAGTGAAAGTGCTGCTAATAAATGATTGTAAGAGTTACTGTATTAGGGTTTATTGGGCACTTCATGTTTCAGAAATCTGAATTAGAAATGTAGCATTCAGCAGAAGTGAAAATATGACCTCTGTTTTCCAGTAGCTTACATTGTATCTGGAGACTCAAGACCTACAAGAAACAAGTTCAGAGCAATTGTAAAGACGTGCACACACATCCACTTGCAAGATACTTTCCTCTCATTATTTCACTAGTCCTGTAATTCTCGTATAATATGGAAGGAGAGGAGAGCCATTATTTTTATCTTCCTTTTTTAGTTGGCAAAACTGAGACAATGCAGGCTTTTGGGCTTGAAAACCTTCAGTTATTCTGTAAAATAATATAACTAAAGGATTAAACAATAAAATCAGGTGCTGAGGTAAGCAGTTACGTACAATATCTTAGTTACAGCTTAAAACAACCTTATGAGATAGAAATACAAATATATTCCCATTTTAGAAATAAGAAAAATAAAGCTTATCAATAACTTGCTTCAGGACACCCAGCCCATAAGTGATGGCACCCGGATGCAGAATTTGACCCTCTTTCTGTCTGACTCAGAGACCATGATCTTAACCATTACAGTAGCCCACCCTCCACCATATACTCTGCTCTATGAATTTTGGCAGGTGACTTAACCTCCTTGAGTTTCAGTTTCCGCATGGATAACATGCAGCTAACAACATCTATCTCTGCAACTATTATGTGGATTAAATGGCATGACTTTTACTAAATTCTTGCCCCAGTAAATACTCCATAAAAGATGTTTATTTCTCTCCCGCTTTCTCTTGGGGGATTTTCTAAAGGTTATGCTGCTAACAAATGGTAGATCCAGTGCCAAGACCTATGTCCTCTGCTTCTATGTTTTTAGCTTGCCACAAGTCTCTTCCACAATATGCCAGTGCTGCGCAATAATCACAATAGGCATTTTCTTCTGTTCATAACATTTATTGCAGTTCCACTACTTATATGCCCAAAGGCGTTGTTATGTAATAGAGAAGAGCAAGAAGCTGGTGTTCCTCAACATTCCCTAGACATTCATTTGAAAAGCTACTTTCTCTGTAAGCTACGGAACAACCAATGACTTTTTTTTTAATTTTTGAGGGGGATAAGGGTGAGACATGCTAACTGAAATAAAATGATATGTTCTACAAACAAAGGAAGTCCTGGAGATTATTGATAAGTACTCAGATTTGGGAACTATACTGTGAGAATATCATTAAAACCATAAGGCAACCAGCTGGCAAACTATTATTTCTAGAGATGCAGTAGATTTCAATTGACTTGTTTCATTCACTGGGGTTCCCTTTTCTTTTGGATATTTCTTACTATGCTATCAGAAGTGTTTTAGCATTTTCTATAATCTGAAACGAATTGTTTAAGAAAGTGTAATTTACATGCTAAGCCTGTACAAGGACACAAACATAGTCAAATTCTCCATCAGGTAGTAACTTACTAACCAGCCCCACTGGCTAACATACATTAAGATGCAGTGAGTTATGTTTTGAAATGCATGAGTTGTGTCTTGGTGTTTGAAGACCAGATAATACAGGATCTTAATAATTAGTTGTAAGAATAATCACTTGTAATCACAATAATCACTGGCAAAATGTTAATAACAATAATATTGCATGGTGACAATTCTTCCAGCTCCGACACTAACTGAAAGCCGTCCTTCTCTGCCGAGGAACAATAGAAACCAGAGGTGAGAACTTGCAGTGAATCTTTGAATTATTCATGAGATCATACATGTCACTCTCATCTGTATGTTAAAAAAAAACCACTAGAGTGTAATAGCACATTAGTGATGCAAATTACCAAAAGGCAGACTTTATTCTGGTTTAGTGATGATTTTCATAATTCGGTCCACACAGCATCCTTAGTGAAGTGCCTGTTTTTATTCTTTACTGTTGCTAGGATTCATTTTGCTTGGCCAGGTCAACATTTTGGACATCTTTATTTCACTTAACTCATATTTATCCATTTTTATCAGCTCCTAATGCACAGCAACATTGATTAAACCAATTTCATAATTCCTCTGAGATGTAGTTAGAGTAAGTTTGCATCATTTGTACATTTAAAATATGCAAATTTAATAATACATGCACAAATGAGGGAAAATAGGCTATAAAAGGACATGAGAGAGAGAAAGAGGAAAGAATAAAGCAAATGTGGTTAAAATGTTAACACTGGGAATTTTGTGCTGTCCTTGCAACTTTTCAGTAAGTCTCAAATTGTGTCACAATAAATAATTAAAAGAAAGAATTACCTTGCAACTCAGCCTGCCATTCTACTAAATGAATATAGGCCATGGAATAAGAGAAGATGGGAAATGAGATCTTCAGTTAGCCACAGTTAATGTGTCCCTTATAATGTGAGCATCATGCCATGCTCAGTATGACTCTACTGTTTCAAAATATGTATTTGTGGTATAAAACTGTATTTAAAAAATCTTGCCCAGGTGCGGTGGCTCATGCCTGTAATCCCCGCACTTTGGGAGGCTGAGGCGGATGGATCACTAGAGGTCAGGAGTTCAAGGCCAGCCTGGTCAACATGGTGAAACCCCATCTCTACTAAAAATACAAAAATTAGCCGGGTGTGGTGGCGCGCATCTGTAATCCCAGCTACTCAAAAGGCTGAGGCAGGAGAATCGCTTGAACCCAGGAGGCGGAGGTTGCAGTGAGCCAAGATCGCACCACTGTACTCCAGCCTGGGCAACAAAGGGAGACTCCATCTCAAAAAAAAAAAAAAAATCTTGCATATGCGTCTTTATTACATGCTATACATTATATAATTGTTAAACACAGTTATAGAGCCCTGTACACTTTAGTTCAATGGTGATTTAAGGTTTTCAAGGGTGATTTTGGTTGTATGTGATTTTTGCCTTACATGGTAAATTTAGATCTTGTCCCTAAGTAAGATGTGACTCCAGTGAACTCTCACAGGATGAAGAAATAATTTACATGAATTAGTGAGTTAACATTATTGTCTTGATGGCTAGTCTATAGTCATAATATCAAGAGCGTAAATAAATCTGTCCAAGTCAGCTTTCCTTCCCTTTCTCCTTTCTGGGCTCTTTGTCCCTTTTTATCACTCTGCTATCAGAGTGGCTAAAGTGCCCTGATGTCCCTGGTCACCAAATGAAAACATCCAATAACCTTAATGTGCTATATGTCTCAGGTTGTTTTATTTGGGGGCGAGGCAATGCTGTCTGGAAAAAGTAACAAACAAAAGGAAATCTCTGACAAATCTGAATCATTAACGGGGCTGACAAATCTGAATCATTAACGGGGAAGAAGTCTTTGAGCAGGGAGCATTCTGGAGTTCTGTGATTATTAATTATACTGACATACTTATTCCATTTATTTCTTGCCCACTTTAACCCCTGCCACCACTGACTTCAAGTTGCATTTATTTTAATGTGCCAAGCCTACTACAGGTGCACTATGTATATTTTAACACAGGACAAATTTGGCAAGGGAAATTTTTACATTGTATGTCAGAATATTCATCTTTTGGAGATTTGGCAGTTGCTGTAGCTATCGTTGCTTAGACTTTGAAATAAATGTAAAATGTAGTCAAAAGAGCCTAGGACTAAGAGTTGAAAGAAGTAATACAAATTGCTTGTTACTCAAGTTGCAAAATCTTTCTATGCTTCATTTTCATAAAAGACATGAAGACCATTCAGTGTCTTAATAATTACTTATGCATAATAACCCCTTGTGATAACGTTAATGAAAATTTGCCCTACCTAGCTTGTAGTGAGGACAAAGAGATAATGTTTATGAAAGTGATTTATAATCTGTAAGCACAAAGTAAACACAAACAAGATATTAACTGTGATGGCTAATTTAATGTGTCAACTTGACTAGGCCATTACGTGCCCAGATAATTGGTCAAACACTGTTCTGGTTGTGTCTGTGGGATGCTTCTGTATGAAACTAACATTTGAATTGGTAGACTGAGTAAAGTAGATTGCCCTACCCAATATGGGTGGGCCTCACCCAATCCTTTGAGTAAGGGAGAATTTGCATGCTCTCTCTGCCTAACTGTCTTTGAACTAGGATACGGATCTTCTATTGCGTTTAAACTAATTCAGACTGGAACTTGCACCACCAGTTCTCCTGGTTCTCAGGCCTCTGAACTCAGACTGGAATTATACCATTGACTCTCTGGGTCTCCAGCTTGCTGACTACTACTATCTTGGGACTTCTCAGTCTCCATAATCACATCAGCCAATTCTTTAAAATGAATGAATAAATAAATAAATATACTATTGGTTTTATCGCTGAAGAATCTTGATTAATACACTAGCTATGAAAAATATTTATTTCTTACACCCGTGAGTTGGATAATTTAAAAGAATGACTAGTGGGCAGTTGTGTCAATCAACCAGTTTCATGACAACATCTATGCCCAATGACAATCCTGAAAATTCCATACCCCTCTCCTCCACCACATCCTAAAATCACTAAAAGGACTAAAGATTCCAAGGTGGTATAGGACAATCCCAGCTAGAGCAATGCTGAATTTATTTCCAGGATAACCCATTTCCACACAGCTTGTCCTCTTGACCCTTAGACTGCTTCACAGTCACACAAAAGAAAAGAAAATGAGATTTCATAGTTTTAAAAATGAGAAATTACAAAGCACCATACTAAGCAAAAATTGCCATTATGGATCTAATTTATCTCACTGTGACAATGTCTTATAGATTTCATGTTCCTCTGGAGAAGGTTTCTGTGTGTTCCTGGTCATTATCACACTCTCACAGTGATGCTTGTCTTTGCAATAACATAGCTGTAATAATCGTACACCCTCCACTATTTTCACAGGCTTTTTGTTTTGTTTTCCTTAAACCTTCTCTAAATTAAGTATTTAAGATATTAAATGCCCTCAGTACAAAGTTAAATAAGGAGAAACCATCTGAGGCACAATCCTCATCAACGATAATGAAACAGTGTCACAGTTTTATTCACTTGTAGGATTCTATTTCTGTAATGCTTCATGTCAGACACAATGGATTAGACTCTCATTGGAAGGGAATAAAAAGGTCTAGGTTAGTCTGCCCTCTAGTGTAGCTCACTGGTTCCTAAAATAAACTGGTGAAACGTGTCCTGGAAGCTGATTGTGCAATTCTGTCAGAATGGCAAGTTGCCATCATTGCCAGCACCAGATTTTCACATCTCCCTCCTCTATGGGAGCTGCAGACTTTTCTAGCATCTAATGTTAGCTATATGACCTAATGAAAAGAAATTCATATGAAACACACCCTCCCGAACCTATGCTTGATTGAAGTCAGTGTTACATGGCAATCCTTGACCATGGTTTTTGTCAATTGTTCCTATTTCAGGAGAACACGGATACAAATTAATAAAAGGGCATGTTTTTGATTCAGAAATAAGGGTTTTAGAAAGAACTTCTGAAATAGAGCGATTTAGTCTAAGAACTGTTACTGGCATGGGCTAATCTCTTTGAGACAGTCTGGTCTATTCATATAGTAAAGCACCCTCCTCCTTGGCTGGCCCTTCTGATGGAGAGTTTGCTGCAGCATGGATCTGATGTTGGACTCCAGGGGCATTGTGAGCAAGGAAGAAACATCTCTGCATTCCCTGTTTTACACCTTCCCTTGAATTCTGATTTACAGTTAAAAACTAACGTGCCTTGGGGGATAGTTTTTGATAACTCTGCAGTTTATATTCAACTTCATAAACACCTTTTGTGTTTTATAAGAGTCTAAATTTTGCAAGTGATATGTTTGTGTAGGTCTGAAAGCATTCCTGTTAGAGATCAGTTCCAAAGCATTTCAGACAAATAAATACAATGTAAAATTATCTTCTTAAAATTTATTTTCAAGGCCCTGTGATATGTTTACCTGGAAAACTCAAATGTTTCACTTGATCCCAATCTGATCTATATTTCCCTGCTGGTTTCCACGCCCCCTTGGTCCATGCCCCAAAGCAATTTGGCTAAGTGATGATAGTCTTTTGTTTCTAGGCACCTCCTAACCACTACCAATTTCAGAAAATATCAGGTCCTGACCTTTACAAAAAAAAAAAAAAAGTTTTTGTAATTATAGATTATGTGCAAATTATATATATTTATATGCAAATACACACATAATAAGTCTGCAAAACATAAAAATGTCCTCTATTTAAATTTCTGTTGTTAAAGCAGCGGTTCAGTAGGGCTCAGTGTGATGACCCATGGAGCACACCAGCCCCCAAGAGCACCATCACAGACTTACCTGATTGATTGTTGGCATAAGGCCGTCCTTAAACCATCAAGTTGCGTTTCTTCACAGTTGAAGTATAAATACAACTTTGATCTATTTTCTAATTGTCCTTTCCTGACAGCAATATAACCACAACACATACACAGGCTTTTAGGCTCTAACAATACTCATTAAGCGAGTGAAAAGGAATTTAAAGGGAGAGGCAATATGAAGGAGCAGACAGCACTAGGAGTCAACAGACCTAGATGCTAATTGTGGGCCTGTTTCCAGCTAAGCTGTTAACTTGAGCAAGTCACTTTACTATTCTGGAGACATCTTTTCCTCATCTGTGATGGGGTGGGCTAGACCTAGATTAAATCAGAAGTATCTGAACTTTCATCTGCAGACTTCCTGTTCTAATCATATGGCCTTTATGGCCACATCTGTGTTTCAGTGTCTTTGAGACTCAAAATATAACAGATCTCAGACAGATTTGCCAATCCAGGGACAGTGTTACTCAAATACCATGTTCTCACTGACTCTAGTTCCCAGTCTAATCCACATCCGTGGCATGTTTGCCATTTACTGCACTGATTTTCCAGCTTGTTTTCTTTGCTCAAGTCT
Organism: Homo sapiens; assembly: GCF_000001405.40. Taxonomy (NCBI): domain Eukaryota; kingdom Metazoa; phylum Chordata; class Mammalia; order Primates; family Hominidae; genus Homo; species Homo sapiens. The sequence continues at coordinate 82,639,797 of NC_000005.10, read as the reverse complement.
CTGAAAGACATTATGAGCTTAATCATTGTCATAAAGAGAAAATGAAAGATTGCAGGCTTTCTGATTAGCATTTAGCATATTTTTTTCATAGAATTTCAAGAGCACATAAAACTCACTTGTTTCCTATCAGCATTTCCCCTTGCCCCTTTAGTTTGCTGACATGTGATTTTCAAGTCAGTTTTGGAAATCTGAAACCTGTTAGAGATTGCAGATGCCAAGATCTGCATGACTGCTGTAGTTTTGGCAAGGTCTGCTCTTTAAAGACAACAAAGGCAATAAATAGAAATCTTGCTTTCCTCTGACTCTATTCTTTTTCAAAAGAAAAAATGTCTTTGTGAATGCATGGCGTTTAACAAGATTTCTAGACCTTCTTGCTTTAGACCTTTTTTGTTCTTAGTTTTTATTCAATGTAGCATTTGGGCTTTTCATCTTGCAAACCATAAGCTTATTTCTGTTATCAGCTTCCACTAAGAGCACAGTCTTGTCTGTGTTCTCTTTAATGTCTGTGATTCTCTTTAATAAAACTAATCATCTAAGTGCCAATGGTTGGAAGCAATAAAAATATGTTTCTGCCAATATGAACAATTATTTGACTAATTTGAACCCTAACCCTGGCCAAGTCCCTTCATCTTCATGTCACTTAAGTCAGCTTGTAAAGAGGCAAAAAAAAAAAAAAACTGCAAAAGAGATACAGCTAAATAAGCATGTAGATGAAAAGAAGGAGACATCTGACTTAGGGCTTGGGAAAATGGAGGCATTTGAGGCCTTCAAGATTGGGTATAATTGTAATGGAGAGAAATGGGAGAGACAGAAGTGGGGCAGGAATATTAAAAGCAAATGTGTAAAGATGAGAAGGAGAAAGACATGTTGAAGAACAGCCAGAGGTTCAGTTTCGTTACAGACTTACTGTGTGGTAACATTACATACTGAGAGACGGAGTAGGAAAGGTGGTTTGTAGTTAGATTGCAGAGGATGAATGAATGGTCTGTACTTCACCAGAGAACAATGGAGAGTCAGTGGAAGTTTAAAGTATAGAAGTAACTCCAAAACATCCAGAGCAATTAGGCAGATGTGTTTAAGGAAGATTATAAGGGGAAGAAAGGATAACATCCAGCCAGTTAGAAAAAGTATTGCAATGGGATAAGGGAAAGGTAATAAGGCAGAGAGAGTGAAAATTTAAAAATAGAAATATGGGACTAGAGCCACTCCTAAGATGCATGGGGTCACAGGCAGTTTTTTTTTTTTTTTTTTTTTTTTTGCAAGGCCCTTCTCTATGTAAACTACCGATCTTTAAAAACTGTTTTACAAAATTTATAGACCTACGTGAAATATAGCCATGTATTGAAGAGGTACATATACATTTGTTAATTGTCTAGTCAATGCATATAGAGATTGTAGTGTTCAGGAAACATTTCTTCATGTTCTTTATTGTCATAGACATTGTTCCTACCTAATTTCTTACCTCCCACTATAATGAAAAGGAGGCAAATTGTTAATACAAAGCCAGAGCTCTTCAAAATCTTTTTTCTATATATTTTTTTTTTTTGAGACAGTCTCGCTCTGTCGCCCAGGCTGGAGGGCAGTGGTGTGATCTTGGCTCACTGCAACCTCTGCCTCCCGGGTTCAAGCAATTCTCCTGCCTCAGCCTCCTGAGTAGCTGGGATTACAGGCATGTGCCACCACGCTTGGCTAATTTTTGTATTTTTAGTAGGGATGGGGTTTCACCATGTTGGTCAGGATTGTCTCGAACTCCTGACTTCATGATCTGCCCACCTCAGTCTCCCAAAGTGCTAGGATTACAGGCGTGAGCCACTGTGCCCAGACAGAATCTATTTATATTGAAACAATATTGCCCTTCTTGCTACTGGTTTCCTAGCACCATTTATTTAATGCTGTTAGATCATTATTTAAGATGCTGTACCATCCATTGTGCTTCCTGAGAATAATGGATTCCAATGATAATCTCAAATATTGTTACTGTTCTTTGTTAATGGTGCAAATTTCAGTTAGTTTGTGGGAAAATGTTAGCAATAAGTCGTGTCCTGGTCATTTTAAATTACCATTTGGATTTTATACTATAAATGTAGAACAATTTGTCCTTCAACCATACTTTTCTCTTGAATTCTTTATAATAATTTTATTCTTGGAATGTGATTTCTTTCAAACTTCCTTTTGCATGAACAGCAATCGAAAAGACAAATAAGAAGCTCATGGACAGATCAAGAATAGTTCTTCCATTCCTGCAAGAAATATACATCCCTCATCTACATTGGCTTAAGACTGTCTCAGGAGAAGACAATGTCTCCACCTTGATCACAAGCAAGAAAGGATGTCAGTCAGAAAGGTTTGTTGGCATTGTAGAGCAGTAATCTTGAAAGCCTTCAAATGTGTCAGGTACAGCCATCCCAGAAGATCTCTGACTTGGAGCACCAAGCTGTAGATGGATGGAGGGACCACCCTGAGTGCCAGCAGTGGAAGACACACAGGGAGAAGGGGGCTGCCACCATTCCCACTGCAGCGCCATGATCAGAACAGGCATAAGTGAAAGCCAATGCATGGCTCACACACATTTTGGTGTTGGGCCAGAGGCCAGAATTCATCTTGTGTATTTCATGGGTAGGAATAACTCAAAATCAGTTCATCAGCATCATTCTTGTAGCCAAACTTGTATGATTTCATGAAAGAAATATCATGCTAACTGGCAGGAGTGATATCTTCCCTAAGGTGACTCCAAATTCAGAAGTCCTGAAGTTCCTTAGGGCATTGTGTTGATTCCTGGCAAATGAGGGTCAGATAATGCACTGTGGGGAGAAATAGGGAGCTGGTACCATAGGGGCCCTCTACAGGGCTTGGGTCACCTCCTGGAATAGCACTAATAGTTGCAGACAGCTCCAGGAACCAAAGGGAGACTTACAGAAAGTTGAGGAGGCCACTGTTAAGCACGAGGCTCTGCTGTATGGGACCCAGAGCAGGAGTCCCACTTGCCCAGATGGAAGGGAAGCACTTTGAGGAACATAAGGTATGAGTAATAAGCTCTGAAGATTGCACACAAAGTGGAGAGAGAGACATTGAAGATGGCATCAAAGTTGTGATCCTGCATACTGAATGATCTGTAATGCCATTGGTCAGGTGCTGCACTTGCCTTCTGAACAGTCCTGTAGGCCATTTGTACCTCTGAGACCTTTCAACAAAATGAAAGAAAATAAATAGGACCATGCTAAATTACTTGACCTCTCTGCATCTCCATTTTTATCTGCAAAATGGAAAGAATAAGGTTTTACATGTCTATTAAGACCATTGAGATAATATTTGTAAATCACTTAGAACAGCCCTGGCACAAAGTAAGTACTATTTAAGTGACTGATAAATATATGTTTTACTTTTTCCAAACCTTCCTTACCGTATAAACAATGTAAACAAGGGTGCTAAAGAATCTCGCAGTTTACCAGAATATTAAAGCCTCAACATACAACTACCTTATCCCTCTAGAAGCTCCTTCTTTCTTCTTTTGAGAAGGGGAACAATTAGAAACAGAATTTTGTCCTGCTTTAAATATTGGTCTTCAGGTACATTTTAATCACATCCCATTAATGCTGTAGCTAAGAGCCAAGTTCAAATGTTCGATATCCCTTGCTTTCAAAGGCCTCTACTGTTACAATACAAATCAAGAGATTTGGTGTACCATTTGTGCCTGTAGCAGAAAATGATGAGCTAAGATTTTTTTTTCTTCATCTACCATAGCATCAGTTCTATTTTACCTTAAAGAGTACACATATTTAGATATCTGTCTGCCCTTGTTAGACTGTAAGTTTCTTGTTGTCTGGGGCTATGTTGTTTTCATCTCTCTATTCCTCAGCAGTGGATAGCACAGTGTTTACACAAAGTACCTATTCACTGGCTCTTTGCTGAGCAAACTGATTCAGGAAAAACACACAAATGACACATGTGTACAAATACTTTCAAGTCAATGAATAACTAGATTCCTTATGAAAAACCAGAAACAATCTGCTTGAGGGTATGTGGCTGGGCCCTTCAGCTGTGACAGTGTCTGAATCACCTGTTTTGTCTGAAGACTAAACTTTTAACCTCAGCCCCACAACTCAGCCCAATGTAACGATGTAAATGAAGCCATGTGGTCGAGCAGTTCTAACAAATAGCAGTGCTATTTCTTCTGTTGCCTTAAACACTTAAGTTTCATATGACTGCAGCGTTAGAATGATTTGAAATATGTTTCCAAAGGCTTGCCTCTGCCTTCTTTGGAAATAAGTCATACCCAGCTGCAGTTCCTGCCACATCATAGTATAAATGAAACACATTTAACTTTGTTTTCTATTAGCATTGAAAACCTGAGTTCTGAATTCTGACCAAGCATCAATAATATCAGAGAGAGTTAAAGCAGAAAAGACCTCAGAAATCAGCTCATATAGTTCCTCATTTTTCCTGCTAAAGATCCACTGACAAAGAGGCATGGTAACTGGTCTACTTATCTATATAGCTCAGCAAATTACATGCAAGGAATGTGCAGATGACAAAAAATGGATATTTAGTTTATACATTATATATAGAATTTTAATCTGGGGGATAAAATTGTTAACTTTGGTTGGTTTCTGACATCCTATTCTCTCCTGGTTTTCCTCCAACTCCTTGGCCTTATTTTCTGAGTTTGCTTCCTCCCTTCTAGTGTCCTATAAATGCTGATGTTAGGGGCATGTGTATTTTTTTCTATTCTTGCTCTGCCTCCCTCTTTCCTGTGGAGCCCATCTACCCCACTGGCTTCACTAACAACTGTACTTTAACGACTTCCAAACATCTAATTTCAAGCCCAGAACTTCCTCCTGAGCCACAGACTCTTCTGCCTTGAGAAAACATCTCTACTTGACTATCTTCAAATACATCACATTCAAGATATAGTGAAAAACCTTTAACAAATGGCACTGTGAATTCTCACAATTTGACACTGGCCTTCTTCTAGGTTCATACTTCATCTCTTTTCCCTTCACACCTACCCTATCATTCACAACTAACTGCTTGCATGTCTTTAAACGCAGGGTATCCTTATACTTCCCACTTCTTTGCATTTGGTACACCTTCGGCCTGGAAGCCTCTTGTGCCTCCTTTGCCTGGTGAAATACCATTCAACTCTCCAAGCACATCTCAAAAGCCATCTGCTCCAAGGAGTCTCCATGCCTTCCAAATCTCTGTTGGTACTTCTCTCATGTCTCACCTGTTATCTTTGATCACTTGGTTAAGGTAGTGTTAGCCAGCTTTCTTCACTGTAAAGTTACTATTATTCCCTTTATATCTAAGAATTATGAACAGTGGGATACTTTGAGACTACATCAACAGCCTGTTGGTTGTAAAACTTTAACCTACCACTTTTACTCTCTGCTGATGATTTTCTAATACCTTCATTCCTTCTATACTTTAATGGCATTCTCTTTGCTCCCATTGACTTATTTTTCATTGACTTATTTATAACAGTATGGATTAACTGATTCTTATTTTGTTCAATGAGTTATAATTCATTATATTATTATTTATCTTGATGCTAAAATTATCGCTGATCTGCTCAGTGGGAGCCCCTTCAAATTGGCCCCTTTTTCCTTTTGACATTCCCCCATTATTTATTGAGCACTTCTTTATATTCTTACACAAAGAGATATTCTAGATTTATTCTGTACTTTCTCTTGCATAGTACTGGATTCACCATTTCTCCAAGTTTTTCAGAAAATCAGCTTTGCTGAGTCATAATTCACATACAATAAAATTTACCAATTTTAATTGTACAGTCCAATGTGTACGCAGTTTTGTAACCATGGCCCGAGTCAAGTCATTTTCATGGCTTGTCCTGTACCTTTTTGCCGTTAATCCTCCCCACTCCTTGGCTCCTGGCAAAAACTGATCTGCTTTCTGTCACTATAGTTTGTAGAATTTTAGGTAAATTGTATCATAGAGTACCCGATTTTTGTGTCTGGCTCTTTCATTCAGCATAATGCTTGTGAGATTTGTCCATGTTCTTGCATACACCAGTGGTCTGTTCCTTTTTCTTGATGAATAGTATCCTGTTATATGGACATATCTCAATTGGTTCAAGGTTATTATGAATAAAAATGCTATGCACATTCACATACATGTCTTTATGTGGACATAGGTTTTTAGTTTTCTTGGTAAGATATATATGGCAAGTGATTGTTTAACTTTCTAATAACTATCCTAACTTCATCCACACTGACTGCCATTTTGCATTCCTACCAGTGACATATGAGAATTCCAGTTGCTCCATACCCTAGCCAACAATGGGTATTGTCGGTCTTTTTAAGTTTAGGTATTCTAGTGCATGAGTCAGGATATTTTACTGTCATTTTAATTTGCATTTTCCAAATGATTAATAATATTGAGCATCCTTTGCTATCTTTATTTTTCTATTAGTATATGTTCTTTGGATAAGTGTACATCCAAATCTTTGCCTATTTTTTAATTGAGTTGTTTCTATGCTTGCTATTGAGATTAAGTATTCTGTATGTATTATGGGTACAAATCCTTTATCAGACATGTGTTTTGAAAACATTGTCTTCCAACAGTGTGGTGATTCCTCAAGGATCTGGAACTAGAAATACCATTTGACCCAGCCATCCCATTACTGGGCATATACCCAAAGGATTGTGAGTCATGCTGCTATAAAGACACATGACACCTGTGTTTATTGAAGCACTATTCATAATAGCAAAGACTTGGAACCAACCCAAATGTCCAACAATGATAGACTGGATTAAGAAAATGTGGCACATAGGCCAGGCACGGTGGCTCACGCCTGTAATCCCAGCACTTTGGGAGGCCGAGTGGGTGGATCATGAGGTCAGGAGATCGAGACCATCCTGGCTCACATGGTGAAACCCCATCTCTACTAAAAATACAAAAAATTAGCCGGGCATGGTGGCAGGCGCCTGTAGTCCCAGCAACTCAGGAGGCTGAGGCAGGAGAATGGTGTGAACCCGGGAGGCGGAGCTTGCAGTGAGCCGAGATCGCACCACTGCACTCCAGCCTGGGCGAGAGTGAGACTCTGTCTTAATAAAAAAGAAAAGAATATGTGGCACATATACACCATGGAATACTATGTAGCCATAAAAAACGATGAGTTCATGTCCTTTGTAGTGACATGGATGAAGCTGGAAACCATCATTCTGAGCAAATTATAGCAAGGACAGAAAACCAAACACTGCATGTTCTCACTAATAGGTGGGAATTGAACAATGAGAACACTTGGACACAGGGTGGGGAACATCACACACTGGGGCCTGTCATGGGGTGGGGGAGTGGGGAGGGATAGCATTAGGAGATATACCTAATGTAAATGACAAGTTAACGAGTGCAGCACACTAACATGGCACATGTATACATATGTAACAAACCTGCACGTTGTGCACATGTACCCTAGAACTTAAAGTATAATAAAAAAAAAAAAAAAGAAAACATTGTCTTCCAGTCTGTGGCTTACTCACCATTTTCAAAACCATAACTTGCGAAGGGAAAAAATTTTGATTTTGATAAAGTTTAAATTATCCATTTTATTTATTGTTTATGTTTATTTATATTTTTGATGTAGAGTTTTGCTCTTGTTGCCCAGGCTGGAGTGCAATGGCACGATCCTTTCGGTGGAGGAAGGAGGACTGCAACCTCCACCTTCCAGGTTCAAATGATTCTCCTGCCTCGGCCTCCCAAGTAGCTGGGATTACAGGCGCCCGCCACAACGCCCAGGTAATTTTTGTATTTTTAGTAGAGATGGGGTTTCATCATGTTGGTCAGGCTGGCCTCAAACTCCTGACCTCAGGTGATCCACCCACCTCAGCCTCCCAAAGTGCATTTTACAGGCGTGAGCCACCACGCCCAGCCCATTTTATTTATAGTTCACAATTTTGTGTCCTAAGAAATCTGTCTCACAAGTCCTTGTTGTGTTATTTTAGTGGTTGCTTTAAGTTTACAGTATACATCTTTAACATACCACAGTCTGCCTTCCAATAATATTTATAACAACTTATATGTATTATGAGAAACTTCCAGCAGTGTACTTCCATTTCCTCCCTCTTCTCTTTTGTGCTATTGTTGGCATATATTTCAACTTTACATATGTTATAAGCCCTGCAATACATTATTATTATTTTTGCTTTAGTCAAACCATTTGATGAGATTAAACATGAGAGCAAAATATTTTTATACATGGATACATGCATGGTTACCACTTCTGCAGGTTTTTACTCCTCTGTGGAGATTAAAACTTTCATCTAGTATCATTTTCTTTTTAGTAGAAAAAAAAGACAACTTCCTTTAACATTTCCCATAGAGCAAGACTGCTGGCTATGAATTCTTTCCTATTTGGTTGGTCTGAAAAAATCTTTATTTTGCCTTCAATTTTGAAAGACATTTTTTCTAGGATAGAAATCTAGGTTGGAAATATTTTACTTTAGCTCTTTATAAATGTTATATTGTCTTCTTTCCTGTGTGTTTTCCTAGAGAGATGTGTTGGAACTCTTCTAAATAATTCAGTATTGTACTTATTAGATTCAGTCAAGTGGTAGGGTAGCAGAGAAGAAAAGCTCAGACATGGATGAGGCATCCATATCTGAAGTATCTACGTTAGTAAACATAAGGGTGATGAGAAATTGGTTTGTAAGTCTGGGGAAAGTGGAGTGACTGAGACATACAATAACTTTTTTCTTCTGCTGCAGTCTCGAGTCTTAAAACTTCTCTTCCCAAGGGCAGGCCTTCTCACTGAGTAACTAAGTATAACTCTCAGTGTACATGGCAAGAATGAACTGCTGGGTGCGGTCACTCACGTCTGTAATCCTAGCACTTTGAGAGGCCAAGGTGGGTGCATGGCTTTAGTCCAGGAGTTCGAGACCAACCTGGGAAATATGGTGAAATCCCATCTCTACAAAAAAATACAAATATTAGCCAGGTGTGGTGGCATGCACCTGTAGTCCCAGCTATCCGGAGGGGCTGAGGAAGAAGGATTGCTTGAACCTGGGAGGTCAAGGCTACAGTGAGCCAAGATTTCACCACTGCACTCCAGCCTGGGTGACAAAGTGAGACCCTGTCTCAAAAAAATAAAAAATAAAAATAAATAAACTATACATGGTCCCAAGGAAAACAACTCATTTTCATGTTCCTAATAGACACTGGAGACTTACGAAAGAAAGGAGAAAGGTTGGCCGGGCGCGGTGGCTCACGCCTGTAATCCCAGCACTTTGGGAGGCCGAGGCGGGCGGATCACGAGGTCAGGAGATCGAGACCATCCCGGCTAAAACGGTGAAACCCCGTCTCTACTAAAAATACAAAAAATTAGCCGGGCGTAGTGGCGGGCGCCTGTAGTCCCAGCTACTTGGGAGGCTGAGGCAGGAGAATGGCGTGAACCCAGGAGGCGGAGCTTGCAGTGAGCCGAGATCCCGCCACTGCACTCCAGCCTGGGCGACAGAGCGAGACTCCGTCTCAAAAAAAAAAAAAAAAAAAAAAAAGAAAGGAGAAAGGTTAAAATTGTGGCTATAGAAAAGTAAACCTAATTACATCTATTTATGAGGAGTACTTATGCACAATGACCTCAGGGCATGCCTATGTGACAGATTAATTTCTTTAAAAATTCAAATGTTTTCAATCAACTTTTTAAATAACTGCTTATCCTTCTGCCACTTATACCTTTATATCTTATATTTAATACTGATATTAAAACAATATGAAAAAATTTTTTCCTATTTTCATATGAACTGGTGACCATAAAGATTCTTCTTTTGCAATTTAAGATATTACCATTTCTCAATGTTTAAGGCAGTGGTTCTCAAACTTCTATACACATAAAAATCTCCTGGAGAATTTGTTTAGAATGCAGATTCTCTGACTGTCTCTAATCATTCTGATTCATTAAGAGAGAGTGAAGCTTAAGAGAATGTGCCAACAAGCATCTCTGAGAATTTTTATACAGGTTATGTGAAGAGCACACTTTGAGAAACACTGCTGGATTTGAACTGACTAGAGGAGACATGTAGATTCAAGGGATGTAAACTCATTTGCATCTTTCAAAGGAAGTTCACTTCTTTCTTCTAAAAGGAAGTTGAAGGCTGAATTTTGGGAAAATATTGAAGTTTAGATTTATATTTTAACCAGAGTAGGCTTTCAGATGATTGGACTTGAGATCGGATGAAGTGTCAGACTCTTCACATTCATTATCATTGAGGTAGGTATTATTGTCTCTCTGTTTTGTTTTGTTTTGTTTTTCAGCCAGGGTCTCACTCTGTCACCCAGGCTGGAGTGCAGTGGTGCAATCTGGGCTCACTGCAACCTCTGCCTCCAAGGTTCAAGCAATCCTCCCACCTCAGCCTCCGGAGTAGCTGGAACTACAGGCGTATGCCACCACGCCCATTATATTAGCCTGTTTTCACACTGCTGATAAAGACATACCCGAGACTGGGCAATTTACAAAAGAAAGAGGTTTAATTGACTCACAGTTCCAAATGGCTGGGGAGGCCTCACAATCATGGCAAAAGGCGAAAGTCACATCTCACATGGCAGCAGACAAGAGAAGAGGAGAGCCAAGTGAAAGAGGTTTTCCCTTTCAAAACCATCAGAACTTGTGAGACTTACTCACTACCACGAGAACAGTATGAGGGAGCCACTGCCATGATTCAATTATCTTCCACTGGGTCCCTCCCACAACATGAGGGATTTATGGGAGATACAGTTCAAGATGAGATTTGGGTGGGGACACACAGCCAAACCATATGACCTGGCTGATTTTTGTATTTTTCTGTAGAGATGGGGTTTCATCCTGTTGTCCTGGGCTGGTCTTGAACTCCTGGGCTCAAGTGATCTGCTCGCCTTGGCCTCCCAAAGAGCTGGGATTACAGGATGAGCCACTGCACTTGTCCTCTATTGTCTTATTTTAATGCAAAAGATGGCTGAGAGATGTGAAGGAACTTGACTAGGGTTACACAGCCAATAAATATGAAAGCTGGATCTCAAGCCCAGGAATATGTGACCCAAAACCTGTGTTTTTTCTGTAGCCTCTGCCTACCATCCTCATGTTTTCCAGTTACAGGAATCAGAAACTGTGAGCTACCACCTTAAGAGTGACTCACAAGTCTAGTCCCCTACTCTTATCTTGGAAATTTATGTTATTAAAATAAAATACAGCCAAGAAAAATAAGGCTGTTTTTTTTTGAATCATTAAGGAAAGAAACAAAAACCTTTATAAAATTGACCAGAACATGCTAATTAATTCTCCTCTCCCAGTACTTATCACTCTGTATTATCATTTTCTGCATAACATATCCTTCTTTCCCACTAGAAACTGAGTTTCTCTGGTTCAGGATATAGATCTTATTTATCTCTGTGTCTAGCCACCACCACCATAATCACATTGACAAGTGACCCGTGGTGGATGCCAATAGCTTACAAGAAATGTCTTTACAAACGTCACTATCTGTATTTACTAAGAAATATGATAGAGGACACTGTTTATCATATTCCTCAGTATTTCTTATATGACACCCTGTAAGATAAATTTCTTTCAAACTGAAGTGCCAGAAATTTTTTTCTGTGCTTCAGAAATTAGTATGCTTTCTCCTTATGGGCAATATGAATTATATACATGAAACAGAATTTCTTATTATCGCTTTGGTTTCCAGGAAGTCAGGAACCAAATTTGTGGCTCAACTTTATATTTCTGCATATCCTGAAAATTTCTGCTCCAAATGTCCATTGATCTTAGCCTTATATTCTAATTTTTATTTTCTTATATTTATTTTCATTTAAATGTATGTAATCTTGTAGGTTATCTCAAATATTTTGTGAAACAAAGTAAATTATAAATAAATCAACCATGCTTAGCTGTATTAATTAATAACACATTAGCTTCTCTAACAGATAACTCCTTGTATTAGTCCCTTTTCATGCTGCTGATAAAGACATATCTGAGACTGGGCAATTTACAAAAGAAAGAGGTTCAATGGACTTACAGTTCAATGTGGCTAGGAAGGCCTCACAATCATTGTGGAAGGCAAAAGGCACTTCTTACGTGGCGGTGGCAAGAGAGTGAATGAGAATCAAGTGAAAAGAGTTTCCCCTTATAACACCATCAGATCTCATAAGACTTATTCACTACTATGAGAATAGTATAGGAGAAAGTGCCCCCATGATTCAATTATCTCCCATTGGGTCCCTCCCATAACACTTGGAAATTATGGGAGCTACAATTCAAGATGAGATTTGGGTGGGGATGCAGCCAAACCATATCATTCTGCCCCTGGCCCCTCCGAAATCTCATGTCCTCACATTTCAAAACCAATCATGCCTTCCTAACAGTTCCCCAAAATCTTAACTAATTTCAGCATTAACTCAAAAGTCCACAGTCCAAAGTCTTATCTGAAAAAAGGCAAGTCCCTTCTGCCTATAAGCCTGTAAAATCAAAAGCAAGTTAGTTACCTCCTAGATACAATGGGGGTACAAGCATTAGGTAAATACAGCCATTCCAAATGGGAGAAATTGGCCAAAACAAAGAGGCTACAGGCCGCATGCACATCTGAAACCCAATGGGGCAGTCAAATCTTAAAGTTCCAAAATGATTTCCTTTGACTCCACGTTTCACATCTGAGTCACATATTGCAAGAGGTGGTTTCGCATGGTCTTGGGCAGCTCCACTCCTGTGGCTTTGCAGGGTACAACCTCATTCCTGGCTGCTTTCACAGGCTGGGGTTGAGTGTCTGTGGCTTTTCCAGGTGCACAGTGCAACCTGTTGGTGGAACTACCATTGTGGGGTCTGAAGGATGGTAGCCCTCTCCTCACAGCTCCACTAGGCAGTGCTCCAGTTGTGACTCTGTGTGTGGGCTCCAGCCCCACATTTCCCTTCTGCACTGCCCTAGCCAAGGTTCTCCATGATGGCCCCACCCCTGCAGCAAACTTCTGCTTGGGCATCCAGGCATTTCAATACATCCTCTGAAATCTTGATGGAGGTTCCCAAACCCCAATTCTTGACTTCTGTGCACTCGCAGGCTCAACACCATGTGGAAGCTACCAAGGCTTGGGGCTTACACCCTCTGAAGCTACAGCCTGAGCTCTACATTGACCCATTTTGGCCATGGCTGGAGCAGCTGGGACACAGAGAACCAAGTCCCTAGGCTGCACACAGCACAGGGATTCTAGGCCCAGACCACAAAACCATTTTATGCTCTTAGGCCTCCAGGGCTGTGATGGGAAGGGCTGCATGAAGAACCCTCTGACATGCCCTGGAGACATTTTCCCCATTGTCTTGGGGATTAACACTGGGCTCCTCATTACTTCTGCAAATATCTGCAGCCACTTTGAATTTCTCCTAAGAAGATGGGATTTTCTTTTTTATCACATTGTCAGCCTGCAAATTTTCCAAACTTTTATGCTGTCCTTCCCTTATGAAACTGAATGCCTTTAACAGCACCGAAGTCATGTCTTGAATGCTTTGCTGCTTAGAATTTTTTTTCTGCCAGATAACCTAAATCATCTCTCTCAAGTTCAAAGTTCCACAAATCTCTAGGGCAGGGGCAAAATGCTGCCAGTCTCTTTGATAAGACATAACAAGAGTCACCTTTGCTCCAGTTCCCAACAAGTTCCTCATATCCATCTGAGACCATCTGAGCCTGGATTTCATTGTCCATATCTTTATCAGCATTTTGGTCAAAGCCATTCAATAAGTCTCTAGAGAGTTCCAAATTTTCCCACATTTTCCTGTCATCTTCTGAGCCCTACAAATTGTTCCAACCTCTGTCTGTTACCCAGTTCCAAAGTCGCTTCCACATTTTTGGGTATCTTTTTAGCAGCACCCCACTCTACTGGTACCAATTTACTGTATAGTCCATTTTCATGTTGCTGATAAAGACATACCCGAGACTGGGAAGATAAAGACGTTTAATGGACTTACAGTTCCATGTGGCTGGGGAGGCCTCACAATCATGGCAGAAGGCAAGGAGGAGCAAGTCCCTTATATGGATGGTGTCAGGCAAAGAGAGAGGGCTTGTGCAGGGGAACTCCTATTTATAAAACCATCGGATCTTATGAGACTTACCCACTATCACAAGTAGCATAATAAAGACATGCCCCCATGATTAAATTACCTCCCACTGGGTCCCTCCCATGACATGTGGGAATTGTTGGAGTTACAATTCAAGATGAGATTTGGGTGGGGACACAGCCAAACCATATCACCCCTCAAATCTTAACACAATAGAGTTATATTTCTCACACATTAATTTCCTTGGCTAGTAGCCTTTCACATGATTATGTAGGGACCCAGGGTTCTTCTTCCAGGGTCTTGGAGACAGTCACATTCCACTGGTATATGGAGACAAGACTACAGAAAGATATCTCTTCATGTTTCACTGTGAAGAAACTAGACACTAGGCTCCACCTATGCCTGATATTCAGGGAAATCTAGATCCTAGGTGGACAGCAGCCTCCTAGCACCCAGCTTTACTCTATGGAAGGGGAACACAAATCTTTGTTGATGACCTAATTAGCCCTGTTACCTACTTGAAAGATATTCCAAAATATTGTTGCATGATTTAAAGGGATGCTCATACAGCCACAACCTCCTTATGTGGCAACAGAGTCATTTTGTATATAACCTGCCCATGGACCTTGCATTAATATTATTTAATCAATATGTATAATGCTTACATGGCAGTACCTATGAGTTGATTTTCCTGCATAAAACATATTCAAGTTAAGTGTCTTGTATGACCTCAAACTGCCAATTGAAGTTTCTTGGTCATGGTGTATAAGCCAACAGAAGGTGTTTGTTAATGACTGGCCTCCAGTTGCTTAATTCAGAACTGTGGCCAGTAGGCTGAGCAGATGGCTGAAGAGGTTTGGGCTACATGGGCCATGAACACAGTTGTCAGTGTGGTAGCAGGAGCTCTACAGAAAGTATCTTGATTCCTTCTAATTCTGCAAAAAACAATGAGGCAGAGGGCCCGAGGCTGATCGCCAGATTTAGGCCAAGGAACGTCAAATTATGACATGAGGAGGACCAAGAGTCCTTGAGTTTTAGTCTCCAGGGCTGCAATGACTTAACAGCAAAGTTAATTCCCCAAAATGTCAGAACTGTATATTTCTGGTCAGATGCCAAATATACACAGCTATAGGCTTGCTTAACTGCACCATCGGGATCTACAGTATTCCCTAATGTCTCTTCAAACACAGCCCTCTCCTTACATTAGGTCTTACTTCTTAAAAATTATGCTGGTTTACAGGAAAAGACTACCAAAAGGAGCCCATTCTACTTCGGTTCCTTCAATATTCCCTTAGAATATTATCTTGCCCAAACACACAGGAAGTAGAAGAATGGCCATACATCCCAGTTTCCTCACAACAGTCCTGGTTAATGCCTGTGGACCAGTATAA
This sequence comes from Homo sapiens, assembly GCF_000001405.40. Taxonomy (NCBI): domain Eukaryota; kingdom Metazoa; phylum Chordata; class Mammalia; order Primates; family Hominidae; genus Homo; species Homo sapiens. The sequence goes on along the minus strand of NC_000005.10, from coordinate 82,624,380 downwards.
GTGTTAATAATACTCCCTTTCAATCTCAATGTATCTTGCTTTGCTCAGGAAACTATTATCAGTTGTGAATCCATGACTAGAACTTAGTTTGTCTGACTCATGGCATAGTGCTCTTTCCACAATATAAAGTTATTTCTAATTATAACCAAACATCAGCATTAAGGGAAGTAGGTGTGCGGTGGGCACAACACTTCCTCCCTCCTTCTAGGTTACTAGACATTTATAGAAGTGAATTAGTCAGAGTAGAATGGAGACATGATTCTGCCTTTCCAAGAATTGGGATAAAGTAAGCAAATCTGGAAGGCTGTCCCTTCTTTAACCTCAGGGTAAGCTCCAACATTCATCCTAAGTTTGAAAATTATGTCAATTCAATTCACAACTAAATTGAAAGAAAATCCAGAGGTTTTCCCCAAACTCATGAATCCACTGCTGCTATTCAACCTAGGCCATTTTCTGCAGAGCTACATAACTGCTAGCCTCACACCATTTCTATCATCTATCAAGAAGGTCCATTTGCCAGGCATGGTGGCTCACACCTCTAACCCCAGCACTTTGGGAGGCTGAGGCGGGCGGATCATGAAGTCAGGAGTTCGAGACCAGCCTGACCAACATGGTGACACCTCATCTCTACTAAAAATACAAAAATTAGCCGGGCATGGTGGTGTGCGCCTGTAATCCCACCTACTCAGGAGGCTGAGGCAGGAAAATCACTTGAACCTGGGAGGTGGAGGTTGCAGTGAGCTGAGATTGTGTCACTGCACTCCAGCCTGGGCAACAGAGAGAGATTCCATCTCAAAAAAAAAAAAAAACAAAAAAACAAGGTCCATTAGTGACACAGTTTCCTTAGTGTTCCCCCCTTAACATTTTATAAAGCCAAAGCATGGCATATATTTTCCCTAAACAGTTTGTCACAGCAGATAATTTAATGTCAATTATTAACCAGGTTGTTTGGTGCCATATGCAAGAAGGAACTCAGCTAACGATCTGAGAGCAAAGATCACAACCAGACTATAGTGATCCAGAAGCTGAACCCAGGCAGGAACAGGGCAAATAAAAGAAATGTGCTCTACCTATTAACATGTTTTCCTGTTATTTCTTTATACTTGTCGCTGCTTAAATGTCGCAGTGCTCAATTCCGATGTCCACCTGTGTACCTGTCAGGAGAAAGTGGCTCCCCAAGAAGCAGAGAGGGAGACCATCTTAAACAAGTGGCAATAAAACGCCACTTCACTCTTCCTAGCCAGGATAGGCCTCTGTCTGAAGGAAATAGCAGCTTGTGGGCCTTTTATGAAAAGTACTTTTGTTCCAGTAGTTTTTCAAGGACAAAAATGTATCTTCACACTTTTGTCATTATATTTATGAACTGTAAATCCTCATTTTATGGAAACACTCCAGGATTTCAAACTCCTAAATCAACCTGGTAAATCTCCAGCCTCAGGGGTTCAATTTAAGGAGAACCTCTTCAAAAATACTGACATTTTATAGGGAACTGCAGGAAAAACAAACAATAAGAGTTTTCAACATACATCTTTTTTTTGGTAACCCTAAAGGCTTGTCATGGGAGACAGCTAACATGTAAGAAGAATAAAGACAGCTGCTGAGAATGCATTTTCTGAGCCGCAGGTCAACATGACTTAAACAATAACAGTGAGATGGTCTCTCCAGAAATTTGGTCTGGGGCCCTGAACAAGCCACCATTGTTTCCTTAAAGGAATATTTACTTTTATATCAGGATATGGATGATGTTAGATATACAAGCAAACTTTTAAGTGTGAGAAAAATGACTCTAGAAAATCTATTTGCAATTGCAAAACACTTTATAAATATTGTAGGCTTGAGGTTTTGCCTTCACTCTTATAATATTCCCCGTTATTGGCTGGACACAGTCCTGCCATAGCGGTTGGTATCTCCATGAACTGTCTGCCAACTTCTACTACTGAGAGCATTTCAATACACCCAGTCTCACCAATGTTTAGCCAGCTGGTAGCCCACATCAGCCATCCAAATATTTCATTGTTGGATGAAATAATTCCACAGGCAACCACAGGTCCTAGGCATGTGAATTTTATGAGGGCTTATTCCACAAACTAGGGCAAAACAGAACACAGAGCAGTTTGCCCCGAGATGCTGAGTGAGACTCACTGTCAATAATTTCTACCCATTCGCAGAAAATATTTTTAAAAATTATGGTCTTCATGAAATTTTGAATTGTAGAAGTGTGAAGAAATGCTTAGGGTCCTGAAAGGCAATATAAACTGTGTGTTTTCTCTGTTAATGGGAAGTTGGTGAAGTGCTTAACACAAGCGGCGGAAAGTCTTCTAATCCTCTTAATAGAAGGGACACAGAAGCCATATAGTGAAAAATGTATTCTTTTTCTCTCCAATGTATAATGGTGGCTGTGCCAAGCAATAATGTTCTATTTCTGAAAGTCTATAGCAAGCTTATTTAATGGCATTCTTAGCAGGGCGCCCTATTCATACCTATGTGCCATTTTCTGTGCTCTTGAATGAAAGACTTCCCTTTCATATGCCACTGTGGAAACACATCATTTCCCGCAGCTTGCACTTCTCCAGGTTGTCATAACTGCTTTTGAGAACGTCTTCAACAGCAACTAGTGACCCAGCACTGGAAAAAAAAATTCCAGGGCTGTTCTTAGGTCTACTTAGTGAGAGAGTTTTAATGTGTTCAATGGTGTCACCAACACATCGAGTCACCCACTTTTCTCAATCTTTTTGGAAAGGGAATAAAGAAGGTTATAGGGAAACTGTGCTCAGACTCAGCAAATTCAGAATCAGAAATTGCACAGACAACATAGAATGAAATATAGTACTGGTGTCAGTTAGAAAGGAAGCATTCATAGCAAGATTTCTCAATAAAATTGGATTTGGAGAATCAGTGAGGTGTGGCTACATAGAGAAACTCAAGCCAAAATTGTGCTATTAGAAACTTTGTTTATCTTTGCCTCTACTGACTTGTGAAATGGGGGGGCACCCCCAGCAAGGTTAACCATGACCCATGACCACCCAGGGTGATGCCTTAGATTTGTGATGTTATATCAATGTGGATTTATACTGTTCTCTGACCTTTTTAGAGACAAAAAGCAACACTTTTTGACTCTAAAAAAGTGTGTTGTTCGTGCTGATCTTGAGCTCCTGGCCTCAAGAGATCTTCCTGTGTCAGCATCTTGAGTAGCTGAGATTCAAGCACAAACCACAAACCACTGCAACCCTGCTCGTTGAGTTTTATGAGTTCTTTGTGTATTTGGATAACAGTCCTTTGTAAGATGTGTCTTTTATAAATATTTTTCTCCCAGTCTGTGGCTTGTCTTCTCAGCCACTTGACATCGTCTTTCACAGATAAACTTTTAATTTTAATGAAGTCTACCTTATTAATTATTTCTTTCATCAATCATGCCTTTGATGTTGTATATAAAATGTCATTGCCATACTCAAGGTCATCTAGGTTTTTTCCTATGCTGTCCTCTAGGAATTTTCATCTTGCATTTTACATTTAGGTCTATGAAACATTTCGAGTTACTTTTTGTGAAAGGCATCAGCTGTGTATAGATTTTTTTTGTATGTAGATGTCCAGTTGTTCCAGCGCCCATTTGTTGAAAAAAATTGTCTTCGTTCCATTGTTTTGCCTTTGCTCCTTTGTCAAAGATTAGTTAACTGTGTTTAAAAGGGACTGTTTCTGGGCCCTTTATTCTGTTCCATTAGTTTCTTTGTCTATTCTTTGGTGGATACCATACCATCTTGATTATCATAGCTTTATAGTAAGTCTTGAAGTCAGTCAGTGTCAGTCCGCTAATTTTGTTCTTCTTCCATCTTGAGTTAACTATTGTGAATCTGTTGCCTGTCCATATAAACTTTAGAATTAGTTGCTCAATACCCACAAAATAATTTTCTGGAATGTTGATCGAGATTGTATTGAATCTGTGGGTCAAATTGAGAAGAACTGGCATATTGACGATAAGTTTTCCAATCCATGAACATGGAGTATCTCTATCTCTCTATTTATTTAGTTCTTCTTCAATATCTTTCATTAGAGTTTTGTAGTTCTCCTCATACAGATCTTGTACAGATTTTGTTAGATTTACACATAAGTATTTGATTTTGGGAGTGCTAATACAAATGGTAATGTGTTTTTTCATTTTAAATTCCACTTGTTCATTTATGGCATATAGGAAAGCAATTGACTTTTACACATTCTCTTTTATACTACAGTCTTGTTATAAATGCTTATCAGTTCCAGAAGTTTGTTTTGTCTATTCTTTCAGATTTTTTACATAGACAATCATCATCTGTGAATAATGCAGTTTTATTTATTTCATCCCAATCTGTATACCTTTTTTCTGGTATTATTAGCTAGGACTTCCAGTATTATGTGGGAAAGAAGTGGTGATACGGGACATCCTTTCCTTCTTTCTCATATTAGTGAAAAAGCTTCAAGTTCCTTACCATTAAGTATGATGGTAACTGTGTAGATGTTCTTTTTTGTAGATGTTCTTTTTCAAGTTGAGGAAATTACCCTCTATTCCTAGTTCTCTGAGAGTTTTTATCATGAATGGGTGTTGGATTTTGTCAAATGCTTCTTTTGCATTTATTGATATGATTACATCATTTGTCCTATTTAGCCTGCTGATGTGATGAATTATGTTAATTGATTTTCTAATGTTGAACAAGCCTTGCATACCTTGGATAAAACCCACATGCTATGGTTTGAACGAATACCCTCCAAAATTCAGTTGTTGCCCATGTGATAGCTTTAAGAGGTGATTAAGCTATGAAGACTTCTCCCTTGTGAATGGCATTCACAACCTTGTAAAATAAACTTCATGCAGCATTCACCTCTCACTTGCCCTTCCACCATCTGCCATATAAAAACACAGTGTTTCATGGCAGAAAGGTGCCACCTTGGAGACAGACAGAAGCCCCCACCAGACGACGAAACTACTGTGCCTTGATCTTGGACTTTCTAGTCTCCAGAACTATCAGAAAATAATTTTTTGTTTTTTAAATTGTCCAATCCAAGTATTTTGTTAGAACAGCACAAATGGACTAAGATAGAAATAGTACTGAGAGTGGGGTGTTGCTATGACAAGTACCTGAAAATGTGCAAGCAGCTTTGGAACTGTCTAAGGGGTAGAGGCTGGAACAGTTTTGAAGTGAACACTGAAAAAAAAAAAAAAACCTGTGTTGCCATAAACGTAGAATTAAGAGTGATTCTGGTGAAGGTTCTGAAAAAGAGAAGAGCTGTAGAAAAAAGCCTCAGACTTCTTAGGGAATACCTATGTGGTTGTAACCAAAATAGAAATACAGGTTAGAAATATAGGTAGCAGAGACTATTCTTAGGAGGCCTCAGATGAAAATGAGAAACAAGATATTAGAAACTGGAGGAAAGACCATCCTTGTTATAAAGTGGTGAGTAACTTGGCTGAATTATGTCCATGTCCTAGGACTTTGTGAAAACAAACTTAAGAGCAGTAACTGGGATACTGGTGGAAGAAATATCTAAGCAGCAAAATGTGCAGGATTCTGTGTGGCTTCTCCTACCTGCTTAGAGTAAAATATGAGAAGGGAGAAATTATTTAAAGACAGAATTTCAAATTGAAAGCACCGAATGTGAAGATCTGGAAAACACTCAGCCTGGCCATGTAAAGAATAAAAAAGGATATGGCCAAGTGATCATTTGATAAGGAGATTGGTACAGATAGGAGGAAGCCATGTGCTGTTCATCAAGACAATGGGAGAATGACCCTGAAGGCATTTCAGAGACTTTGGAGGATGCCATGCCCATCACAGGTCTTCAGTCATGAATGGGATTATGGATCTTATCAAAGAGGCTTCACAGAGCATTCATCTCTCACTTGCCCTTCAACCTTCTGCCATGTGAGGACACAGTGTTCCTCTCCTCTAGAGGATGCAGCAATAGGCCACAATCTTGGAGATGAAGAGCAGACCTCACCAGACAACTGAAAGTGTCAGCACCTTGATCTTGAACTTCCCAGTCTCCAGCACTGTGAGAAAGTAAATTTCTGTTCTTTTTTAATTATTATTATACTTTAAGTTCCAGGCTATATGTGCACAACATGCATGTTTGTTACATATGTATACATATGCCGTGTTGGTTTGCTGCACCCTTTACTTGTCATTTAGATTAGATATATCTCCATGCTATCCCTCCTCCATCCCCTCACCCCACAACACGCCCCGGTGTGTGATGTTCCCCACCCTGTGTCCAACTGTTCTCATTGTTCAATTCCCACCTATGAGTGAGAACATGTGGTGTTTGGTTTTCTGTCCTTGCGATAGTTTGCTCAGAATGATGGTTTCTAGCTTCATCCATGTCACTGCAAAGGACATGAACTCATCCTTTTTTATGGCTGCATGGTATTCCATGGTGTATATGTGCCACATTCTCTTAATCCAGTCTGTCATTGATGGACATTTGCGTTGGTTCCAAGTCTTTGCTATTGTGAATAGTGCTGCAATAAACATACGTGTGCATGTGTCTGGATAGTAGCATGATTTATAATCCTTTGGGTGTATACTCAGTAATGGGATCGCTGGGTCAAATGGTATTTCTAGTTCTAGATCCTTGAGGAATCACCACACTGTCTTCCACAATAGTTGAACTAGTTTACATTCCCACCAACAGTGTAAAAGCATTCCTATTTCCCCACACCCTCTCCAGCACGTTGTTTCCTGACTTTTTAATGATCACCATTCTAACTGGTGTGAGATGGTATCTCACTGTGGTTTTGATTTGCATTTCTCTGATGACCAGTGTTGATGAGCATTTTTTCATGTGTCTTTTGGCTGCATAAATGTCTTCTTTTGAAAAGTGTCTGTTCATATCCTTTGCCCACTTTTTGATGGGGTTGTTTGATTTTTTCTTGTAAATTTGTTTGAGTTCTTTGTAGATTCTGGATATTAGCCCTTTGTCAGATGGGTAGGTTGCAAAAATTTCCTCCCATTCTGTAGGTTGCCTGTTCACTCTGATGGTAGTTTCTTTTGCTGTGTAGAAGCTCTTTAGTTTAATTAGATCCCATTTGTCTATTTTGACGTTTGTTGTCATTGCTTTTGGTGTTTTAGTCATAAAGTCCTTGCCCATGCCTATGTCCTGAATGGTATTGCCTAGGTTTTCTTCTAGGGTTTTTATGGTTTTAGGTCTAAAATTTAAGTCTTTAATCCATCTTGAATTAATTTTTGTATAAGGTGTAAGGAAGGGATCCAGTTTCAGCTTTCTACATATGACTAGCCAGTTTTCCCAGCACGATTTATTAAATAGGGAATCCTTTCCCCATTTCTTGTTTTGTCAGGTTTGTCAAAGATCAGATGGTTGGAGATGTGTGGTGTTATTTCTGAGGCCTCTGTTCTGTTCCATTGGTCTATATCTCTGTTTTGGTACCAGTACCATGCCGTTTTGGTTACTGTGAATTGACTAACATCAGGTATTTTGTTAGAGCAGCACAAATGGACTAAGATAGCACTTCATTGTGTTCTATGATTCTTTTTGAATTTTAGATGTGATTTGCTATGTTGTTCAGAATTTTTGCATCCATGTTCCTGAGAGATGTTGGTCTGTAGTTTGCTTTTCTTGTAACTTTTTGTCCGGCTTTGGTATAAGGGTAATGCTGTCCTTATAGAATGAGTTAAGATGTATTTCCTTTGCCTATATCTCCTAGAAGAAATTGTAGAGAACTGGTACAATTTCTTCCTTAACTGTTTAGTAGAATTTACCAGCAATCCCATTGAGGCCTGGTGCTTTCTGCATTTATCTATTTATTTATCTATTTATTCATTTATATTATTTAATATTATTTATTTTACTTCTTATTTAACATTTAAGTTCAGGGGTACACATGGTTTGTTATATAGGTAAACTTGCATCATGAGAATTTGTTGTATAGATTATTTCATCACCCAGGAATTAAGCCTAGTACCCATTAGTCATTTTTCCTAATCTTCTCCCTCCTCCCACCCTCCACCCTCTGATAGGCCCCAATGTGTGTTGTTCCACTTTATGCGTCCATGTGTTCCCATCATTTAGCTCCCACTTTTAAGTGAGAACGTGTGGTATTTGGTTTTCTGTTCCTGTGTTAGTTTGCAAAGGATGATGGCCTCCAGCTCCATCCATGTTCCTGCAAAAGACATGATCTTTTTCTTTTTTTATGGCTGCATAGTATTCTATGGTGTATATGTACCACATTTTATTTATCCAGTCTACCATTGATGGGCATTTAGGTTGATTCCATGTCTTTGCTATTGTGAATAGTACTGCAATGAATATATATATGCATATATCTTTATGATAGAATGATTTATATTCCTTTAGGTGTATACTCAGTAATGATGGGGTTGCTGGGTCGAATGGTGTTTCCGTTTTTGGTCTTTGAGAAATTGCCACACTGTTTTCCACAGTGGTTGAACTGATTTGCACTCCCATCAATATCGCATAAGCGTCATTTTTTCTCTGCCACCTTGCCAGCATCTGTTATCTTTTGACTTTTTATTAATAGCCATTCTGATTGGTGTGAGATGGTATCACATTGTGGTTTTGATTTGCTTTTCTCTAATAATCAGTCATGTCAAGCTTTTTTTTTTTTTTTTTTTTTTTTTTTGAGACGGAGTCTCGCTCAGTCTCCCAGGTTGGAGTGCAGTGGTGCGATCTCAGCTTGCTGCAAGCTCCGCCTCCCGGGTTCACGCCATTCTCCTGCCTCAGCCTCCCAAGTAGCTGGGACTACAGGCGCCCGCCACCTCACCAGGTTAGTTTTTTGTATTTTTAGTAGAGACAGGGTTTCACGGTGTTAGCCAGGATGGTCTTGATCTCCTGACCTTGTGATCCGCCTGCCTCGGCCTCCCAAAGTGCTGGGATTACAGGCGTGAGCCACCGCACCTGGCTGCTTTTATTTTAATCTGATTGTTGGCCACATGTATGCCTTCTTTTGAAAAGTGTCTGTTTATGTTGTTTGCCCACTTTTTCATGGGGTTGTTTTTCTCTTGTAAATTTGTTTAAGTTCCTTATAGATGCTGGATATTAGACCTTTGTCAGTTGCATAGTTCACAAATATTTTCTCCCATTCTGTAGGTTATCTGTTTACTCTATTGATACTTTCTCTTGCTGTGCAGAAGCTCTTAAGTTTAATTAGATCACATTTGTCAACTTTTGCTTTTGTTGTGATTGCTTTTGGTATCTTTGTCATGAAATTTTTGCCTATTCCTATGTCCAGGATGGTATTGCCTAGGTTGTCTTCCAGGGTTTTTATAGTTTAGGGTTTTACATTTAAGTCTTTAATCCATCTTTCTGACCTATGTGTTACTCAGAAGAATGGTGTTTAATATCCATGTATTTGGAAATTGTCTAGCTATATTTCGGTTACTGAAATCTAGCTTAATTCCATTGTGATCTGAGAACAGATATTCTATGACTTCTGTTCTTTTCGACGTATGTCTTATGGCCCAGAATGTGGTCTTTTGGTGAATGTTTCTTGTGAGCTTGAGAAGAATGTGTAATCTGTTGTTTTTGGATATAGTAGACTACAGATATTAATTACATCCAGTTGACTGATGGTGTTGTTGAGGCTAACTATATCTTTACTGTTTTTCTGCCTGCTGAATCTATGCATTTCTAATAAAAGGATGTTAAAGTCTCCAACTATAATAGTATTAGTGTGGCACAAAAGTAATTGTGGTGTTTGCCATTAAAAGTAATGGCAAACACCACAACTACTTTTGCCCAATGCAATAGATTAATCTATTTCTCTCTGAGGGTCAATCAGTTTTTGCCTCATATATTTTGATTCTTTGCTGTTAGGCACAAATGCATTACAAATTGTTATGCTTCCTTGGAATATTGACTCCTTTTTCATTAGGTAATGCTCCTCTTTATTTCTGCAGATTTCCTTGCTCGGCAGTCTGCTCTGAAATTAATATAGCTACTCTTGGTTTCTTTTCATTAGTGTTGGCTTGGTGTAACTTTCTACATTCCTTTACTTTTTATCTATCTATGTCTTTATGTTTAAAGTGGATTTCTTGAAGATAACAGTGGAGGCTAAAGCAACTCCATCATGGATGCTAATCTACCATGTTGACTTCTGATTAACTTCAGTTCTGGAAAAGCCTCTGAGATTTCTATTTTATCTACTGTTTCTTGTATAAGAGCATGAATTTATCATAATTCCTGCTCTTAGATCAAGACAACCTTAACCATAAGTCCAGTCAATCTGCCTTTAAGCAGATTCATAGAGCATTCTTGACTTTCCCAGTCATTGTTCAACACATTCCTTTCCTATGGTACATAAGCCCTAGGTCTAGAGGGTAATGATACAGGGATCCACAATCTTGTTTAGCTGACACCCAAGACACAGACATGGATTCTGTTTATAAGTCCCTATTAAATGTTTCTTTCTGAGAAGCTGGATGTGTCAGCCTCTTTCTTCAGCCTCTTGGCTTCCTCAGACTTTGGAGGTAGTTTTGTACAGGCCTGCCCACTGCAAAATATCAACGTATAGTTGGATCTTGTTTTATGATTCACTATGACAATCTCTGTCTTTTACTTGATATATTTAGACCATTGATGTTTAAAGTGATTATTAATACAGATGGATTAATATTTACTATATTTATTATGGTTTTCTCTTTGTTTCCCTTGTTCTCTGCTCCCAATTTTGTCTTCCACATTTTCTGCATTTTGTGGTTTTAATTGAGCATTTCATATTATTCCATTTTCTTTTCTTTCTCACCATATGAATTATACTTCTTTTTTAAACTTTATTTTAATGATTGTCCTAGAGTGTGCCATATACATTAACAAATAATTCAAGTCCACTAAATACCCCTGTACCACTTCACAGGTAATACAAGTACCTTATAGTAACAAAATATTCCTAATCTCTCCCTTCCATTTTTTGTATCATTGTTGTCATTCATTTCACTTACACATAAGTATACATAGATAAATGTTTGTTTATACATAGGCATACATAATTGATACATTGTTGCTATTATTTATTTATTTATTTATTTATTTATTTATTTATTTATTTTGAGATGGAGTCTTGCACTGTGGCCTGGCTAAAGTGCAATGGCACAACCTTGGCTCACCCCAACCTCTGCCTCCCAGGTTCATGTGATTCTCCTGCCTCAGCCTCCCGAGTAGCTGGGATTACAGGTGCACACCACCACACCTGGCTAATTTTTTTGTATTTGTAGTAGAGACAGGGTTTCACTATGTTGGCCAGACTGGTCTCAAACTCCTGACCTCATGATCCACCCGCCTCAGCCTCCTTGTTGCTATTATTATTTGAATAAACTGTTATCTGTTAGATCAATTCAAAATAAAAAAATAAATATTTTTGTTTTACCTTCACTCATTCTTTTTTTTCTTTATGTAGATAAGAATTTCTGATCTACGGCATTTTTTTCTCTCTGAAGAACTTCTTTCAACATTTCTTGCAAAGCAGGTCTACTGGAAGCAAATTCCTTCTATTTTTGTTTGCCTGGGGGAGTATTTCTCTTTTAATCTTTTCATTGACACACATTGGTACATATTCGCGGGGTACATGTGATATTTTGTTACATGCATAGACTGTAGTGATCAATTCAAGGTATTTGGGGCAGGTATCTGTCACCTTGAGTAGTTACCATTTCTTTGTGTTAGGATAATTTCAAGTCCTCTCTTCCAGCTATCTTGAAGTATATAACATATTGTTGTGGTCTATGGTCATTCCTTCTATCTAACTGTATGTTAATCCCATTAGCACACCTCTCCACCACCCTCCCACCCCCTACACACATACATACTTACCAGCCTCTGGTATTCATCATTCTATATCTCCATGAAATCAAGTTTTTAAGTTTTCATAGATGAGGGAGAATGTGTGGTATATGTCCTTCTGTGCCTGGTTTATTTCACTTAACATTATAACCTCCAGTTCCATCCATGTTGCAGAAAATTATATGATTTTCATTATCTTTTATGGCAATATAGTAGTCCACCATGTATATATACCACATTTTATTTATTCATTCATCCATTGAAAGACACTTAGACTGATGCCATATTTTTACTATTGTGAATAGTGCTGCAGTAAACATGGAGGTGCAGTTATCTCTCGATATAGTGATTTCCTTTCGTTTGGATAAATATCCAATAGTGGGATTGCTGGATTTTCTGATAGTTCTATGATTTTTGAGAAATCTCCACACTGTTTTGTTGTTGTTGTTGTTTTGGTTTTTTTGTTTTGTTTTTTTGAGACAGAGTCTTGCTCTGTCACCCAGGCTGGAGTGCAGTGGCATGATCTTAGCTCAGTGCAACCTCTGCCTCCCGGGTTCTAGCAATTCTTCTGCCTCAGCCTCCCAAGTAGCTGGGATTACAGGCATGTGCCACCACACCCAGCTAAATTTTTTTGTATTTTTAGTAGAGACGGTGTTTCACCATAATGGCCAGGCTGGCCTTGAACTCCTGACGTTGTGATCTGCCTGCCTTGGCCTCCCAAAGTGCTGAGATTACAGGTGTGAGCCACTGCGCCCAGCCCCATACCGTTTTTTATAATGGCAATACTAATTCACATTTCCACCAAGAGTGTATAAGAGTTCTCTTTTCCCTGCATCCTTATCAATTACCTGTTATTTTTTGTCTTTTTAATAGTAGCCATTGTTTTTTACAAATTTATGAAGTATGTGAGAAATTTTGTTACATGCATATAATGTGTAAGAATCAATTCAGGGTATTTAGTGTGTCCATCACCCCAGTACAATATATTTTTGTTAAGTATAGTCACCCTACTTTGCTATCAAACATTGAATTTATTGCTTCTATCTTACTGTGTATTTGTACACATAACCCAGTTCTCTTCATTCTCCCTCCTTACCCCCACTCACCTTTCCCAGTCTCAGTTGTCTATCTTTCCACTCTCTACCTCCGTGTGATCAAATATTTTGGCTGCCAAGTATTAAGTGAGAATAGCAATGGTTGTGTATTTGTGCCTGGATTATTTCACTTAGGATACTGACCTCCAGTTCTATTCATGTTGCAGCAAATGACATAATTTCATTCATTTTTATGGCCACATAGTATTCCATTATGTATATATATCACGTTTTCCTTACCTATTCATCCATCGATGAATACATAGGTTGATTCCATATTTTAGCTATTGTGAATAGTGCTGCAATAAATATGCAAGTGCAAGTATCCCTTTGATACACTGATTTCCTTTCCTTTGGATAACTACCCACTAGTGGAATTACTGGAATAGATGGTAATTCTATTTTTAGTTTTTTAAGAAATCTTTATAATATTTTCCATATTGGCTGTACTAGTTTACATTCCCATCAACAGTGTATAAGAGTTTCCTTTTCTTTGCACCCTCACCAATACCTATAAATTTCTGTCTTTTTAAAAATAGCCATTCTGATTGGGGTAAGATGATATCTCACAGCAGGCTTGCAAGACTACATCCTTCAACCAACAGGCGCTAGATTTCCCAGTAGATAACTTCAAGGAGCCTGGTGCCAGGGAGTAATGGCCCTAAGCAAACATTTTGGTGGCAGGCGCAGTGTGAGTTTGCCCACATCCTGCATTCATGATAAACAGTTTGCTGTTTGATCATATAGCCTCCAGTGGAATGCTGAGTTGGTCACTATCCCTTTGCTAGCTCTCTACGTAGATTAATGGTGGATCTGCTTTCCCTATTCTACTGAATCAAATGTTAATCTCTTTTGACAACACATACACAGATACACTCAGGATGAATACTTTGTATCCCTCAATCCAATCAAGTTGACACTTAGTATTAACCATCACAAGTCCACCCCTTGTCAACTTGAACCCATACACATCTCCTGAGACCATACATAATCTTCAAATAAAGACAATAATGAGGTCATAATTATGCCTAACATAATACAACTATCCTTCGTAAAACCAGAAATGCACCAATCCCCAACCCAAATGCTATTACATAAAGTTAACAATACTTAAATGCTGATATGAAGTCAATAAATTTTATGTCACATGATAAAGGAAAAGGGAATTTTAAAAAGGGGGGTATATCTTCTGGACCCTCCCAGCTGGGATGAGTAGGTCTAAAGTGACTAATCCACTCCACCATCCCAATCTCCCTAAGCCTTTGGATCCCTTCCTTTTCATTAAACCAAAGGAGATCAGATTGCTTTAGGTAGTATGGTCATCAATCATTTTAACAATTTTAATTCTTCTGCTCCATGACCATGGCATGTCTTTCCATTTTTGTGTATCCATATCAATTTCCTTCATGATTGTTTTGTAGTTCTACTTGTATACATTTTTTACCTTTTTGGATAAATTGATTTCTAGATATTTTATATTTTTATAACTATTGTAAATGGGATTGCTTTTTTTATTTCTTTTTAGAGTGTTCACTCTTGGTGTAAATAAATGCGCTGATTTTTGTATGTTGATTTGGTATCCTGCAACTCTACTGAATTTCTCAGCTCTGAGTTTTTTAATGTAGTCTTTAGATTTTCTAGACGTAAGATCATGTTATCTGCAAAGAAAGATAGTTTGACCTCCTCTTTTTCAATATGGATGCCTTATTTCTTTCACTTGCCTGATTGCTATGGCTAGGACTTCCAGTACTATGTTGAACAGAAGTGGTGAAAGTGGGCATCCTGATCTGGTTCCAGTTTTTGGAGCAAAGGCTTTCAGCTTTTCCCATTTAGTATAATGTTAGGTGTGGGTTTTTCATAAATCACCTTTATTACATTGAGATATGTTTCTTCTATGTTTCATTCATTGACAATTTTTATCATGAAGGGATGTTGAATTTTATCAAATGTTTTTTCTGCATCTATTAAGGTGACTGCACGGCTTTTGTCCATAATTCTGTTAATGTGATGTATCATATTTATTGATTTGCATATGTTAAACCATCCTTGCATCCCTGGGATAAATCCTACTTGATTATGAGGTCTTATCTTTTTAATGTGCTGTTGGATTTGGTTTGCTAGCATCTCATTGAGGACTTTCACATCTATGTTCATCAGGGATATTGGCCTGCAATTTTCTTTTTGTTGTTGTTGTGTTCTTTTCGGTTTGGGTGTCAGAGTAGTGCTGGATTTGTAGAATGAATTAAGAAACATTCCCTCTTCTTAATTTTTTGGAAGAGTTTGAGGAAAATTGGTGTTAGAGCTTCTTATAAGTTTGGTGGAATTTGGCAGTGAAGCAATCTATCTGTTCCTGAGCATTTATTTCTTTGTTGGGAGATTTTTTTATTATGGAATCAATCTCTTTACTCACTATTGTTCAGGTTTGCTACTTCTTCCTGTTTCAATCATGGTAAGTTAGACGTGATCAAAAATTTATACCTTTTCTCTAGGTTTTCCAGTTTGTTAGCAAAAAGTATTTCATAATAGTCTGAAAATCTTTTTATTTCTGTGGTATCAGTTATGTTTCCTTTTCAGTTTCTGATTTTATTTGGGTTGTCCCTCTTTATTGTTGTTTAGACTAGCCAGAAGTTTATTGATTTTTATATTTTCAAAAAATCGACTTTTTTTTTAATCCTTTGATGTTGTTGTTTTTAGTCTCTATTTCATTTAGTTCTGCTCTGATCTTTATTATTTCTTTCTTTCCACTAATGTCAGGTTTGGTTTGTTTTTGCTTTTCTACTTCCTTGACATGATTGTTAGATTGCTTGTTTGAAATCTTTCTACTTTTTTGATGCAGGCATTTATTGCTATAAATTTCTCCATTAGCACTGCTTTTGCTGTATCTCATAGGTTTTGGTATGTTGTGTTTCCAATTTTACTTGTTTTAGGAAATGTTTTAATATCCTTCTTAATTTCTTTCTTGACCCAGTGGTCATTCAGGGACCTGTTATTTAATTTCCATGTATTTGTACAGCTTCCAAAGCTCTTCTTTTTATTGATGTCTGGTTTTATTCCATTGCGGTCTGATAAAAAACTTGATATGACTTTGATTTTTTTTAAAATTTGTTGCCACTTGTGTTGTATCCTAACATATGGCCTATCCTGGAGCACATTCCATGTGCTGATGAGAAGAATGTGTATTCTATAGCTATTGGATCAAATGTTCTGTAAATGTCTGTTAGGTCCATCTGGTTTAATGTCTAGTTTAAATTCAGTATTTCTTTGTTAATTTTCTGTCTAGATGATCTGTCTAATGCTGAGAATGGAGTGTTGCAGTCTCCAACATTTATTGCATTGGAGTCTATCTCTCCCTTTAGATCTAATATTTCCTTTATATTTCCAACACTGGTGCTCCAGTGTTGGGTGCATATATGTTTAGAATTATTATATCCTCTTGCTGAACTAATCCCCTTATTATATAATGACTTTCTTTTTCTCTTTTCACTGTTCTTCACTTAAAATCTATTTTATGTAATAAAATATAGCTACTCCTGCTCACTCCTGGTTTTTCATTTGCATGGAATATCTTTTTCCACCTTTTTACTTTGTCTATATGTGCCTTTACAAGTGAGATTAGTTTATTGTTGGCAGTATATAGTTGGATCATGGTTTTTTAAAAAAAAAATCAATTCAGGCAGTCTATATCTTTTAAATGGAAAATAATCCACTTATATTCAAGGTTATCATTGATATGTGAAGGCTTGTTCGTGTCATTTTGTTAATTGACTTCTGATTGTTTTGTATGTCTTTTGTTCCTTTCTTTCTTGTTTATCATTATGGTTTGGTGGTTTCCTGTAGTGGTAACATTTGAATCCTTTCTCTTACTCATTTGTGAGTTTGTTCTACCAGTGGATTTTTCATGTATTTTCATGATTGTATATATTTTCCTTTTGCTTCCAGGTCTAGCACTTCCATAAGCATTTCTTGTAGTCCTGGTCTAGTGGAGATAGAGTCCCTCAGCTTTTGCTTGTCTGAGAAAGATTTCATTTTTCCTTAGTTTATGAAGGATAACTTTATTGGGTATACTATCCTTGACTGATGGCTTTTTGTTTGTTTGTTTGTTTGTTTTTTAGTTTCAGCACTTTGAATATATCATCCCATTCTCTCCTGGCCTGTACAGTGTCTGCTGAGAAATTCACCATTAGTCTAAAGGGGGTTCCCTTATAAATGACTAGACACTTTTCTCTTGCTATTTTATAATTCTGTCTTTGTCTTTGACTTGACAATTTGACCATAACTTGCCATGGAGAAGACCTCTTAAGTTGTATCTATTTGGGGATCTCTGAACTTCCTGTATCTGAATGTACAAATCTCTTTACAGACTTGGGAAATTTTCAGCTATTATTTTATTAAATAGGTTTTCTATTCCTTTGATCTTTTCTTTACTTTTTGGAACATGAAATCTTCAAAAGTTTGGTTGCTTTATGGTATCCCATATGCTACATAGGCTTTGTTCATTCTTTTTAATCTTTTTTATTATTATTGTCTGACTGGGTTATTTCAAAATACCTTTCTGCAAGTTCTGAAGTTCTTCTGCTTGCTCTAGTCTATTGCTGAAGTTCTTGAATATATTTATTTCATTTAAGAAATTCCTCAGTTCCGGGATTTCTGCTTGATTTTTTTAAAACAATATTTGTCCATTTGTTAAATTTCTGATTCATATCCTGAATTGTTTTTCTGATTTCACTGTATTGTTTATCTGTATTCTCTTTTAACTCAATGAGGTAGTATATCATTATTTTGAATTCTTTTTTTAATATTTTATAAATTTATTTTTCATTGGAATCTGTTGTTGGAGATTTCTTGTGTTCCTTTGGAGGTGTCATGTTTTTCATGTTTCTGGTGTCCTTACACTGATACCTGTGCACCTGGCATAACTGTTGCTTCTTCCAATTTTTTGGATTTGCAGTCATAAGGATGTACTTCTTAATGAAGATGTATCTATGATGTTGGTTATGTAGGGCACTTTGGCTTTGATTCTGGGTGCCTGCAGTAGTGTAGTCTTTGTATAATTTCTTTGGCTATAAAGGGTGTAGGTAGTATCTGCGATTTTGTCAGTGACTTCAGAGTGCAGTTGTTAGTGAAGGCTGTGATGATGTTTTGCTAGTGATGGAGACCCCAGGTGGGCCAGTGCCCAGTGGTGGCAGCAGCAGGTTAAGTATGCCTGTTCTTGGGGCCCAGGGAGGCACACAGTGGCACTGGTGTTAGTATATCCAAGCAAGTTGATTGTTGGGACTCCAGACAACTTGCTCAGGTACCAGTAGTGGTAGCAAAGAGCTGAATAGGCAGATGGAGTCACAGGCCCCTGGGCAGCAGGCAGAGTGTAGGTGATGGCAGTAGTCATGGTGTGATAAACCTCTGTCTCCCAAGCAGTCCATGCTGTTGGTGGTGGCAGTGGTGAAGGGGCTGGGCAGGCCAGTCCTTAGGCCCACAGGTGGCATGTAGATGCCAGGTGAAGTAGCAGTGACAAGTTGGGTGGGCCCAACCTCAGGCCTCCAGGAGAAGTGTCCAAGTGCCTATGGTGGTGGATTGGTGTGGTTAATCCCAAGACCTCCGAAATGGCATGCTTAGGTGCTATGGAGTGTGAAGCTCAGCTGGGCAGGCCTGTCCTCAAGCACCTGGTGGTGCATACAAGCACTGGGCTGTGGTGAGCAGGGACTGGGTGACCCCCAGGGCCTTGGCAGAGTGCTCAAGTGAGGGCAGCAGTGGTAGGCGTGGAGTCAGGGAGCCTACACTCAGGGCAAGTGCTCTGTGGCTGTCCTGCTGTGGAGGGCTGGGAGCAGTGGGGTTGCTGTCAGTGGCTTCCACTCCACCACTGGTGGCAGCAGTCAGCAGCAGCTGTGAGCAGGGGAGCCTGTCCTCAGGGAATATGCAAATGTATGACCATCCTGGTGCTGGAGGTATTGGGGTCACTGCCAGTGGCTTATGCTTTGGTCCCAGTGGCAGTGGCCAGCAGTGGTGGCAGCTGCAGATGGGGGATATCAATGTGGTTCCAGTGATGTTGCTATTCAGGAGCTGTTCTGCCTCAAGGTAGGATATAATCTGGTAGGAGCCGAACTCTCAAAATGGTGCTTTGCTGAAGCTGCTTAGATCTCAGTGTCTGTGTGGGACCCATGATGAGCTCCCTCTCTGGAGCAATGCCTTCACACGGTCTCCAGGCAGCTCCCTATGTTAGTGTCAGGGCCCATAAGGGTCAAGGGCCTCTCTTGAGGCTCGGATTGCAGAAGTCTGTAGTGGGAATGTGGACTGCCAGGGGGCGGGGGAAGTGGGGGGTCTCTCTTTCCCTTTCTCCACACTGGGGAGCTTCTCCAGGCTCCTAGCCAAGCAGGTTGCCTCACTCACTTCCCTCTCCTTCCTTGCCTTAGGTGTTTCCTTTCATTTCTCTATTGAATTGTAGGGTCCTTTCAGATTATTTACTGAAAGTGTAATTATCTTTTTACAATTTTTGTTCCCTTTGTGGAAGAGATGAGTGTCGGATGCCTTTAGTCAGACATCTTGAATCCCCTCCTCTCTTTCACAATTGAAAGATAATTTCGCAGAGTATGTAATTTTAGGTTGGTGTATTTTTTTCTCTCAACACTTTAAATAGTTTACTGTACTCGCTTCAGATAAAATTCTTATCTTTGCTCCTCTATAGGTGAGATGGTTTTTGTCCTCTGGCTTCTTTTAAGATGTTGTATTAATCTTTGATTTTCTGAAGTTTAATATGGTATGTCTAGGTGTATTTTTTTCTATTTATCCTTAATGTTAACTTAATGTCCCCTGAGTTTCCTATCTGTGGTTTGGTGTCTGACATTAATTTGGAAGAAATTATCTGTCTTTATTGTTTCAATTATTTTATCTGTTTCTTTCTCTATTTTTTTTTTTTTTTTTGGTCTTTCTGGTATTCCCCTTGCATGTGTGATATGTCTTTTGTAGTCTCACGATTCTTCGATACTCTGTTCCGTCGTATTTCGGGGGGCGGAGCAGGGGATTAATCTTATTTTTTCTTTGTTTTTCAGTTTTGGAAGTTTTGATTGTTATATCCTCAAGCTCAGAGATACTTTCCTCAGCTATGTCCAGTCCATTAATGTTGCCCCAAAGACATTATTCATTTTGTTACAGTGTTTTTGATCTCTAACATTTCTTTTTGATTCTTTTTTAGAATGTCCACCTCTGATTACATTATCCATTTTTTTTTGCATGTTGTCTACTTTTTCTATTAAAGCCCTTAGCATAATAATTATAGTTTGCTTAAATTCTTCATCTAATAATTCCAACATGCCTGCCACATCTGAATCTGGTTCTTGTTTAGTCTCTTCAAACTGTTTTTCGTCTTTTAGTGTGCCTTGCAACTTTGTGTTGGAAGATGAACCTGATATATAGGGTAAAAGGAACTGTGGTAGTTGGGCCTTTAGTAATGTGGTGGTAAGGTGCTGGGGGGAAGTATTCTATCGTCCTAATATTAAGTCTCAGTCTTTCGGTGAGCCTGTGCCCCTAGCCTGTGCACCTCGCCAGTGCTTCTTAGTTTTTCTCTTACAAGAAAAACTTAGTTTCTTCTTAGTTTCTCTAACAAGATGTCTAGAGGGGCTAGAGTTGGCTATTTTTCTTCCCCCAAGTAGATTAGTCTCTGATAAAGTTCTAACAGGTTAAGCTCTGGTTGAAGTTTCTTCTGTGGGCAAACTTTGTTGAAAAGAACAGAATGATTTGGCATATTTTTAAATGGTTCCTTTTCCCCTCCCCCTGCCAGAAGCATGAGGCAATTTTTTCCTCAATATTCACCGTGAGAACTGAATAGAGCTTCTGGAGGTAAAACTCACAAAAGTGTGGAAGCCACCCTCTCTGACTGATCCCCCCTGGAGTTTTTAACTCTCAGACTTGTCCACACTGAGCCTCCAGCAACTTGTCAGTTCAGGTTTTCCTATTCTGACACTGGTTTCTGCAGAGGTTTCTACTCAAGGGTTTCTGCTCTAGTAAGTTGTCGTTCTCTGTATCTGCCTATGTGTCTCTCCAGTTATGGGGTAGTGGTTTGCCCTGTGACCTCAATTCACTGACAGATCCAAGAGGCCTTCTTAACTTTTCGGGTTGTTCAACTTTAACAAGTTGTTCTACTTATTAGGATGGTATTAAGACTTATAAGTTCCTTATACGTGTCAGACCAGAAACCAGAAGTTTTTCACTGTGATTTTCATTTGCATTTCCCTAAAGGGTAGTAAGTTGAACATCTTTTTATATGCTAAAGACTGTTTAAGCCACATTAATTTTTAGTGATAGCTAACATCTCTAGCTAAAAAATAACTGCATTCTCCAAAATCTTTCACCCAAAGAAACTAGGCTGCTCGGAAATACAGTCATGTGTCTGCTGGAAAAATGACCAATGCCATTTACTTTGTTATGGAGAGTTTCCGGAGGGTAGGAATCGTTATCTTCTCCACCAAGCACAAGGATGTTTATTGAAGTAAATTAATCTGTTGAATATGTATCTTTGAGCTTAATAATAGAACTCCAAGAAGGTGAAACTTCACTTTCTTATTTCATAGAAGTAATAGAGACATCAAAAGGTAGACCAACATGAGGGAAGCTATGGGAGCATAATTTTAAATCTCTAAAATATCCTATAAAGCATAGACTTGTGACCCCCATAATGCTATAGCTTATTGTTACATGTATCGGTACATTGTAAGCAAAACAAAAACTCTAACTGCTACAGATTTTAAAATCTAAAAATTAGTATATAAGGGAAATAAATGTTTGTTCTATCATAACTTCAGCATTACACATGGCTTTCATTGTACATAAAGCCAGTATGGCAAATGTCACTTCTAATTGTTGGTTGCATTTATGTAAGGGCTAAACTTTTACTTCAAGCTTAGTTAAATATAATATCTCAGTAGTTAAATGTTCCTGATTCTACCGACCTATTGTCCATTTTACCTGTATTTCCCAGGTAAATCATATGTTAGTGAATTTTCACGTATGTGATGTTGTTCTCTGATTCTTAGAAGTGATTTAAGTATTTTTGTTGTTTTATAAACAACATGGAATTCATTTTGGCTTTTTCATGGATGAATACTCACTGGCTTGAACTTTAACAACCCTAGAGAGATTCAATCATTCTATAGAGCTCAGGAATTGCAGGCAGATTTACATACTAAAGCCAAGCTAACTCCAAACATATTGCTATGGTTTGAATTTGGCCCCTCCAAAATTTATGTTGAAACTTATCCCCATTGTGGTGGTATTAAGAGGTAAGGACTTTTGGAAAGTGATTAAATCCTCCTTCATGAATGAATTAATGCCTTATAAAAGGACTAGAGGGAACTAGCTTAAGACCATTTTTACCTTTCCATCCCTTCTGCCATTTGAGGACACAGCATTCATCCCCTGCAAAGGATGCAGCAACAAGATGCCACATCAAGGCAAGAGCAGCTCTCACCCCCAGCCTTCTAGCTCCTTGATCTTGAACTTTTCAGCCTCCAGAACTGTGACAAATAAATTCTGTTGTCTAGAAATTACCCAGTCTTGGATATTATGCTATAGCAGCACAAATGGATTGAGACACACATGTAATGCAGGGTCAAATGAGAAGCAGGTGTGACGAGAGGTGCAAGGAATTGCCATTACCCTAATACATGTTTTGGGGCTCTAGTAGGGCAACTCGTTTTGTGTCTATAATAGTCATTCATTTCCTCTCACACACATATTAGATAATATATTGGATTCATTTGGTCACCCTGCCAGTTTATTGTTCATTTGTGACTAAGTAACATGTTTGGTCCTCATTTCCACGTCAGTTCTATTTTTGTTTTGTTTTGGAGGATTTTGAAGCTAACACAAGTTTATAAACATGGACAGCAGATTTTAGGAAGAAAACAAATATGTAAGAATAATGTAAAATATGGCAATTGCCAAGGCCAGCTCGGTCGTGGAGACCCTAACCCAGTGGCACCAGAGGAATTAAAGACAAAGACACAGGAATAGAGTATAAAGTGGAAATCAGGGGGCTGACAGACTTCAGAGCTGAAAGCCATGAACAGAGTTTGACCCACACATTTATTGACAGAAAGCCAGTGATAAGCATAGTTCTTATAGATTATAGATTAACTAAAAGCATTCCTAGTGAGGAGCAGAGAAACAGACTCTGGCTGATTATTTGCAGCAAAAGCATATTGCTAAGGCACAGGCCACTCCTGCTATAATTTGTGGTTAGAGCAGTTTTCCGCTCCAGGTCGGGCCAGGTGTTCCTTGCCCTGCTCCAGTAAACCAACAACTTTTAGCAGTGTGCATGATAGCCATCACGAGCATGTCACATTGCTGCAGAAATCCTGTTTATGGCCAGTCTCTTTAAGGACTGTTTATGACAGGCTTAGGCCTTGCTTTTAAGTAAGAAAACTTGCAGAATTCTAATATTCTAGGAAGGTGTGGGTAGAAGAATTAACATCAACTAAGACTGATTGGAGTGGCAAAATGCTCGTTGCTACCTTAATATCTATTCTTGCCTACTCTTCTTTTCTCTTACACATAGTTTATTTTACTGCCTTCCTTGCAGATAAAGCTGGAAAATGAAATATTCCAACCATTTTTGCCGCCTTATTAGTTTTCCATCCTGCTGCCTGGGAAGTGAAAATTATTGCAGGATCTCCAGTAGCCATCTTGAATTCATGAGGAAAAAGCAAAGAGAATCTTAGAGATCTTGGCCAAGACATCTTAGAGGTGCTGAAACAGCCAGCAAATTCCTACCTGAACATCTTATAACTTGAGAAAAATACACTTTTTTGTGATAAAGCCATTCATGTTTGAATATTCTGTTATTGCCAGCTGAACCTAATCCCAGCTGACGCTGTTGATAATGGAATGGATTCTGAAAGATAACAAATCCCATAGGCTAAGCTTGAAGTAAAAGTTGAGCTCTTACATAAATGCAACCACCAATAATGCTTCAACGCAACCACCAACCAATGCTTAGCTTCAATGCAGAAGAGTATTTCTGGCTAATATATTAAAGGTATAATGGAGGTCATACCTTTGCTATATGATGACATGTACAAATTTAGAAATAGGAATAAGGATAAAGTTAGGATTGAAACATACATAGTGGGAGAATCATGAAAGGGCTTCGAATGATGGGCTGATTTGGTGATTTTACTAACTGGAACAGACTAACCTGGTCATAGGTTGCATGTGTAACTTCTATTCCAGGAGTCGAACTAAAATTGTTCATGGTGTGAGCAACATAAACCAAAATGAAATTAGAATGTTAGGTTATTCATAATGTTTATGAAATAGTCTTCATTGATCTTTATGACTTACAAATGAGGGTATTATTTATATTTTTAAAAGGGACACCTCAAAGATGATTTGTTAAACTTCCATGGTAACTAGTAACTATTGGGAAATTATCTTTGAAATGTTCAAGATCTTTGCATCTTATATTAAGATGTCTTCCATTGTTTTTTATCTAGTGTATTTGATGAGCAAGAACTAAATAATTCTGTTGGCAAATGACCACAAAAAAGTTATGTCAAAACTTTTATTCAATTATCTGGACATAGTGGGAAGAGAGAAAGAATATAGGTCTGAATTATGCAGACACATGTTTCAATTTTCTAGGCAAATATTTTACTTATTAGACAATTTTCCTGATGGCCTTTGGAAACTTTCACCACAAGATGAAAACCAGTTAAACTGTAGAATTCGTTTCAAGTAAAAAAAAAAAATACTAACTTCCATAGCCACACAAGAGGCAAAGATAATTTTCTCCTGGATAATATTTTCAATTGACTCATTTTTTTGGTACAATAAAAAAAGTTAAATCTAAACATGGAACTCTCCCTTTAATTACTATTATTACTTGTATAGAACTAGAAAATTTAGGTTAAATCCTTAGCAATTAATTCTATTAGCAAGATACTATATCTGTAATGAAAAACAGTTGCTGCAACGAGGATAGGATTTTGCTTTTTTTGTCTTATTAATTGAGAAATTAAGAAGTAAGAAGAGGGTAGACTGTGGTTATAAATAATTATTCCTACTAGTAATAGCTATCCTATATTGTACACATACTATACTCCAGACATTATATTAAGAACTGTACAGTTTAAAAAAATCTTATTTCAACATTTTTAAAAGGTAGGTACTCATCTTTATTTGACTACTGGGACAGGCAACGGAGGCTCAGAGAGGCTTTGTATTTTCCCAGAGTTACATAATTAGTAGAAGTGTCACAGGGAGAACCTGTGTCTGGGCTGTCTGACTGCAAACCTATGAATGTTATCATTGCATAATACTTCTTAGACTTTGGTGGAATGTATGTTATAATGGAAAGTAGGTATAAATATTTCACAATTGGACAAGATACCTTAAATAAATGAAAAGAAGACTTATGGCTGAGTGTATACACTTCTTTAAATGTGAGAGGATGACTGAAAATTATTTTGAATTTGAAGCTATTTTCAATGAACCAGGAGCTTTCTGAACTCAAAAAGAAACCGAGCATGCCCCATCATGAATGAGTGACAATGTCTACTTGGCAGACAACATAATATAGACTATTAGATATGCACATTTTTTGATTTCTTAGAAAGTTTAATTTTAAATAAACTAGCTTTTCCCTCCATCTTTTCTTTTCTTCCTGCCTTTCTTATTTGCATCACTGAAAACTCAGTCCCCCAGAAGCCATCTTACAATATAGCAAGACCATGAGACCGAGATTTTATCTCATTCCATGGTAGTTCTGACATTCAATCTTTAAATGAAATAAGATCAATTCCTAATTCTTTATTTCTTTAGTTAATATAAATTATTTTTGCTATAAACTTGGCACATTTTTTTGTTTACTCTTATAAACCAGGAGTGTAGGATCACAATAAGATCATATTAAACAGTATAGTGAACACAAAGAGCTCAGTACAGATTTGGAGTTGGAGTTTTAGTCATGGTTCTGTAGTAAGCAGTTTCTTAACTTTAGGAAAGTCACTTAATATTTCTGACCCTCAGTTTTCTTATCTATAAAGTGAAGCCGTTGGACTACATGAATTCTACTCTCTCCAGCAATAACATTCTATTCTCTCTGAAATCTCACTTCAACAAATTTTCAAATGTCAGTGTGGGGTAGAAAAACATTTCATTGCAGTTTTCTCAGCTTGGGCAGCCTGTCACCTTCCCTTCTAATGACACTCTCAACACAAGCCCTATCTCTACATCCAAAAATGTCCTTTCCAACTCCTTTAGACAACCATTGCCCAACCATCTTGTGCATAAGATCAGCTTTGAGGCAAAACTAGTGGCTTGGTGATCTGGGCACCAATATAACTACATAGAGGTGACACGGTTTCAGTGAGTGTGAGTAAAATGAAGTTTGAGGAACAGAACTACAGTGCAGTATTTAGAGTCCAAGCACATTTTCTTATATTACTGAAGTCAGTTTATAGAGGGGTATACAGAAAATAAACAGCACAGGTACTAAGATTTTCTTGGACAAGAAAGAAAGGTTAAGGATGCAAAAGTAGGTGTCTTCATCCTTCCGGAGTGAGTTTAGCTACCTCCCAGGGCTCAGAGAAGGACTGGATCAATGAATTTCCTTGGAAAATAGAATCCAACTCACATGGTAAAATAGATTTTAATAAAGGGATAATTTACAGAGGTGCAGGCAGGGCTCAGGAACACAAAAAGATGTTTGGATTCCCCTAGAAACTAGCAACTGGAAATTGAAAAAAGATGTTTGGATCCCCTAGGAACTATCAGTAGGAAACCACTACTATGCCTAGGCTTGAAGGGGCAGGAGAGGCATTAACATTGCTGAGGCCCAATGACAGAAAGAGCCATGGAGGGGTAGTCCATCTGGAAGGACCTCTAGTGGTGAAGGAGTACACCCAATGCCAGAAAACCCATTCCAAAGCAGGCAGCATTTAGGAAAAAAATGCCTCACAGCACCCTCTTTAATCCTGCTGCTGCTTATCATTGGCCAAGGCCATTCATCAAGGAGCCCAGGTCATAGAGTTCTTAGGGATCAGTGTCTTGTAGCCCAAAGTAGGGCAGGGAACAGTGGAGAACGAATCTGATTTAGGAAGGTGGTTGGTATGCAGAAAATAACAAGTACAGGTACTAAGATTGTCCAAAACAACTTTTAGTATAATTGGACTATTTTTCATTCCTAATGGAGAGCTGAATCTAAAGAAATGACAATGTGATTTTGCAGATAGTCCGTTTTTCCCTGGTGATTTTTTTAGGCATACAATTTCCTTCTGATTCATTTTCATTTTGATTTTTCATTTTTATTGGCACTTAGCTGTTAATGAGAATTTGCTTCATTTTCCTTTAATTCATGCTTTGTCTTGATTGATACTTCTCTGCATTAGGGCCTTGTTAACTAGGGTCTAGCACTGGCAGCCATTGGCTAAATTAGATATGTTGCTTTACATTGGAAGTTTTGTTAAATCTTGAAATGTAAAACAATGCAAACTGCCTTCTGTCCCCACATTTGAGAAGTCCTAAAAGTTAGCAATTCTGATTTTACAGTTTAAGCAAAAATCAGTTCAGCCTAGTAGCATATCTACTTAACATTTAGGGTGGACACTATTTCTGGGTTTCTATTTGCTGTCTTTGAAGCATTTGTTATTCCCTGAGTAGAATGTAATTAAAACGTGGACACCCTGGTGTCATTTGGGAGATCTTATTTTCCAGTGATCCACTACGTAGGCCATATTGCTTTTCTTAAGCATGATATTTTGGATTATTCTAAAACATGATATTGAAGTGTGAACAGCCTAAAAATAAAACTGAGTCCAGTATGTTCCAAGTTTGGGCAGTTTATAAACCTAGCGGAGCTTGCTGTTAACGTGTAGCTTGGCAAACTCATTCATGGTCTGAGTTGCGAGTTGGGCTGTTTCCTCTCTCTTTGTAGCCTTTAAGATTTTTGGGATCAGACCAGAGCTGTCAGCTTTGGTTTAGTGAAACAGAATCCATCTCCCTCTTTTATGCCTTCAGCTTCTTACAAGGAAATTAGCTATAATTTAAACTATATATATTTACATATACATATTCAGAATTGTTAAATGAAAATAAATTTTCAGAGTATAGCAAGATGTTAAAACCACCCTTGGATTATACACTAGACCAACTTGGTTTTATATTTTGCCATTTTTTCCCCCTTTACTCTCTGATTATGCAAATTTACTTCCAGAAATGTATTTCAAATTCTAGATAATAAATCCAGCAACAAAGACAATTTGAAAGGATAGGAAATATTTATTCTGTTAAATTTGTAATTTGTGAGTCAATTTTGATTCTATCACTAGAGCTAAATAGCTCTAAACATAGTAGCACGCAAAGACATAGAAACATAAACGAACTTACAAACATCTGAAAACATGTGCTCTACAATTGCAGAGAAAACATTCAGAATAAATACAGGACTCTTGTGTTCACCATCCAGTAGGACAGAAATGGAAGTTAAAAAACATGGAATAAAAGCCGCAGAAGATACATTTCCAAGTAAGTCCGAGGATGAAGCCTGGGGAGTCAGAAGTGCTTCACGGAGGTGGTGCTTTTGGGAAGGACTTTAAAGGATAAATCGGAGTTTATTTAGTAAACAGGAAGGAAAAGGTATTTCAGAAAGAGGGAGTAGCATCTTCAGGAAATAGCTCTGCTGCCTAGAATGTGTCCTGTACAGAGAGGGAACCCCTAAAGCATCACAACGTAAACTATAAATGTCTTTGAGACTATTTTTAGCAGCAACTAGACCACCAAAATTAAGGGGTTAAGAAAGCAGAGAGGGAGTGAGAGACTATTTTTATACGTATGCCTCTACCAATGTTTCACCTTGCCATATCATATGGTATCATAAGGACTAGCAACAACCCAATCCAGTTCACAAGGAACTGAATTCTACCAACAACGTGTGAGTAATCTTGGAAGCAGATATTTCCCAAGTAGAGGCTTGAGATGACTATAACTATGCCTGGGACTCTCAGGCAGCCTGTGAGAGAAACAGAGGACTCAACTAAGCCCCACCTGAATTCCTGGCCTATAGAAATGGAGATAATAAATGCTATTGTTTCAAGCCATTACGTTTTGGGGTAATTTGTTACCAGCAATAAATAACTCTAATGCACGCTTCTGGTTCCTACCTAATATCCTCACAGTACACCTTGTAGTCCAGCTGTTGCTATGGCAACCAGCTTCTCGCAGGTATAGTCTGACAGCACCTCTCCTTAAGTGTAAATACTGTTAATTGCTCACTTTGTGTTCTGAACTTTCTGACACCGCTGGTCTGGGGCTCCTGTGGGAACTTGCTCAGCATTACACATGTGCAGACCTGGAACTATGAGAGGGTTACCACCCAGTGGGGCAACCCTTGACCAGTGAAGGGTAGGAGCCAGTGGAAACATGTTTCCTCTTTGGTCTCACAGATGGACAGCTCTGAAATATAGGTTGCACACATCAAGCACCAGTTACTGACAGCAGTGATTAACTCAGTTATCTATTCTTCATTGGCTTTCCCTCCTACCTGTTAACCTCCTCTCAAAGAAGTCATTTTGCAAAATAAACTGCCACTCAACCCTTTGTTTCAGACTGTTTTTGGTTAAGGGGTAGGAACCCAAGCTAAGGCATTTTGTCTCCTTTCAGCACAATGTTAACAGGTCAAGGAGTGATTAAGGTATTGATGGTTCTTTGTTTCTTATATATTGAAGAACAAAATTTCTAGCAAATTCTAGTAAATATATATACTTTCCTTGGCTTTATAGTACAATATGATGCCTCTTATCTCTTATTCATAGCATTTCTCACCCTACCGGCACAAAACCTGTTCAGCCCAACATTTCCTCTGACAGACACTGCCACAACAGCATATACACACTATCACAACTCAAATACACTGTATGCTTGGATCAAAATTCAGTGGCCCAACCTGAAATGTTTGCAGGGTATCAGTTTATCATATACAGTATAACAATTGAGAACCCCTAGCAAATATATTTGTTTAAGTTAATTCCATGGTGCAGGTTTAACTCCCAGTTAATCTTTTTGTTATTTTTACAGAAGTATAAAGAATACCTCTGATTACTGCTGGGATCAGCTATCTGGTCAACTGCACCTAGACTCCAAGATGTGTAGCCTATTTCAGTTTCTCAAACAAAACCAGTTTCTGTAGAGCTTATGTAATACCTGACAGCTCTCTGCAGAAAGAAGGCCAAATTCCAAATGTTCGCCTCATAGTCTTTGCCCCAGAATCCAGATAAAAATTTTTACAAAAGGGGTGTGTGTGTGTGTGTCTTTGTGTCTGTGTCTGTATGTGTCTGTATGTGTCAGTGAGAAAGAGCATTTTACAACTGACCTTTCAAGAAATTCTATAGATCTATTTTTTAAAAAGAAAAATGTAATGCCCTCTCAGGATTTTCTAAATTAGAAAGAAAATTTCTTTCCTTTTAAAATCACTGGCAAAATTTTCAATAATGATAAAAGAGACCACCAAATAAAATGCATTTATTATTGGATTACATAGTGTTCTCTCTTTTCCTTCCTGATCTCATGCTGAGATAAAACTTCTAATTCTCTCTCTCAACTCTGCTCATTTTTTATCCCAAAACCCAAGCTGATTGGCTCTCAACTGTACTTGATATTTATCCCAAAACTAATGAGGGATGAAAATAGAAGGGAGAATTGAGGAAATTTTCCAAACTAGCCTAAAGAGGCTATTCAAATTGCTTCTGAGCATCTCGGGGCAACTTGGGGCCTTCTAAAGAATTTAAGTATAAATAAGCAAATTTCACATAGCAACAAGCTTGCTGTGGAAACTAAATGAGTCACACAACAGCCTGTGGTCATGTATTAATTTGTTCTTTTCTTATCTTTCTTTGTATTTTGTCTAAAAGAGAAGTCAGCAAACTCTCTATTAAAGGACCATATACCAAATATGGCTTGTGAACCATAAAGTCTCTGTCACAATGGCTCATTTCTGTCCTTTAAGCATGAAACAGCCATAGACAATGCTAGTCTGCCAGCTGTATCTTTCCAACTCCTGTTTAGAACAAGAAACTTAAAGAACTATGGAAAGAAGTTACCATCTTTATGTTCCTATGAAATTCTTTTGTCCCCATGACTCAGCCACTATATTTGGGAATATTATAATATATGGAAAGTAGAGAAATATGTCTGTGGTGAATATGGAAATTCATAACTTTGAAAAATGTCCAGGATAGGAAACACAATTGAAAATAATACAGGTCTGTCTGTTCTGATAGATCATCCAAGTTTAGCTTCACGGCATGACTACTAGAGTTTGGAAGTCCAAAAAAATTGCTGCTGTGTGCAATGGATAGCTATGTGAAACATAGAAATAAATAAAAATGCAAATGGATCATTATCTCAAGCAGAAAATGGTTAAATTAAGCTATTTCTAAAATAAGTATCTCCTTGACCAAAATGTTATCAGACTGGGACATATCTAATCAGCATGCTGTCTCACATTCCATAATATATGACACCACTCTGTATGTTTGACATGACATTAATAGGCTGAGGCAACATTCAATAATTCTTCCCTCTCTGCCTCATCTAAGGTTTTATAGAAGGTCTTTACAAGATATGTCAACCTCTGAAATCATAAGTGTAAGTGTTATACAAATTTTTCTCAGAAGAATATTCATCACTACCCACAGTTGTCGCAGAACTCCATGATCCCAAAGTAGGAAAAATCATATCATTAATGAATAAATGAAAAAATGAAACTGATCACTAAAGCTAAATTGCAGTCCAGCTTATATAGTATGCATGAGAGAGCAGCAGAGAGATAAAAATCATTCAAGTTAAAAATTACACTCTTCATTGAAACACCAAATATCACCATTACTTGATTCTTTTGTGTTTACTATTATATTTTTCTTTCAAATCCTTTTTAAAAATACCCTTTGTTTTAAAACATTCTTTAATCATGAAACTTGTTTGTGATAGTACTTCCCCAAAAAAAAGAAAGAATAATAATAAGAGGGAGGAGGAGGAGAAGGAGGAAGGTAAGGATGAGGATGAGGATGAGAAGGAGGAGAAGGAGAGGAAGAGGAAGAAGAAAGAGAAGAAGAAGAGGAAGAGGAAGAAGAAGAAGAAGAAGAAGAAGAAGGAGAAGAGGAGGAGAAGAAGAAGAAGAAGAAGAAGAAGAAGAAGAAGAAGAAGAAGAAGAAGAAGAAGAAAGAAGAAAATAATGATAATGGGAACTTCAGCACTAAGATATAGGGAGCTCAAAGTAGGGTTGCCAGATATAGGAAATAAAAATATAGAACACCCATTTAAACTTAAATTTTGTATAGAATATACTTATACTAAGACAGTATTCATTGTTTATCTGAAAATCAAATTTAACTGTATATCCTGTGTTTTATCTGACAATGTTAGCTGCAAGGAATATCACTATTAATCTTACAAGGAAAATGAGCTAAACTAGATTTAAATCCATAACACTTTTTGAACCCATCAGAGAACTGAGTTTGCAAACAAATAACTGGCTCAAAATTTTAGGAAAAACAGTTGCCTGCTGGGAGATAGGAGATATGAGCACTCTCTTACCTAGATCAAAAGTAACTGAACATCAATCAGATTCTGACTCAAATAATTGGTGAATTCATGAAGGCCAAAGCAAGACTGGGAGGACAGCAGGAAACCACTAAGAGACACAGAAATTTAAAGAGTTCATACCCTCCTGCCCCTCTTTCCCTGCAAACCCCACCAGCTGATCACAGAAATAGAAAGTCTTAATTGTGAGGCAAACCTGGGGAAAAATAGCAGCTATATGAGAGAAACCGGAAACTTCACCAGAGTTTTTTGTCTGTCTCCTCTATTGAACAAAAGTCTTAAACTATACGGGTGGGGAAAGGAAAAGAGATGGTTAGGCAGGAACAAAAATCACTCTTGCCTTTAAGGCGTAGGTAAAAATTCTTTGTAGCTGAGAGAAGAAAAATTAAAAGAGAAAAAAGCCTAATCTTGTGTCAGGGGCAGAAATACACACTGCACCAAAAATAACAGCCAGGGAAGGAGAAGAAGCATTAAGAAAGCCACACTCCTAAAATTCTACATAAGCCTGAAATTTATAACAATAGAGAATGCTCTCTTCCACTGTCATCCAAGAAAATAAGTTTAAATAACAATAAGAATACTGCAGGGAGAAGGCCATTGAAGGAGCAAGAATGTGCAAATTAGACCCACTGTAAGGCAAAGTAGAGAGGAAAGACTTAGGGTGCAGGACCAAACAGACATTGCTCTGGATAATGAATCACCACCTTAAACATAAGGCATCACTAAGAAATTTGAGTCATCTGGAGTATTGAGGGTAATCACAGCAATAGCAAATATCAAACTTAGCTCCACCCTTAACTAAACCAACTCAAATTCCCATGTTAAAGACCCAACAGAAGGAAAGATATGCCCATTTTCAGGCATAAAAACTATTTACCTCAGTCTCCTCTGTCCTATACAAGCTATCCAGCTTTCAAAAAATATTAAAAGGTATACAAATAGGAAAGAAAGAACACACAAAGCAAAGCAACCATCAGAACCAGACCTTGCTAAAACACAGCTATATGAACTATCTGAAAGAAAATTTCAAAATAATGATAATTAATACATTAAATGCTCTAAAGAAAAAAGTGAGATACATGCAAGATCAGATGAGTAATTTAATCAGAGAGATAAGAAAGAATCTAATGAAAATGTTCAACATGAAAAGCACAGGAACAGAGCTAAAGGATGATTTTGACAGACTCATCAGCAAACTAAACTCCACCAATGAAAGCATCAGTTAACGTAAAAATAAATCAACAGAAATTACTGAGATTGTAACACAAAGGGAAACAAAAGTGAGAAAAAGAAAACAACCAAAATATTCAAGAGCTGGGGAACAAAGATATTTGTAATATACACACAATTGGAATCCCAAAAAGGAGAAGAAAGAAAGAAAAGGGCAGAAGAAATATTTGAAGAAAAAGTCCAAGAATTTCCCAAAATTAATGGCAAACACCAAATGCAAGTACATGATGGCCATAGAAAACCCAGCAAGATAAACACACACACACACACACACACACCCCTTCATTTGCTGTATTCAAACTGCTGAAAATAAAAGACAAACATAAAATTTTGAAAGCAAGAAGAAAAGAAGGAATACAGGGAAGTATTACAGCAGATTTCTCATCAGAAATCATGTAAACCAGAAGACAATGGAAAGACATCTTTAGAGTGCTAGGGGAGGAAAGGAGAGGCCAGGGTCGGGGTGAACCACCAACCCAGAATTCTATAACCTGTGAAAACAACCCTCAAAACTGAGGGAGAAATAAAGACTCTGCCAAACAAATAAAAGCTGATGGAATTCATTACCTGCAGATGTACTCTATAACAAATGTTAAAAGAAATTCTTCAGATAGTAGAGATATATCAAACCAAAACTCATACATACAAAAAGAAAAAGCACCACACAGTGGGAGAAAATAGCTGCGTGATAACTGACTTATACCCAGAATATATAGAGAGCTCTCAAAACTGAATAAGAAAACAAATAACCTAATTTAAAAAACTGGGATGTATTTCTGAGAAGTTTCACCAAAAAAAGATATCTAGGTGGCAATAAGCACATGAGAGGATGTTCAACATAATTAGTCATTAGGGAAATATAAATTCCAACCGTAATGAAATAGCAATACATAGAATGGCTAAGGTTAGGGAAAGCTAGGTGAAGGGATACAGAGATTCTTTGACTGTCTTTGCAAATGTTCTGTAAATAAAATAATTGCAGAAGAAAAATTTACAAAAAAGGCATGGGATCATTTTCCATTGTTGAGACCCCAGTAGCAAAAGACCATGCTTAGTACTGGGGAGGACATTAGGGCAAGGAAAGAGAGAGGAATGCTCCAGACACAATGTGGCCAGAGTCCTCTGGTCCTGACCAGAGGACAAGTTAGATCTTGTTAAATGTCCCTCATGGACTCAATGATATCAAAGTGACTGGCTGAGTAGCACAAATATGTTCGGGACGACTACAAACCTGCAAACTTTGGCAGCCACACCTTACTTCCCATATATGATCAAGTCTGGTGTGATGCATATTTTCTTAGTTTGCTTTCTTTAATGTCTCGCATATAAGGTGTTGAAGTATGAGAGAATAGAGAAGGGAAGGAGTTTCTCAGAAAGTGAACTTTCTGGTAAATTTAAGTGCTGTCACTGTTGTTCAGTTCTAGTTTACTATAGTGCCCA
The DNA here is from genome assembly GCF_000001405.40 of Homo sapiens. Lineage (NCBI taxonomy): Eukaryota > Metazoa > Chordata > Mammalia > Primates > Hominidae > Homo > Homo sapiens. The sequence goes on along the minus strand of NC_000005.10, from coordinate 82,589,254 downwards.
ATAATGAAACATATTTAAGTTTAAAAGTGGTCTATTTGGTGGTGTTTGTGCCTGTCTTAATGACTACTTCCACTTGCAGTTATGGACAATTTTTCCTGTCATTTAAGACAATTCTAAAACCCCACCAGGAAGAAGTTGATTTGAGGCTTCATGTAGATCTGGCTTCACTGATTGGACCTTGATAAGCTTACCTCCCAAACATCATTATTCTTTAGTTTTAAGAGTCTTTTAAAGAACAATTAAACATGTTACAGAATAATTTTGGATTCAGACTTTAACTAGTGTTTAAAATCCTCTACACGTGTGCTCACCTATAATCACATAACATCTGGTGAATTTCTCAGTAAACATTGGCTGAAGTAGCCTCTAAATTCAGTTCATGATTCTACCATTTAAATTCAAATTAACCAAAAATACAACTAATAATTTTTTCCTCTCGTCTCCACACACAACCATCTTTCAAGAAGTCAAAAACAACCTTTATTCTGGCTGATGAACCATACATCAAAGTCACATTTCTGTATATGACTCAAACAGAGACCTATGTGAAGAAGTTACAGCAAGTGCTCCAAATAATACTTCTCCCCATGAAGTAAATATGTAGACAATTACTCTTTGCTTTGTCAAACTAGTTAGGCTTCCATAGAGTAACTACACTATAAAAAAAAAAAAAAGTAAAGTACAGCCAATTTTTGCCTTCCATGGGGGCACTTTTCTTTATAGTTCAGTTACTCGAACTCTGAAAATGAAAACTATAGCTCGAAAACTAGACTTCTCCTTTCATCACTCCTGTTGCTCTGCACTCAAGGAAGACTGGGACAAAATCTCTCATAAAGCTCTCAGAGGTATTTATTCCTTGTTCTTTTTATTCTGTTGGCTTAAAATGAATGTTCCAATGCTCTACCTGCACCCTAATTTTGATTGCAACCAATTTCCAAGAGCTTTGCTGCTCCAGATAAGAAGAGACTCCATCCTCTGCTTCTGACCACAGACTCCTAGGTCCATGCCTTACCACAAGCCTGGAAGAACATGTCATACATCAAGTCAGTTCTCTTCTTTGACTCCCAAATCCCCTTTCTCATCAGAAGCAATACCTTCAGAGGGAGAGTTTGCTTTTGGGTGTTTCTTTTCTGTTAGGAAGATATTTTCACTGGAATGAAGGAGAAGGAGTAGCCAACCTTAAAGGTAGAGCCAGGACTACTTATATTCATGTGGTGTTTGTCTACTCTCTGTCTCTCCTTTCAGACTATGAGAGTTTCTGGGGGAGGGAGTAAATCATGGCGTCACCATATATAACCCAGAATAAGTGTTCAGTACATTTTAAAATTAATTAATTAGTTAGTTAGTTATAGTATTTGTTTGATCTTTGCACTAACAACAAAGAAAAACAAATAAATAAAAACTTAACCAATCAATCAGCAAATGAAAAACCAAAGACAAACTAATTGGCATTTAGGGCCTACACTGGGGATTAGTAGTAATAATCCTTTTGGTTCTTTGAGAAAGATTTCATTTAGATATATGAGATATATTATCTGTACACAAGGATCTAAAATCTGGCAAATAGAAAAGTAGCAAGAAAACTAAGACTGAAGAAGTTGTAACTACCTCTTATTAGCAAGATAACTTTTAATGGGCTACACACCCTACAACAGCTGGTTTGGCCAATTCTCTTTTTTTCAGTCTGCACTTTGGGCATAATAAGCTTTGCTTTAGCTTTTAAAAAAGGCAGGATTAAGTCTTTGAAAAGTAATAGTCCTCTTAAATTTGTGCGTCCTGGTTTTTGAAAAACAGAAATGAACTCACAGACCGTAACTATGGTAGGAGACAGGCTGAATTGCAATTTTGTTTCATGTTTGGGGAGTAGGAAAAATAGAACCTGAAAGTTGAAAATCTCCATCTTATAAATGAATATCATTGCCTCTACCTAGAAAGCTACTACTGACCTATCAAAAACCTTGTAGACAAGTTAATACTTCTGTGATGTGTGCAGCTCTTTAAACAATCTGCCTGTCATGCCAGAGAGTACATTTTCACTTGGCTTCTTTAACAGACAGTCTAAGAAGAAAGAATAATACCAAGGACTCCACAGCTGCTTCTGCATGAGGCAAGGGTTTTCCATCTGTACTGTAGTATTTGGCCCTTAAATAACTTTTTACACCCCACAGTGCATGTCTATATAACAAGGAAGGAAAGGGAGTTGGAACTACATGGGGCCACATGAGAAATGGAATTGCTTCTTTTGGCTTAAGGGCATAGGCAATCTAAGACGCTTCTCCCTGGGACATACCATGTAGTTTTTTATTGACTTCCAGTGATTTTAATGCTGAAAGAGCCAAAGTCAAGGTGAGTGTTCTTAACATATTGACATCAATGGCCCAGCCAAGGAGCTGCCAACAGGCCTTTGAGAGAACAGTTAGGACTCCTTGTTTACCTTTCCCCACAAAGACATTGGATCGGGGTGGGGTGCATATAATATAGTGGTTAATAGTTTTGAGGTCAGACAGACTTTGGTTTAAATATTAGCTTCTACTACTGCCTAACTGGCATAGACGCTTCTCTGAGTCTCAGGGTTTTTTTTCTTTTCTTTTCTTTTCTTTTTTTTTTTTTTTTGTGGAAACAGTAACAAGAGCCTTGTAAGGTTACTAGGAACAAGGGGAGGGGATTAAATGCAAGTAAATAAGCCAAAAACAAAGTCAGCACATTGTAAGCACTCAAGGAATAGTAGCTGCTTTTCACAGTTCTCTCCTGTTTTCTGTCTCCATGTTCCTCCTCTGTTTCGCTTCCTTTCTCCTTCCTTTCCCTTTACATGTCTCCCCAGCCTCAGCCTTATGCTTGTCAGTGACATCTAGGAAGACCCACAGTCCCTGCACAGGAAGCCCCTCTGCTTATAGGCCCCACTGGCTCTCATTCAAGACTCTGTCAGCTTTGTTACCACAGTATGTCTTTCGTCAACTTGTAAACACCACCCATGTATTTTTGCCTGTTTTAAGGGCCCAGCTTTAGAGTGTTAATTGAAGTTTGCCTTCTGCCTGTAATATTTTCTTAAACAACTTGCTTAAGATGTAGTGAAGTGTACCATCCCCAAAACCATCCAAATAATATGATGCTGAAAATTAGAAAGTCTTGTTTTTGGTTGTTGTTGAATTCTTTTTTTTTTTTTTTTTACTTTTTATTTGGAAATAATCTAACACAGAGAAAAGTTCTAAGAATTAATAATAATGTACAGAAGACCTGTATATCCTTAGCGCAGATGCACTTATTAATAACATTGTAAATTTGCTTTATATTTATGCTCACTCTCTCTCTTCGTGTGTGTGTGTACAGCTGACCCTTGAACAACCTGGAGGTTAGGGGCACAGAGCCCCACACAGTCAAAAATCCACATATAACTTTTAACTCCCCCAAAACTTAACTACTAATAACCTACAGTTGACCAAAAGCCTTAACAATAACATCAACTAATACATATTTCGTGTATTGTATGCTGTATTCTTACAATAAAGTAAGCTAGAGAAGAGAAAAGGTTATGTGATTAAGAAAATCATAAAGAAGAGAAAATATATTTACTATAATTAAGTGGAAGTAGATGTTCATAAAGGTCTTTATCCTCATTCTCTCCACATTGAATAGGCTGAGGAGGAGGAGGAAAAGGAGGAGAAATTCCTCTTGCTGTTTCAGGGGTGGGAGAGGAGCAAGAAAATTTGCATATTAGTGGACCTGCACAGTTCAAACCCATGTTGTTTAAGGGTCAACTGTATATGTGGGGGAGCAGCCAAGACTGCCGAATAGAAACAGCTCCACTTTGCGGCTCCCACTGAGAATGAAAATGGTGAGTGAATGCTACATCTTCAATTAAGGTACCAAGGTTCTCTCATTGGGACTGACTAGGCGGTTGGCGCGACCCACAGAGAGACAGGAAAAGCAGGGTGGAGCGAGGGCCCACCTGGGAACTGCACGGGGCAAAGGGAGCTCCCTCTCCCACCCCAGGGAGGTGGTGAGGGATTGTGCTACCCCCTCACTGAAAGACATGCTTTTCCAACAGATCTTTGCAACCCACGGATCAGAAGGTCCCCTCATAAGCTCATGCAACCAGGGCCTTGGATCCAAAGCATAGAGCTGTGCAGACTTATGGCGGCTTCTCAGGTGGGTGCTGCTCAGAGCAGGCACAGAGCTGCAGGAGTTTTTACCTACTCCAGCTCCAGGAGCTCAGTGAGGCAGGAGATCCATCCACTCCCATGGAAAGGGGGCTGACACCAGGGAGCCAAGCAGCCTCACTCAGCGGGCCCCACACCCACGGAACCCCACAAGCTAAAACTCACTGGCTTGAAATCCCCACTGGCCAGCACAGCAGGCTGGAGACTGCCCAAGAACACTGAGTTCTGGGGGGTAGGGGCAGCCAGCATCACTGCAGCTCCAGTTGGCTGTTTTCCCCTGCCACCGGTGCCAGTGAGACTGGGCAGTTTGGACTGGGAGCAATTCCCCCACAGCACAGCGGCTGGGACAGTTCATGGCCAGACTGCTTCTTTAAGCTGGACCTTGATCCATTCCTCCTCACCAGGGAAGTCCCCCTGCAGGAATTTCAGCATCCCCAGTCAGGGGGTTATGGACAGATCTCTGATATCCCTGAGATGAGCCACTAGGAGAAGGGGTGGCTACAGGATTGTAGATCAGTGGTCTTACTCTTTTCTGCCTGCCAGCCCTGGAGAGTCAGGGCAGCCCGGACAAGGAAAATTTCCTTCAGCACAGCATACCCACTCTGCCAAGGGGCAGCCAGACTGCTTATTTAAGTGGGTTCTTGATCCCCCTCCTCCTGATTGGGTAAGACCTCCCAACAAGGGGTCTCCAGACACCACATATGGGAGTGTTCCAGCCAGCATCAGGTTGGTGCCCCTCTGGGACAGAGCTCCCAGAGAAAGAAGAGGTGCTATCTTTGCTGTTATGCAGCCTCCACTGGTGATACCTCCAGGGGCAGGAGAAACCCAGGCGATTAGGGTCTGGAGTGGACCCCCAGCAAACCGCAGCAGCCCTATGGTAGAGCAGCCTGACTGCTAAAAGAAAAACACAAAGCAACAACATCAATGAAAAAGACCCCACAAAAACCCCACCCAAAGGTCTGCAGCCTCAAAGATCAAAAGCAGATAAACTCATGAAGATGAGAAAGAATCAATTTTAAAAAATGCTGAAAACTCAAAAAGCCAGAGTACCTCTTCTCCTCCAAATGATCACAACACATCTCCAGGAAGGGCACAAAACTGGGCTGAGACTGAGATAAATGAATTGACAGAAGTAGGCTTCAGAAGATGGGTAATAATGAACTTCGCTGAGCTGAAGAAGTATGTTCTAACTCACTGCAAAGAAGCTAAGAGGCATGATAAAACAGTATAGGAGCTGTTAACCAGAATAACCAGTTTAGAGAGGAACACACAGACCAGTGACACTATGAAGCAACTACATTAACTGCCGAGACCAGCTCAGTCATGGAGACCCTAACCCAGCGGCACTAGAGGAATTAAAGACACACACATGGAAATATAGAGTGTGGAGTGGGAAATCAGGGGGCTGACAGCCTTCAGAACTGAGAGCCACAAACAGAGATTTACCCACATATTTATTGACAGCAAGCCAGTGATAAGCATTGTTTCTATAGATTATAGATTAACTAAAAGTATTCCTTACAGGAAACAAAGGGATGGGCTCTGGCCAGTTATCTGCAGCAGGAACATGTCCTTAAGGAACAGATCGCTCATGCTATTGTTTGTGGTTTAGGAACACCTTTAAGTGGTTTTCCATCCTGGGTGGGCCAGGTGTTCCTTGCCCTCATTCCGGTAAACCAACAACCTTCAGCGTGGGTGTCGTGGCCATCACGAACACGTCACAGTGCTGCAGAGATTTTGTTTATGGCCAGTTTTGGGGCCAGTTTATGGCCAGATTTGGGGGCCTGTTCCCAACAATTAACTAGTCTGCAAAATAACCAGCTAGCATCGTGATGACAGGATCAAATTCACACATAACAATACTAACCTTAAATGTAAGTGGGCTAAATGCCTCAATTGAAAGACACAGAATGGCAAGCTGGATAAAGAGCCAAGACCCATCAGTATGCTATCTTCTAAAGAGCCACCTCATGTGCAAAGACACACATAGGCTCAAAATAACAGGATGGAGGAAAGTTTACTAAGCAAATGGAAAACAGAAAAAAGCAGGGGTTGCAATCCTAGTTTCTGACAAAATAGACTTTAAATCAACAAAGATCAAAAGACACCAAGAAGGGCATTACATAATGCTAAAGTGGTCAATTCAACAAGAAGAGCTAACTATCCTAAATATATATTCACCCAACACAAGAGCACCCAGATTCATAAAACAAGTTCTTAGAGACCTACAAAGAGACTTAGACTTCCACACAATAATAGTGGGAGAATTTAACATCCCACTGTCAATATTAGACAGATCATCAAGACAGAAAATTATCAAGGATATTCAGGACTTGAACTCAGCTCTGGATCAAGTGGACCTGATAGATAGCTACAGAACTCTCCACCCCAGAACAACATAATATACATTTTTCTCAGCACTGTATGGCACTACTCTAAAATTGATCACATAATTGGAAGTAAATCACTTCTCAGCAAAATGCAAAAGAACTGAAATTATAACAAATAGTCTCTCAGACCACAGCACAATCAAATTAGAATTCAATATTAAGAAACTCACTCAAAACCACACAACTACATGGAAACTGAACAACCTGCCTCTGAATGACTCCTGGGAAAATAATGAAATTAAGGCAGAAATCAAGAAGTTCTTGGAAACCAGTGAAAACAAAGAAACAATGTACCAGAATCTCTGTGACACAGCTAAAGCAGTTTTAAGAGGAAAATTTATAGCACTAAATGCCCACATCAGAAAGCTAGAAAGATCTCAAATTGATGCCCTAACATCACAACTAAAAGAACTAGAGAACCAAGAGCAAACAAACACAAAAGCTAGCAGAAGACCAGAAATAACCAAGCTCAGAGCAGAACTGAAGGAGAGAGAGGCATGAAAAACCCTTCAAAAAAGTCAATGAATACAGGAGCTGTTTTTTTGAAAAAATTAATAAAACAGATAGGCTGCTAGCTAGACTAATAAAGAAGAAAAGAGAGAATAATCAAATAGACACAATAAAAAATGATAAAGGGGATATCGCCACTGTCCCCACAGAAATACAAACAACCACCAGAGAATACTGTAAACACCTCTGTGCAAATAAACTAAAAAGTCTAGAAGAAATGGATAAATGCCTGGACACATACACCCACCCAAGACTGAACCAGGAAAAAGTTGAATCCCTGAATAGACCAATAACAAGTTCTGAAATTGAGGCAGTAATAAATAGCCTACCAACCAACAACAACAAAAAAAGCCCAAGATCAGATGGATTTACAGCTGAATTCTAACAGAAGTACAAAGAGGAGCCGATACCCTTTCTTCTGAAACTATGCCAAACAATTGAAAAGGTGGGACTTCTCCCTAACTCATTTATGAGGTCAGCATTACCCTGATGCCAAAACCTGGCAGAGATAGAACAACAACAAAAACTTCAGGCCAATATTCCTGATGAACATCGCTGCAAAAATTTTCAATAAAATCCTAGCAAACTGAATATAGCAGCACATCAAAAGGTTATCCACCACGATCAAGTTGGCTTCATCCCCAGGATGCAAGGCTGGTTCACCATATGCAAATCAATAAACTTAATTCATCACATAAACAGATCTAAAGACAAAACCACATGATTATCTCAATAGACACAGAAAAGGCCTTTGATAAAATTCAACATCCTTTCATATTATAAACTCTCAATAAACTAGGTATTGAAGGAACATACCTCAAAATAATAAGAGCCATTTCTGACAAACCCACAGCCAATATACTGAATGGGCAAGAGCTCGAAGCATTCCTCTTGAAAGCTGGCACAAGACAAGAATGCCCTCTCTCACCACTTCTATTCAACATAGTATTGGAAGTTCAAACCAGAACAGTCAGGCAAGAGAAAGAAATAAAGGGTATTCAAATAGGAAGAGAGGAAGTCAAATTGTCTTTGTTGGCGGATGTCATGATCCTGTCTCTAGAAAACCCCAGGTCTCAGCCCAAAAGTTTCTTAAGCTGATAAGCAACTTCAGCAAAGTCTCAGGATACAAAATCAATGTGCAAAAGTCACAGGTATTCCTATACACCAAAAACAGGCAAGCAGAGAACCAAATCATGAATGAACTCCCATTTGCAATTGCTTCAAAGAGAATAAAATACCTAGGAACAGAGCTAACAAGAAAAGTGAAGGACCTCTTCAAGAAGAACTACAAACCACTGCTTGAGGAAACCAGAGAGGACACAAACAAATGGAAAAAATTCCATGCTTATGGATAGGAAGAATCAGTATCATGAAAATGGCCATACTACCCAAAGTAATTTATAGATTCAATGGTATTCCCATTAAACTATCATTGACATTCTTCTTAGAATTAGAAAAAAACTATTTTAAAATTCATACAGAACCAAAAAAGAACACATATAGCCAACACAATCCTAAGCAAAAAGAACAAAGCTGGAGGCATCATGCTACCAGATTTCAAACTATACTATAAGGCTACAGTAACCAAAACAGCATGGTACTGGCACAAAAACAGACATATAGACCAATGGAACAAAATAGAGAATTCGGAAATAAGACCGCATATCTACAACCATCTATCTTCAACAAACCTGACAAAAACAAGCAACAGGGAAAGGATTTCTTATTTAATAAATGGTGTTAGAACTGGCTAGTCATATGCAGAAAATGGAAACTGGACCCCTTCCTTACACCTTATACAAAAATTAATTCAAGATGGATTACCTGAATGTAAAACCCGAAACTGTAAAAATTCTAGAAGAAAATCTAGGCAATACCATTCAGGACATAGGTGCAAACAAAGATTGCATGACATAATCACCAAAAGCAATTGCAATAAAAGCAAAAATTGACATATGGAATCTAATTATACTAAAGAGCTTCTGCACAGCAAAAGAAAGTATCATCTGAGTGAACAAGCAACCTACAGAGTGGGAGAAAATGTTTGCAATCTCTTCATCTGACAAAGGTCTGATATTCAGAATCTACAAGGAACTTAAACAAATTTACAAGAAAAAAAAAGCCCATTAAAATGTGGGCAAAGAACATGAACAGAAACTTCTCAAAAGAAGACATTCATGTGGCCAAAAAACACATGAAATAAAGCTCAACATCACTGATCATTAGAAAAATACAAATCAAAATCCAAATTAGATACCATCTCACTCCAGTCTGAATTATGATTATTAAAAAGTCAAGAAATAACAGATGCTGGTGAGATTGTGGAGAAATAGGAATGCTTTTACACGATTCATGGGAAGGTAAATTAGTTCAGCCATTGTGTAAGACAGTGTGGCAATTCCTCAAAGATCTAGAACCAGAAATACCATTTGACCTAGTAATCCCATTACTGGGTATATACCCAAAGGAATAGAAATCATTCTATTACAAAGAAACATACACACTTGGGAGGCCAAGGTGGGCAGATCACCTGAGGTCGAGGGTTCAAGGCCAGCTTGACCAACATGGAGAAACCCCATCTCTACTAAAAATACAAAATTAGCTGGGCATGGTGGCACATGCCTGTAATCCCAGCTACTCGGGAGGCTGAGGCAGGAAAATCACTTGAACCTGGGAGGTGGAGGTTGTGGTGAGCCAAGATTGTGCCATTGCACTCCAGCCTGGGGAATGAGAGTGAAACTCCAACTCAAAAAATAAAAATAAATAAAAATTTAAAAAGATACATACATGCATACGTTCACTGCAGCACTATTCACAATAACAAAGACATGGAATCAACCCAAATGCCCATAATTGATAGACTGTATAAAGAAAATGTGGTACATATACACCATGGAATACTATGCAGACATAAAAAGGAATGAGATTATGTCCTTTGCGGGGACATGGATGGAGCTGGAAGCCATCATCCTCAGCAAACTAAGGTGGGAACAGAAAACCAAACACCACATATTCCGCTTTATAAGTGGGAACTGAACAATGAGAACACATGGACACAGGGAAGGGAACAACACACACTGGGGCCTGTTGGGAAGTAGGGTAGGAGAGGGAGAACATTAGGAACATTAGGAAAAGTAGCTAATGCTTGCTGGGCTTAATACCTAGGTAATGGGTTGATAGGTGCAGCAAACCACGATGGCACATATTTACCTATGTAACAAACCTGCACGTGTACCCTGAAACTTAAAAAAAACTGTATGTGTGTGTGTACACACACACACACATATATATATACACACACATACACAAAGGCCATTTGAAGGTGAAGTTCACCCTTTGTGAGCTTGTTGAGACTCTTTAGGAATGGCATCCTTTAGTATATTCATTTAAACGTTTAAGATTTTAGAGAACACTTATCTGATATTTATATACACACACACATACACATGCACACATACATATGTGTGTGTATTTATATGTGTGCATTTGCATACATTTATATATATGCACATCTATAAAAATAGATGCAATATTTTTTCTACATCATTTGAATGTAAGTTGCATACATCATGGGTCTTTACCTTTAAATACTTCAATTTTTTTTTAAGAATAAGGATATGTTCTTACATGAACTGTACAGCTATAAACTTTACTGTAATTGTACATTATTGATACTATCCTTTAATTGGGTGTCCTTTTCCAATTTTCTAAATTGACCCAATAATGTTCTTTATAGGATTTTTTCTTCTACTACAGCATCTAGTCTAGCATTTCACATTACCATATCTCTTTAGTCCAATCTCTTTAGTGTCCTTCTTTCTAATTTTTGAGATGGAGTCTCGCTCTGTCGTCCAGGCTGGAGTGCAGTGGCATGATCTCGGCTCACTGCAACCTCCCTGGTTCAAGCAATTCTCCTGCCTCAGTTTAGTGTCCTTTAATCTGGAACATTTCCCTAGCCAAAAGCTATAATTTTTATCAAAGATATTAAAGAATAATGCATTCTTTTTCCCACCACGGGCCTCACCAACTTAGACTGTATGTTGAAGAACAATGTCACCTCAGCCTCTCTCCAAACCACAATTTAACCAATCATTTCAAACTGTATTTGACATGTGATATCAATTCTAGATTATATTTCCCTATGTGTTGTTTATACCAAAGGTGAAAGAAATAAACAAAACCAAAAGCTTCTCAATTCTTTGCTTTGTATTCCAGAGATAAGAGCAATGAGCATATTGCAGAGAATCTGTGAGCTTACTGGCTCTTTAGGAATAGCATCTTTTAGTATATTCATTTAAAAGTTTAAGGTTTTAGAGAACACTTATCTGATATTCATTATTCTTCAAAGTGTCTTTGTAGGAAAATTTTTAAGCAGCAGTGTCCATTTTACTTTCCAGCTTGAAAAAAATATCAGAGGCACACATATTGAAGAACTGCTTGGTAAATGACAAAGCCAAATTAAATCACTAAAGAAATTGAAGCTGTGGAAAATCAGTAGCATTGTTTTTATTTTCTACATACTAACAAGACAGTCTAAATAACTCAGGAATAGCTGCTGTGTCAAATCTCTTGCTGGGGTCTTCTGTTGAAGAATGTTTAGCATCTATTCTCTTCTCTAACATCCAGCTTTCTCTCTTGCCCTCCTCTTCCCACTCCCCAGATGTGCAAAAAACATTTGAACACAAGCTGCACAGTAAGGCCTTGAGGCTGCAGCTTCAATACCCTTTTCATGATACAACCCGAAGAATCACACCCACCACCTCTCATGATCACCCTGGAATTCATGTTCTCTGAGTGGGCAACTCTCGATGAAGACTTGCCTAGTTGTTCTACATAACTGCTTGGACCAGAGCCTGTGAGAAAGAGCGAATAGCTTGTAAATGTGACTGCAGACTTAACCAGGACAGCAAAACATAGAACACTTTTTCAGTTCCACCCAGATTGCAAACATTGGTTTAGAGTTTTCCACCAAATATTTTGCCATGACCTCAGTTATTTGGCTGCTCTCAACACACAAAAAAAGAGCAAGGAAGATGTTGTTTCTGATGTGTGGTATCTAGCTGGGTGGGTGTATTCTTACTGTGGTCTGTGGGTAGTAATAGCCAGCACTTATCAAATACTAACCTGTGGCAGCCACTATGCCAAGGGCTTTTTGCATATATTAACTTCTTCAATGCTCACAAAAAACCTATAAGGTGTGTGAAATTATTATCCCTATTCTAAAGATGAGGAAACTGAGACACAAGAGAAACAGTAACACTCAGATTCACAAACTGATTAAGTTTAATGTCTCTACTACTTTCCAATGGAAAGTGCTGTGGACTGAATATTTGTGACCCCCAAAATGCTATGTTGAAGTCCTAATCCCCAGTGTGACGGGTGGGGCCTTTGGGAGGTAATTGGGTTTAGAGGAGGTCATGGAGGTGGGGCACCTTTGATGAGATTGGTGCCCTTAAAGAGCATGGAAAGACCAAAGTGATCTCTCTCTCTTTCTCTCTCTCTCTCTCTCTCTCTCTCCCCCCTCTCTGTCTCTCCCACTCCCCTCCATGGGAGGATACAGCAAAAAACCAGCCATCTAGAAACCAGGGAAGGTCCCTCACCAAGAACTCAACTATGTTGCCACCTCAATCTTGGACTTTCAGCTTCCATAAAGGTGAGAAATAAATGTTTGTAGTTTAAGCCACTCAACATGTGATTTTCTGCTATAGCAACCCAAGCTGACCTAGAGAGAAGGCAAATATCAAACACTATTAGCCTATCCAGTCTTAGACATAGGCCCTGAAAGAACTCCTGTGAGCTCAAAGACAGCAAGCTCTGGGTAAGAGTCTTGATAAAAATTAACAATAATCTCCCCCTGCATATCTTCTTCCTATTTTGAGTCCTGAATGTGACCAAAGGAAAGATTAAAGGATACTAGGCACAGGTGAGAATCACATTTGACAGAGGGGTGTTGAAGGCCACAGAGGCAAACTGACATACCTGTAAGCATTTGCTATGTTTTATTTGGAGATTTTTCTCTGAGTGGACCACACAGCAAATCGAATCATCATTGTTGAATCTTTAGTTCTCTCTGCTTTTCTCTTTGAAATTATGTCCACTGAATTCTTAGTTAAACTAGTGTCCCTAAAGAATGCTCCTAAATGAACTAAAAGAACAAGAAATATGACTAGAGAAGCAGAAAGATAAAAAAACAAAAAGACTTATAATAGAGACTTTGATTGTCCTTAAATTAATTTTTTAATTATTGAAGTCAGTGGCTTTTGTAATGTTGTATGGCTTTTCTTTTACATATTTGAGGTTTTAAATTTGTAGGATTGAAGGTTTTCTAATTGGAAGCATAGCTGATGTTTATTAACACCTACAAGCATGAGCACTGAGCTAAGTACTGACTGGAGTCCAAATGGAGACCTCGAACTTGTAGCCTATATATCCCCAAGGACATATTGTTTTTGGAGGCAAAGGGAGTTCACAGATTTTTCCCCTAAACTTGAGCCATTATTCTAATGTCAAAGATTTTGTATAAAAACTTTGATTTTTATCTTCTCATTAAAAAATCTAGACTATGACAACACTAGAGCAACATTATCCTATGGTGACCATCAAGTTGACCTGAGCAGTGGCTGTGCCCATGTAAAAATTTTCATTGTATCATTAGAAGCTCCAGCACTGCTCTTGAGCTGGGTGTGGGAGGCAGGAAAGGGAGAGAAAAGAGTGAAGGAGCAATAAGACCTGTGAAGTAATTGACATGGACAGCAGACTTTGTGAGTGAATGAGCTTACAAGAGGAGGGAATAGAAGCAGCAAATCAAAGAGCATTTCAAACAAAACCTTAGGAAGTGTTCTTATTTATGAATGACAAAAATGAAAAATAAATGAGACAAATACTGAACATTTGGAGAGCACAATTTTTTACCTTTTTATGCAAATTGCTGTCAAGTCCTATTTCCTCATACAAATGAGACTAAAAATAATGCATGGAAGATTGGGTATGAGTGTATTAGTCTGTTCTCACACGGCTGTGAAGAAATACCTGAGACTGGGTAATTTATAAAGAAAGAGGTTTAGTTGAATCACAGTTCCACAGGGCTGGGGAGGCCTCAGAAAACTTACAATTATGGTGGAAGCTGAAGCAAACGCATGGCAGCAGCAAGGAGAGGAAATGAGTGCCCAGTGAAGGGGGAAGCCGCTTATAAAACCATCAGATTTCATGAGAACTCACTCACTATCATGAGAACAGGATGGGAGATACCCCCGTGATGCAATAATCTCCACCTGATCCCTCCCACAACACATGGGGATTATGGGAACTACAATTCAAGATGAGATTTGGGTAGGGACACAGCAAAACCATGTCAATGAGTAAATAAATTGATAATGCATCTGGAGCCCTTAAACAGTATCTGACACATAATAAGTATTCAATAAATGTTGACTATAATAATTATCATATTCTAACATGAAGACAACCAAAAATAAACAAATTGGATATTTCACCACATAGCTTTAGATCAATACATATAAGAATGGCCTGTTTAGACATTTTGCCAATTTGTGTTTAAAAGCTTACAAGTTTTTAGCTTAATAATGCAATCTTCTATGAATGTTTGGCAGCATAAAAGTACCCTGTGCTATTTACACACATCATTTATGCTATTGAACTTGTAATCTTTCTCCAGCCCACTAATTCTCCCCACCCACTATCCAGAAAAAATCAGAAAAACATAATAATCTGGTGAGAAACTTTTCTTCACATGATAGAAAGCATCTCTTGTAACTGTGTTGTGCTGTATAAACGGTGGTTCTCTTCAGTAAATAGCACCTATTAACTAGAAACCATGTTTACATGCCTTGGTAAACAGTGGATTATTCTGAGGACCTGATTCAGTAAATAATATGGTCCGTGGGATTTCAGTACAAAACCAAAACAGCAAACGAAGAAGGAAATCTTTATAGCTTTTATTTAACTTTCAAGGAGGAATGGGAATTAAACGTTCTTTCACAGTATGCTTGATCAAGTTTCAGAAAATAGAAATACATTTTTATATGATATTTAAGGAAAGTAAAACTACTTGGCATGGTTTATTGTTTTAAAAACAGATTTAAACTAAGTAAGAGGAAAATTGAGTTAGAGATTCCAGATAGGCATCTGATCACACATTTAATTTATATTAGTGATTAAAAATAATAAGATTATTTATCCAATACTAATGACATTTATTTTTTAGTCAAAACTCAATTTGATTGCATCGTTAATTCATAAACAATAAAATAGAACTGTATATTTAAATAAAAACATTTTTAAGAGTTTCTAACATCAATCTCTTTTTTTAAAAAAAAAAGCTAAGATGAAATTTGGAAGATATCACTTTCAAGCAAGTTAAGACTTCAGCTTGGTATCCTTGAGCATTACTGATTTTCAGAGTTGGAGACAGTCTTGAATATTTAAGCAATCTCTAATAAAAGTGGACAGCCTAGAATGACAATTAAGTGTTAAATTCACAGATTTATATCCTCTTATTTTCAAAGATAATTTTGACAAGGAATTGTGAGAAATAATGGAACATGTATGAGCATAAGAACTTACACCTGTGTACATTGAAGAGCTCAAAAACTGTATTTACGGGGAAGATGCATGCACATCCCTCTGGGGTTTATTAATGAAAACCCGGGACACATCAAAAAGACCTCTTCTCAAATAATTTTTCTAATTGTTTAACGCTGATAAAGACCTGTTGTAATCTGGATATGTATTTGCTGTTGCTGTGAAAAGTTGTTATATTTACTTCTATACATTACTTTAAAGAGAAAGGAAGAAACCTATAATCTGCTGAAAGAATACTATCAGGACATGATTGCTAAATGACCCCCTCAGCATTTTCCACTTCGCAACACATCATTACATTGAGCAGCATTTTAGGTAATTGTCAGATACATGTAAAGCCTCTCAGAATCTCCTTGCAAAATTAACAACAAAACACTACCTGTGGTCAATCTGTTTCACCCTCCAACATAATCATGGGTAGATTGCCCCAGGGCCACAAGGGCAGCTTCTGGACCACAGGCACACTGGGAAGTGTATTCACCTATGACCCTGGAAGGACATTGATTTGGGGAAAGCTTTTCATGCTGTTTAAGGTTCTCGATGGAAAGTGCTAGATTTCATGTTCACGGGGATAAGAAGATGAGGGAGGAAGAGTAGCAGTTCCAGGACATAATGGAGAAATAAAACACTCTGTGGGCTGACCTATTTGTGGAGAGAAAGGTCAGCCTTTGTCCAGTTTGAATAGCTACCAGAAAAGGGTGTATCCAGTTCCCCAGATTATACATAGTGCTTTCTTCCTTTCTGCAGTATTTGCTAAGGCATCATTCAGGAGGAAAGCTAGCTGCTCCAGGCCAAATGTTTCTGCCTAAACCCTGCCATTACTAGGGATGTATAAAGTACACATATACCATGGCTAGAAAAGAGAAAGGAACTTCCTTCACTTAAGTATACATCCAAGAGATGTCTTTTTGCACATTTGCAACAACTAGCTCTTTCTGTGGGAGAGAGCCAAGCATTGAGAAGTTTCCACCAAATCCTGCATAGCCACATTAGGTGAAACCTAAACAAATTACTTAATCTGGTCACTGGGTCTAATGACCTCAATATATAGCACAGGAGAACACATTTCTGCCTTTGTATAACCAAGACAAGGAAGTGGGTGAGGGAGTTAAGGAGGGAGAGAGAAATTCAGTGAGTGCATGCCCATGACATTTCTGGCATTTCCATGATGTCTCTTGCACATGCCCTGTTAGACTGATCACTTCCATGAAAGCAATATTCTACTCACATACAAGTATATAAAAACACATTGCTCTGTTTTTAATCCAATGGTCATGGCTAAACAATTTGCAATTATCTAATAGCATGCTGTCTTCGCTTAATGAGTTACTCCAACTAAATTGGAAGTCAGCCCTCCTTTTATTAACTCATCTTTCATAGTGACCTAAACAAATTCAATGGCAATTTATCCTAGGGACCTTTCAAATATTCAGAACATATTTGCAAACCTTTTCCAAAGTCTGAGAACATTCTGCAATGCAAACCAAATCTCTTCAGGTTGAGAACCTCAAAATCACTTCACAATAATACAAGTGCTAAGCAGAGGCACCTGACCTTTTAAACAAGCCAACTCTGCCGGATTTCCAATTAAAATATTACATGACCCTATGAAAGAACACAGAACTCCCTCTAGTAAGATATAATTTCCCACAGACTCAAAGTTCCTTAAAATGTGGTGGTGATACTTGTGCTTTCTATGGCAAATAAGGAAAAATTTGTTTCCTTGAGATTAAATTAGCTGCCTTCAATATATGCTTGCCTCTGGCTATATTTAGGAAATAAAACTTATTTTGGTTTTAGGGAAAAAAAAAAACTATTTTTTAAGGAGAAAATAGGAAAAAAAAAGCCTATTTTAATCTAATAGGACAAGGATACTCTTCTATGCGTTTTAAGCTTTAGATCATCAAAAACATTGTTACCATATGGTGAAAGGACCAGAAAGTGTCTGAGGTCACAATAATTGTCTTTTCACATTTGAATGGGTAGAAAAGTTTAGATTTGCCATTTTTGATCTCAAGGCCTTGAACTTAGGCCAATTGGTAAAAGTTATAAGGGGACAGAACTGATCTGAAAGTTATAATAATAATAATAATAGCTAAGGCTATTAAGACCCTCTGTGTGCATGTGTTCAACTGAAATACACTTGGGGTTGAGATAGCACAGATATAGTATTTATACATTCATTGAACATTTATGGAGAATCCGCTATGGGCCTATTATTGCATGGACAAAGTATCTGTGAGCCCCTTTGTGCTGAAGGAGTCTCTCAGAAAATGCACACTAGAAATTTCAGTGAATGCTTTCTCTTTCTAAGGTTTCTGTGGTAATCCCCAAATATCAGTAAACGATTTAATAAAGTATTCATTTTAAACCCCATTAACATCCATCAAGGAGGATCAATAATCTCAGCCTAATTAGAGTAGAAACCTGCATACATTTAATAATTAATTAATAATTACCTCTCTGTGTGTGTGCATGTATATGTGTATGTCTCTTTCTTTCTCTCTCTGTTTCTCTCCCTCCCATTTAACTTGTAAATTAATAATCAACATTATTACAAATATGTAATGTTTAGTAAAATTTCCAGGTAAGATTTACTTAAAGTTGTTTATGCTTTACTGTTTTTATTAAATAGTATTTGCTCTGCTACAATTTTGTGATTATTCCTTTAATTGAGACACTCAAAGAACTCAAATTTTCAAGTAGCCCTAAAGATAATTTGTAAAAGCAGATTAAAAACTATAATCATTAAAAATATATGTTTCAGATCTCCATTTTTGGTACTATTTTTTACTTGAAACTTACCCATATCCAAAAGTCTGTTTTCATCTTTAAAAGTTGTTCCTAGACTTGGGTAATATATTGAGGCTTCACATTATGGAAAAACCTTTCAATCAATGTCTTCTTATTAAATATTTTTATGAAATGAGGAAACTGCAAAACTAGAACTTATCCTAGACCAATTTATCATCTTTGTACTGTGACCTGTGAGAAATTTTACTTTTTTTTTTTTTTTCTTTTTGAGAGGGAGTCTCGCTCTGTTGCCCAGGCTGGAGTGCAGTGGCACGATCTTGGCTTACTTCAACCTCCACCTCCCAGGTTTAAGCAATTGTCCTGCCTCGGCCTCCCAAGTAGCTGGGATTACAGGCTCCTGCCACCATACCTGACCAATTTTTGTGTTAGTAGAGACAGGATTTCACCATATTGGCCAGGCTGGTCTCGAGTTCCTGACCTCAAGTGATCCGCCCACCTCAGCCTCCCAAAGTAGTGGGATTACAGGCATGAGCCACCACGCCTAGCTGAAAACTTGTACTTTTAGATTAACTTCTCAAATCTTAGATCAGCCCCATAGAATGAAAACTAGGCACTGTAATTCTAAAATCTCTAAATAATGACAATGGTTAATGCTCTGGCAGTTTGTCCTTAGGAAGGACAAAATTCAAGAATACTGTGAGTAATGTAACTTCTTTTCTCAGCTATACCACTGCTGACAAAATATATGATATGAAATGCCTTTTAAGCTCAGTTTCTCCATGTGTGAACTCTTCCCTTAAGTACTACACAAGGGTGTTATAGAAAAGTGGATCCAAAAGTATTTGGCAATAAATAAATATTTCACAAACTCCTGATTTAGATGTTTATGAAGGGAACTGTTTTTAATTGCTGATTTTACTTATTAAAGAATTGAAAGACTACTGAAACTAAAGATTTATAACAAACTGAAATTATAAAGATGAGTAATAAAACCAATACAAATTATTCTGACATCAAGAACCAAAGAGTAATGAAAAAAAATAAATTTTACCAAAAGCAATAATTCATTCAGAAAAAGAGGAAATTTTCAAGTAGAAACAGTGAGCAGGTTCTTTGATAATCTAATTAGAGAAGAGAAAGGAATAGTATAAACATATTGGAAAAATGTTTAAATGTTTTTTGCTGATTTGATCCAAAATTCTGACATTAATGAATTTTATACAAACTTCCTAACATGATACTACAATAAAGACATTATGGAAAACAGGTTAATGTGTGTTATCAACTGGGAGCATGTTTAAGATTAGTCCCTGCCCAAGAAGTCTTACAGCTATGAAAGGATTTTGAAAGAGGTTTCCCCAGATTTGATGACAATCTATGCCAGTTATATATATCCAGAATAGTACTATTCTGGATAGTAGTATTCTGGATATATTACAGAATAGTATTCTGGATATTATCCAGAATAGTATTGTTGAGGTAGTTTTTCAGGGTTTTTATAGTTTTAGGTTTTACGTTTAAGTCTTTAATCCATCTTTAGCTAATTGTTGTATATGGTGTAAGGAACGGGTCCTGTTTCAGTCTTCTGCATATGGCTAGCCAGTTATCCCAGCATTATTTATTTAATAGGGAATGCTTTTCCATTGCTTGTTTTTGTCAGCTTTGTCAAAGATCAGAAGGTTGTAGGTGTGTGGCCTTATTTCTAGGTTCTATCTTCTGTTCCATTGGTCTATGTGTCTATTTTTGTGCCAGCACTATGCTGTTTTGGTTACTGTAGCCCTGTAGTACAGTTTGAAGTTGGGTAATGTGATGCCTCAACTTTGTTTTTTTCCTTAGGATTGCCTTAGCTATTCAGGCTTTTTTGGTTCCATATGAACTTGAAAATAGTTTTTCTAATTCTGTGAACAATGTCATTGGTAGTTTGATAGGAATAGCATTGCATCTGTAAATTTCTTTGGGTAGTATGGCCACTTTAATGACAAGGGTTCTTCCTGTTCATGAGCATGTTTTTCCATTTGTTTGTGTCATCTCTGATTTCTTTAAGCAGTGTTTTATAATTCTCAATGTAGACATTTTTGACCTTCCTGGTTAGCTGTATTTCTTGGTATTTTATTCTTTTTTTGGCAATTATGAATGGGATTCTGTTCCTGATTTGGCTCTTGGTTTGGCTGTTGATGTATAGAAATGCTAGTGTTTTTTTACATTGATTTTGTACCCTGAAACTTTGCTGAAGTTGTTTATCAGATAAAGGAGCTTTGGGCCTGATACTATGGAATTTTCTAGATATAGAATCATGTTGTCTACAAATAGGGATAGTTTGACTTCCTCTCTTCCTATTTGAATGCGCTTTATTTCTTTCTCTTGCCTGACTGCTCTGGCAAAACTTCCAATACTATGTTGAACAGGAGTAGTGAGAGAGGGCATCCTTGTCTTGTGCTGGTTTACAAGGGAAACGCTTTCAGCTTTTCCCCATTCAATATGATGTTGGCAGTGGGTTTGCCATAGATAGCTCTTATTGTTTTGAGGTATGTTCCTTTGATACCTAATTTATTGAGAGTTTTTAACATGAAGGGGTGTTGAATTTATCAAAAGCCTTTTTTGCATCTATTAAGATAATTATGTGTTTTCTGTCTTTAGTTCTGTTTATGTGATGAATCACATTTACTGATTTCCGTATGTTGAATCAGCCTTGCATCCTGGGGATGAAGCCTACTTGATCGGGGTGGATTAGCTTTTGGATGTGCTGCTGGATTCAGCTTGCAAGTATTTTGTTGAAAATTTTCATAACAGTGTTCATTAAGGTTATGGACCTGAAGTTTGTTTTGTTGTTGTTGTGTTTCTGCCAGGTTTTGCTGTCAGGATGTTGCTGGCCTCATAGAATGCATTGGAGAGGAGTCCCTCCTCCTCATTTTCTTGGAATGGTTTCAGTAGGAATGGTACCAGTTCTTTGTACATCTGGTGGAGTTTGGCTGTGAATCCATTTGATGTTGGGCATTTTTTGGTTGGTAGGCTGTTTATTACTGATTCAATTTTAGAGCTCATGATTGGTCTGTTCAGGGAATCAGTTTCTTCCTTGTTCAGTCTTGAGAGGGTATATGTGTCCAGGAATGTATCAATCTCTTCTATGTTTTTTAGTTTGTGTGCATAGAGGTGTTTCTAGTAGCTTCTGATGGTTATTTTTATATCTGTAGGGTCAGTGGTAACATCCCCTTTGTCATTTATAATTGTGTTTATTTGAAACTTCTCTCTTTTCTTCTGTATTAGTCTAGGTAGTGGTCTAACTTATTAGTTTTTTTCAAAACACCAGCTCCTAGATTTGTTGATCTTTTAAATTTTTGTGTGTGTCTCGATATCCTTCAGTTCAGCTCTGATTTTGGTTATGTCTTATCTTCTGTGAGCTTTGGGGTTGATTTGCTTTTACTTCTCATCTTTCAGGTGTGATGTTAGGTTTTTAATTTGAGATCTTTCTAACTTTTCAATGTGGGTATTTAGAGCTATAAATTTCCCTCTTAACACTACTTTACCTGTGCCCCAGATATTCTGGTATGCTGTATCTTTGTTCTCGTTAGTTTCAAAGAATTTCTTGATGTCTGCCTTAATTATATTATTTGCCCCAAAGACATTCAGGAGCATATTGTTTAATTTCCATGTAATTGCATGGTTTTGAGGAATTTTTTTAGTCTTGACTTCTATTTTTATTGTGCTGTGTTCCAAGAGTGTGTTTGGTATAATTTAGGTTCATCTGCATTTGCTGAGAAGCATTTTATGTCTAATTGTGTGGTTTATTTGAGTTATGTGCCATGTGGCAATTAGAAACATGTATATTCTGTGGTTGCTGAGTGAAGCATTCTGTAGAGGTCTATCAGATCCATTTGCTCTAATGTTGAGTTCAGGTTCTGAATATCTGTTAATTTTCTGCCTTGATGATCTGTGTAATACGGTCAGTTGAGTATTGATATCTCCCACTATTATTGTGTGAGAGTCTAAGCTCTTTCTAGGTCTCTAAGAACTTGCTTTATGAATCCAGATGCTTCCGTGTTGGGTGCATGTATATTTAGGATAGTTAGGTCTTGTTGAATTGAACTCTTTACCATTGTGTAATACCCTTCTTTGTCTTTTCTGATCTTTGTTGGTTTAAAGTCTGTTTTGTCTGAAATTAGGGTTGCAATCCCTGCTTTTTTCTGATTCCCATTTGCTTGATAGATTTTCCTCCATCCCTTTATTTTGAGCCTATGTGTATCATTGCATGTGAGATGGATCCCTTGAGGACAGCACACCATTTGGTCTTCCTCTTTTATCCAGCTTATCCGCACCTTTTAAATGGGGCATTTAGCTTCTTTACATTCAAGGTTAGTATTGATGTGTGTAGATTTGATCCTGTCATTGTGTTGTTAGCTGGTTATTATGCCAGCTTGTTTGTATGGTTCCTTTATAGTGTCTTAAGTGTGTTTTAGTAGTGGCTGGTAACAGCCTTTCCTTTCCATACTTAGTGCTTATTTCAAGATCTCTTATAAAGTTGGTCTGGTGGTAATGAACTGTCTCAGCATTTGCTTATCTGAAAAGGATCTTATTTCTCCTTTGCTTAGGAAGCTTAGTTTGGCGGGATATGAAATTCTTGGTTAAAGATTTTTTCTTTAGGCATGTTGCTTAAAGATTTTTTCTTTAGAAATGTTGAATATAAGCCCCCAGTCTCTTCTGGCTTGTAGGGTTTCTGCTGAGCAGTCTGCCATTAGCTTGATGGAGTTCCCTTTGTTGGTGATCTGCCCTTTCTTTCTAGCTGCCTTTAACATTCTTTCTTTCATTTCAGCCTTGGAAAATCTGATGATTATATGTCTTGAGGATAATCTTCTTGTGTAGAATCTTGCAGGGATTCTTCATATTTCCTGAATTTGACTGTTGTCCTCTCTAGCAAGGTTACAGAAGTTTTCATCAATGATATCCTGAAACATATTTTTCAAGTTATTTGCTTGCTTCCCATCCCTTTCAGGGATGCCAATGTTACATAGATTTGGCCTTTTTACATAATCTCATATTTCTTGGAGCTTCTGCTCATTTCTTTCTATTCTTTTTTTCTTTATTTTTGCCCGACTGTCTTATTTCAGAGAGTCAGCCTTTGGGTTCCAAGATTCTTTCCTTGGCTTTTTCTATTCTGCTGTTAATACTTGCCATTGCATTGTGAAATTCTTGTAGTGTATGTTTTAGCTCTGTCAGATCAGTTAAGTTCTTTTTTCATACTCGCCATTTCATCTATCAGCTCCTGTATCATTTTGTCATTCTTAATTTCTTTGGATTGGATTTTGCCATCCTCCTGAATCTTGATGATCTTCGTTCCTATTCATAGTCTAAATTTTATTTCTGTCATTTCAGCCAATTTAGCCTGGTTAAGAAACCTTGTTGGAGAACTAATATGATCATTTTGAGGACATAAGATACTCTCGTTATTTAAGTTGCCAGTTCTTGCACTGGTTCTTTCTTATCTCTGCATGTGGGTGTTCCTTTAATTGCAGTGTAGATTGAGTACAGTCAATATAGTTCTTTTCTGGATGGTTTCACAGGGCTGAGGCTTTGTGCAGGCTTTGTGTCTTTATTTGTAGCTGACTTGTCATAGGTTTTACAGGGGAGTATATTAGTGAGGTATTTTTGGTGTTAAAGCTTTGGAGTGTGAATTAGTTAATGGCACTTAGTCATAGAGGTCAGTTGGTAGGCTCTTGCTCAATCCCGTAGCTCCCTTATATTTCCTTAGAGTTGTAGCCATGCTCCCTTTCAATGCTCTGAAATGTGGGCTCCTCTCCCACTTGAGTGCCAGCTGTAGATCATGGCTTGGCACTCTCAGGCTGCCCACCACAGCTCAGGGGTGATCTCAGGGTTTATATTTCCTCCCCAACTTGGAGGCAGCATAGAAAGGGACCTTAGTAGAGGTTTTCAGGGTCTTTTGCTTGTCTCCTGGGGCTCCACCCCAGAGAAATGCAGGTCAGCAATCTCTCAGTGCAATCAACAGGATGGGGGTGTCTATGCTGTGGGCCCAAGCCAGGGGTTCCCTGCCTGGTGACAAGCAGAGAGGGTAGGTGGTATCCATGGGAGATGGAGTGGCCTCCTCTCATTGAGTTGATTACTACTTGTGAGAGGTGTGGATAAAGTACTTAGGGTCTTTGCTCCTTTGTAACTCCAAGGGTAGCACGGGTAGTACCACTGCAGATACAGTGGCAGAGAGGCTTTATTTGCCCATTGTGCTCCACTTCTGAGAAATGCAGAGCCATTCATACTGGGACTGTTCAGTCAGTGGGGTTGGGTGGCTGCACTGCTGACATGAACTTGGGGTTCCACTTGTTTGGGAGCAGGGGGTTGAGGGCTCACCAGGAGGAGAGTTTGGTCTCCTCTCTGTATGGTGACTGCGGCATGCTGCAAGCTCGAGTGTAGCCCTCACACTCTTTGTTTCTTCCCCAGACCTAGGGCAGCATGGATAGGACTGTTGCTGTAGCATCAGCAGAGGTGCTGTTGTATGCCTCAGGGGGCCTCTCCCCAGGGACACTCTGGGCCACTACCAGTGTGTATGCTCAGCCGTGGATGGAGTGACTGTTCTGCATTCAAGAGCTGGGACTCTTGCCCGGTGAAGAGTGGGGATGAGGGCTTTCAGGGAAGAGGGGCTGGACTCCTCTCCATATGGTGGCTATGGTGTGCTGGAGGTGCCAGTGTAATGACTTGGCCCTTTGTTTCTTTCCCAGCCTCAGGGCTGTTAGGTCAGTACCACTACAACTGTAGTGGTGAAGAGGTTGTGGGTTGACTCTGGAATTTCCTCCTTGGAGAAATGCTGGGCTGCCTCTGACTGCAGTGATCAGGCAGGGGCAAGGTGGTTGTACTGGAGTCCCAGGTGGGTGGCCCTGCCCAGTGGGGAGAAGTGAGGACCAGGACCTGCATGGAGAACAATGTGGACAGTTTTCTGTGAGGTGGTTGCTCTCTGCTGGGGGTCCAGACCAGCCCCTGGTCCTCACAGACTCTCCAGAGTCTGGAGACAGCAAGGGTGAGGGCTGCAAGACAACAAAGATGGCAACCCATGCCTCCCACTGGGAGCTCTGTCTCAGGGAGTTTCAGAGCTTCTACTGGCTTGCCCCAGTGTGGGTTGGCTGGAGACTCAGGCCTGAAGGACCCACCCAGTGGGAAGATACAGGATTGGCAACCCATGTAATAAACAGTCTGGCCACTTTTCTACAGGGCTGCTGCAGTATGTTGGGGGTCAGCTCCAGTACCTAGTCACCTTGGATTTTCCTGTACCTGAAGGTATCAATAGTGAAGGCTGCAAAACAGCAAAGATGGTGGCCTGGTCCTCCCTTGCAGAGCTGCATCCCAGGGAGGTACAGACCCGTTGCTGGGCCAAACACACCTTCAAGAGGTGGCTGGAGATGCCAGTCGGGAGATCCTGCCCAGTGAGGAGGAACAGGATTGGGGACCCATGTAATATAGCAGTCTGCACTTTTTCATAGAGCAGCTGTACTGTGCTGGAGGTCTACTCCAGCACCTGGTCGCCTTGGATTCTCCAACGCCTGAAGGTAAGAATGGCTAAGGCTGTGAAACAGCAAAGATGGCAGCTTGCCCCTCCCTTTGGGAGCTCCATCCCAGGGAAGTTTGAAACAGCTGTCTCCTGGGAAACACCAGTGGAAATGACTGGAGACCCCGGTTGGGAGATTCCACCCAGTGAATAGAAATGGGATTCAGCATCTGCATGAAAAACCAGTCTGACTGCTTCACCTTAGAGCTGCTGGACTGTGCCGAGGAACAGCTCCAGTCCCTAGTCATCTCAGACGCCCTAGAGGCCAAAAGCAACAATGGCTAAGGCTGCAAAACAACACAGATGGCGGCCCACCCTACGCCCTAGGAGTTCCATCTCAGGGAGATAGAGTGCTGCTACAAGAGGCTGACTGGACTCCCAAGCCAGTGAGTCTAGTCCTGCAAGGTATCTAAGGCTCTTGGGGCTCCACAGGTGCCTGAGTGGCTGCTCTGCTGAGACTCCATGTAGCTCTGTGTGTCAGACTGAAGGCCCTGGTTGAGTGGGTTCACAAGGGGATCTCCTGATCCATGGTCTGCAAAGAACCATAGGAGAAACATAGGTCCCCAAGGTCGCTCACTCACTCACTGCTTCCCTGGGCAGGGGAGGTTCCCCTAGCTCTGTGTCACGCCCAGGTGGCAACTCATCCAGCTTTACTTCTCTCCATTCTCTGTGGGTTGAGTTGTTTCCTTGATGAGTCCCAATGTGTGTACCTGGATGTCTCAGTTGAAGGTGTTGTATTTACTTGCCCCTTCCATTTCTCTCCATGAGAGTGGTGCACACTAGCTGCTTCTAGTCGGCCATCTTGGCCAAACTGCTCTCATTTTAGATTTCTGATCTTCAGAACTATAAGATAAATTTGTGTTGTTTTAAGCCACTAAGTATAGCAATTTATTACAGCAACAATAGGAAATTAATACATTACTACTGTTACGGATTCATTGCATTACTGCTTCTTGGTTTATTATTTTCTTGTTTATAGAGTAGAAGCTTATTTTAGCCCCTTTTAGACCGATGTACTACTGACCCCCAGAACCATAAGATAACAAATTTATGTTGTTTTAGGCCACCAAATTTGTGGTAATTTGTTATAGTAGCAGTAGGAAACTAATATACCTCATAAGAGGTGATAAGGACAGAGGTAGTCATATGGGGAGAAGCAGATTATTCAGGAGATTTTTATACAGTAAAGTTCATCAGAATTGGTTCTAATTTTAAAATAGGGATTGAGAAAAAAATGGAGGGAATTCAGAAAAACTTGGCTGTCTCCAGGATTTCTAGCATGAGCAAGTGGGTGGATGTTGGCATTATTCCCTGAAATAAGAAGCGCAGCAAGAGGATTAAGTTTGACAGGGCGAGTCCATGAATTCAGTTATAGTCTTGTGATATATTTACTATGAGGCCAAGTAGAGATGTCTACCATGCAGCTGAAAATTTAAAAAAACAAAAACAAAAACAAACAAAAAAGCTTGTTGTCAGGAAATGTGAATCTGTGATATAGGTTTAAACGAGGCCACACAAACAAATGAAACTGACCAGGGTATGTGTATAAAATGAGATGCGGGTCCATGCGAGATCCATGAGGAACTCAAACATTTAAAGTTAAGTAGAGAAGGTGATGCTGACACAGGAACCTGAGAACATAGACTGAGAGGGAGAGAAAGCCAAAGGAACTAGAAACTGTCCCTTGGAAATGGCAACTTAGGCCTTGGAGCCCTGGGCAACAGCAGCTGTGATAAAGTAGTGGGAATAGAACATGTTGTTGATTGAATGAGCAGGAGGTGAGGAAATAGTGAAGTGAAACCACTGTCTCAAGAAGACCAAACAGAAATATAGAGAAGGGCTCGTGTTTTCTGGGTGGCAGGAACAATATTGGCCATGTTATAGAGTAAATAACAAGAATGGTGTGTGAGAGAAGTCAGGAAAAATAGACCAGGTTAGAAAAGTGACTATTCAGGACATGGAGAGAATGGATGAATGAGAATGACTTTGAATACCACAAATCCACTCCACATTGCCCAGCATAAGTTAAATCTGGGCTGTGTCATTATGCCTAGCACATCTAAGAGTGTGCTGTTAACTTACTGATTTATTTGAAGGTAACACTGTAGTTAATAATCTGTCTGCCAATCTGCCTGCCAGCTTACTGAATTATTAACTAGGATTCTGGGATTTGTTTTATGTACCTGTTTGCTTTCTACACCTAGGAGTGTAGAAAACATGATCTCCAGGACTCTCTTGTGCCAGAGGAGAAATAGCCTCGGAGCTAACATAGAAACTCATGCTAACACTTTGAAAAATTCTGTTTTGGTTTATATTCAATTAAATAGAAGTACCATAAAACCCCAAAAATGTTTCTCACTTATAAAAAAGCCTACTATTGGCAGAAAAGCTCTAGACTTCATTTTTTTTCTACACAATGGCGTGATGTTTCTGCTTTATTTCCCCATCAACATGTGATTTAATATAACAGGTACCCCTGAAAATTGCAACGTTCATTTGACTGGAACTGCCAAGGGTTTGCTGATTTGAGCAGTCGGGAAAGGCATTTAGAAGAGCTGGCATTCTGCCACCAATTCTATGGCTTGGAAGTACCCTTAAAATTAATCCTTACTCTGTTTTCATTCAGTATTCAGCACTGCCAAAATATTGTTCATCTACTGGAGCTAAGTACTCAGTGAACGCCAGGAGTAAAATTGCAACCTGGAGAAATAATGAAAGAATTGAAGCAAGATACACATCTGCCTGGATGGCGTTTCTTGCTTTTCTCAGCTGGCCTGCCCAATTCATGATTGGCTCATCATTTACAACTGCAGAGTAGTGGGGTTTCTGTGAGATGGCAGTGGCCATGGCATGAAGCAAGATGGTGCTGTATGTGTCACTGCCCCTTCCACACATCGTATCTGAAACTAGCAAAAATGAAGGAGGTTAGGGACTTCTGTCAGAATTTAGTCACCACCAAGTTCAGGATTATTTCCTTGTATGTGTGAACATTGCTATTCTTCAAATCATACTCTCAGAGACCAGTGTTTCACTGCAAAGTTTAAATTCCTACCTAACTAAAATCTTTATTTTTGAAATTCAAGAATTATTTCCAAGTACAATCACATTGAACTCTGGCACTAGGCACTACCATTTAATATAGTAATGGAACACATTCAGAGCTAAGACAAGGAGGGTAAAATAAATGGAGATACAACCTAAATATTTAAGAAGTAACAGGATTGGAGAGGGAAGGTAAACTAAACACTTGTCTTTAAACATTAGAAGCGTTCTTACATATTAACCTCATTCTGGATGAACCCAAAGACACAAACTTGTACTAATGCTATACAGTCTAGTGGAAGATTGATTTCCAATCATTATAAAAATGACTTCTTAAAAGTCAGAGTTCTGCAAAATTGCAATACCTTCATAATTAGTAAGTTGCCTATCACAAAAAAATTTTCTCCAAGTAGTATTCTACTTTATTGGATTCTTTTAATAGAACAGAATCAGAAAATAATTTTATTATTTGACCTGCCTTATCCTGTATACTACTAAGCATTTCAGAAAGCAAGCCTAAGTGCACAAGTGTGAATGTGTGTGTGTATACTATCTATTAAAAACAAAGTAAGTAAAGCCACTTTTAGAATCCACTGATACTAGTGTCAAGAAACAGAACTAAACATGTGTTCTTAATAATCAAAGTGGTTTGGTGACTCTTCATGGGCCAAAGAGTGGAATTCGAAGATGGAAGTCTATAGTAGCAACCTAGCTAATTTACTTGAAGTTATTGTTTTGATTACGCATCTAAATAGATTTCTGCGATTAAGGTAAATTTAATCTCCACACCATTTTTAGAAAATAAAACAGCTACTCTTTGAGCTGACCAAGTCAAAATTAAAATTTGGAAAAAAAATGTGTTGAAAGCATGTGTGTGTGTGTGTGTGTGTGTGTAAGTGTAAAATCAAAGCAACTAAGGCAATTAGAAACTGTTGGAATAGATTTTGCTTTGCAGACCTTTCTGGAAATATATATTATATATCATTTTTCAAAACAGAATTTGGATTTAATAATTTCTGATGAAATACCTATTTATATCATTAATAATTTCTGATGTAATACCTGTTTATATCATTAGACCTGACATATGACAAAGACAAATATAAAGCAAATGTGAACTAGTTACTTTATGCTTGTTATTTTTAAGTTTTTATTTTAAGTTTTTAAAGTTTATTTTAAGTTTAAGTTTTTATTTTAGTTTTATTATTTTTAAGTTTTCTTTGTGACAGGTAAGGGTGGTCAGGCATTTAGTCTACATCAAACCCAGTAAGAAAATTGGAGTCAACCCCCTTGTCATAATCCCCACTCTCATTATAGTGTCCTATGATCAAGAAGAAACTCCCAACTGTAGCTTCACTCTGAGGAAAAAAAGAGTTGTGCCACATATCCAATATCTCAATTTTTGGAGTGTTGCCTGAGTGACTGGTTCCTCTCTTACCTATCTCAGAGTGTTGATATGACCCAGCATGTTTTACATTCCTGGGAGCCACGGAGAATAAAGGATGCAGTCTGAACTATGTCCTCCCCCTGGACCAGCAGAAAGTGAACAGGTGAAAAACTCCAAATGGAATTGGATGCCACATCCAA
This sequence comes from Homo sapiens, assembly GCF_000001405.40. NCBI lineage: Eukaryota > Metazoa > Chordata > Mammalia > Primates > Hominidae > Homo > Homo sapiens. Next base: position 82,558,670 of record NC_000005.10, on the reverse strand, counting down.
TGTTGCAACTTCGGATGCTTCCAAGGGATTTGCCTCTGTCTCACCTGTCTTGGAGCACTGACAAATTCTAATATACTCTGGATGTCCAGTGAACACTAAGAGCAAAGATAGTGGTTTTTACTAGCACAAAACTTTTAGAGGCCCACAGAGGCTTTGGCTGAGTTGATCAGTGAAGGTCTTCTCCTGTATGAGGCCAATCCAGACTGGGGGAAGTGGCAGTTTTTTCCTAATGTACAGATAGTAACACAGTGAATCAAGGAAAACAAGAAAACACAATCAAAACAAAGAAACAAGATAAAACTCCAGAATCTGACTCTATATCAAGTATATGAATTACCCGATAAGAATTCAAAATAATCATCATAAAAATACTCTGTGAGCTCAGGAGACTAATGCAGGAACAAAGTGAGAATTTCAACAAAGAGTCATAAAAGAACCAAACAGAAATCATGAAGCTAAAAAAATTCAAAACTGAGCTGAAAAATTCAATATAGGGGTTTAACCAAAGATTAGAGCAAACAGAAGAATCCTCAAAATCAAAGTCAGGTCATTTGAAATAATCCAATCGGGAGAAATACAGAGAAGAATGAAAAAGGATGAACAAAACTTAAGGCACTATGGGACATTATTAAGCAGACCAATATATGCATTATGAGATGTGAAAAAGAAGAAGAAGTAGAATAAGAACAAGAACAACAATAACACCAAGGACAAGAACAAGAAGCAGCAGCAGCACCAGAAAGCTTATGCAAAGAAATAATGGCCGAAAACTTCTGAAATACAGGGAAGGAAATGGACATCCAAATCAAGGAAGCCCAAAGGATTCCAAATAAGATGAACCCAAAGAAATCCACATCAAGTCATATTATAATCAAATTATACAAAGACAAAGAGAATTTTGAAAGCAGTGAAAAGAGACTTGTTACATACAAAACAATACTCATAAAACTATTTACATACAAGACAATACTCATAAGACTATCAGTGACTTTTTCAGCAGAAATTTTGGAGGATAGAAGGGAGTAGAATGAGATATTCAAAGTGTTAAAATAGAAGAACTGCCAATCAGAAATACTATAGCTGTCCTTCATAAATGAAGTAAAGACTTAACCAGACAAAAAAAAACCAAGAGAGTCCAACACAACTAGTACTACCTTATAAAAAATGCTAAAGGGAGTTATTAAACTTGAAACCAAAGGATGTTAAATAGTGACATAACAGCATAAGAAACTATACAATACATTGATAAAGGTAAATATATAGACAAAAACAGAATATTACTGTAACGATGTTTGTTAAATCACTTTTAATTATGGCATAGTAAATTAAAGGAGAGAAGTATTCAAAATAAGCATAAATTTAAATATCTTAATGGGTACACTATACAAATATCACATCAATAACACAAAGAGTGGGGGAAGGAGTAAAAGTGTAGCATTTTCCTAGGTGATTGAACTAAAGTTTTCATCAGCTTAAAAAACAAACTGTTATATTTTATGTGAGCTCCATGGTAATCACAAAAAACACCTATTGGCCAGGCATGGTGCCTCACACCTGTAATCTCAGCACTGTCAGAGATTAAATTATCAGGCACAGCGGCATGTGCCTGTAGTCCTATCCTAGCTACTCAGGGGGGCTAAGGCAGGAGGATTGCTTGAGCCCAGAAGTTCAAGGCTGCAGTGAACGCTGATTGGGCCACTGCATTCCAGCCTGGGTGACAGAGTGAGACCCCATCTCAAAAGTAAAATAAAGTAAAATAAAATAAAAATAAAGAAAATACCTATAGAAGCTACATAAAAGAAAAAAGAAAAACAAATCAAATATATTAATACAAAAATATTTCATGAAACACAAAGGAAAACACAAGAAAGGAAAAGAGGGACCAAAAACAAAGACAAACCGAAAACAATTAACAATAGTAAATTCTTTCCTATCAATAATTACTTTTAATATAAGTGGATTAAAGTCCCCTATCAAAAGACATAGAATGGCTGAATGTATTTTTAAAAATCTATCTATATGCTGTCTACAAGAAGCTAATTTCAGATTTAGATTTAGGTTAAGAAGAAAGTGAAGGGGTGGAAAAGATATTCATGTAAATGATAATCAAAAGAGTGCAGGGATGGTGATACTTACATCAGACAAAATAGATTTTAAGTCAAAACTGTCACAAGAGTAAAAGAGGACATTATACAGTGATAAAATGTATATACAGGAATATAAAATGATACAGAGAACATTAGAATTCCTAAATATATATAAAGCAAACATGGATAGAACTGAAGGTAGAAATAGAAAAAATAATGATAATAGTAGGAGACCTCAATACCCTACTTTAAATAATAAACAGAACATCCAGACATAAGATCAACAAGAAAACAATACTTAACAATCCTATAGACCAAATGGACCTAACAGAGGTATACAGAACATTTCACTCAACACCAGCAGAATATACATTATTCTCAAATGCACATGGAACTTTTTCCAGGATAGTTCATATATTAGGTCACAAAACAAGTCTTAAAAATTTTAAGAAGATTGAAATTATACCAAATATCTTTTCCAACCACAAAAGAATGAAGCCAGAAATCAATAACAAAAGAAAAACTGAAAGATTCATGAATATGTGGAAATTAAACAACATATTTTGTACAACCAATAGGTCAAGGAAGAAATCAAGAGGGAAATTAGAAAATATTTTGAGACAAATGAAAATAGAAACACAACTTGCCAAAACTTATGGGATGCAGCTAAAGCAGTACTAAGAGAAAACTGCAGTGATAAATACCTACATTTAAAAAGAAAGATCTAAAATAAACAATCATCTACTGGTACACCCTGAAGGAACTAGAAAAAGAATAAAGTAAGCCCAAAGTTAGCAGAAGGAAGGAAATAATAAAGATTAGAGTAGAAACAAACAAAATAGTGAGTAGAAAAAAATCAATAAAACTAAGAGCTGGTTTTATGAAAAGCAAATTTGACAAACTGTTAGCTAGACTAAGGGGGAAAAAAAGATATGATGATACCCAAATAAAATTAGAAATGCAAGAGGAGACACTACAACTGATGCCACAGAAAGAAAAAGAATCATAAGAGGCTACTGTGAACAATTATATGCCAACAAATTGGATAACCTAGAAGTAATGAACAACCTAGAAACATACAACCTACTGAGACTGAATTATGAAGAAATGGAAAATCTGAACAGACCTATAACTGGTAAGAATATTGCATCAGTAATCAAAAACCTTTCAATAAAGAAAAGCCCAGGACCAGCTGACTTCACCGATGAATTCTACATTTAAAGAAGAATTAACACCAATCCTTCTCAAACTCTTCCAAAAAATTAAAGAGGAGGAAACACTTTCAAACTCATTTTTGAGGCCAGCATTACCCTTATATAAAACCAGACAAGGAGGGCCAGGCATGGTGGTTCATGCCTGTAATCCCTGCACTTTGGGAGGCCAAGGCAGGCAGATCACTTGAGGTCAGGAGTTCGAGACCAGCCTGGCCAACATGGTGAAACTCCATCTCTACTAAAAATAAAAAAGTTAGCCAGGCATGGTGGTGTATGCCTGTAGTCCTAGCTACTCAGGAGGCTGAGGCAGGAGAATGGCTTGAACCTGGGAGGTGGAGGTTGTAGTGAGCCGAGATTGCACCCAGCCTAGGCAACAGAGCAAGACTCAATCCCAAAAAAAAAAAAAAAAACAGACAAAGAGACTGCAAGAAAACCAACTATAGGCCAATATCCATGATGAATATAATTGCGAAAATCCTCAACAACTTACTAGCAAACCAAATTCAACAGCACATTAAAAGGACCACACACCATGACCAAGTGGGGTTCATTTCTAAGATGCAAAGATGATTCAACATACAAAGATCAATTAAGCCATCCTAAATACTGCCTAAAACATTTTAGCCATGATCAGGCTGGAATAACAGAATGAAGGATGAAAATTGTATGATCATCTCAATAAATGCAGAAAAAGCATTTGATAAAAATCAATACTCTTTCATCATAAAAACTTTCAATAAACAAGGAATAGAGGGAAATTTTCTCAACATAGTAAAGGTCATATATGAAAAGGCAACCTATGGAATGGGAGAAAATATTTGCAAACCATATATTTCATAAGGAGTCAATTTCCAAAATATTTAAGGAACCCCTGCAACTTAATAGCAAAAAAAGCGCTAAGAACCCAATTTTAAAAGTGGATTAAGGACTTGAACAGACATTTCTCCAAAGACATACAAATGGCCAACAGGTATATGAAAAGGTGCTCAACATCACTAATCATTAGGGGAATGGAAGCCAAAACCACAGTGAGATAGTGTTAAGATGATGATTATCAAAAACTCAAGACTAACAAGTGTTTGTGAGGCTGTAGAGAAATTGGAAAACTTGTATATTGTTGTTGGGAATACAAAATGGTACAGCCACTACGAAAAACAGTATAGAGTTTCCTCAAAAAAATTAAAAATAGAACTATCATATAATCCAGCTTTCCCACTTCTGAGTATTTTTAGAAAAGAATTGAAATCAAAATCTCCAAGAGACATTAGCACTCTTAAATTCAGCGCAGTACTATACACAACAGGCAAGATAGGGAAACGATCTAAATTTCTATCAACAGATGAATGAATAAAGAAAATGTGGTATATAAATACAATGGAATATTAGCCTTAAAAAAGAAGAAAATAGTGCAATATGCAACAACATGGATCGACCATGGGGACGTTATGCTAAATAAAATAAGCCACTTAGGGCAGGCCAAATACTGTATAATTCTACTTACATGAGACATCTAAAATAGACTCTTAGAAGCGGAGAGTAAAATGGTGGTTGCCAGGGACTGTTGCTGCCAGGGACAGGTTGCTTACCAATGGATACATAGTTTCGGTTATTAAAATAAATAAGTTCTAGAAATCTGCTGTACAACATTGTATATCAATACTGTATTGTACACTTAAAAATCTATTGAGGGTTAATTTCATATTAAATGTTCTTACTACAAGAAAATACAAAAGTTTTTAAAAAGTAAGAGTTGGACTAATCCCTAAAGATGCTTCCAACCGTAACATTGAACAACTCCAGGGGTAAGAGTGAATTCAGTGTACCATTACCAATCTGGAAAGTTCCCCAGACTGGATGGGAGAGATAGAAAAAAAGCTGAACAGAACTGTATAGATTAGACCTAGAATTGATGGAAAAAAGCATTCTCCCTTGTGTTGTCTAGACAAATGGGCCAAAACTGAAACAGTTATTTGAAAACGCCTAAGCCCCCTAAATACTGAGGTCAGTCTTAGGTGGGAGTTTTTCTTTCAAATGCAATTGACTTATATTTTATATCCTTTCACTAAGACTCAGATATCTTCTTACCAGACATTCCTAAGAACATGGACAAAATAGTGATGTTTAAAAAGCCCTTTTACTCCAGAAAAGTACCTCAAAGCCAAAAAAAGTCTTGAAAAGGCTGTGCAATTATTTATGTTTGCTTAAAATAATGTTTTCCTATTACAAATGAATATGCAGAACTGAGAGCAACATAAAATATAAATAGAAATTTGTCTTGTTAAAAAAATTATGTTTTATCTTTAGTGATCTAGTCATAGTCAACAGAAGTCTCTTAATATATACATGTTCTTAATTAATTTAGTGCATTATCTCTACCTCTTGTTATAACTCTTCTCACCGTAGAAGACCTGCAGTTTTAAAATATCAGAAAGAATTTAATATATAGAGAAAGCAATAATTGTATTTCACATTTGCTGATGTGACACTAAGAGTAGATACAAACTGGACAACCTATGTAGAATCTGGTCAAGAAATAGAGTGTTATGGAGATGAAGCTTTGTAATAATTGAAAGAGAGTCTATCAGAAAGATTTTCAAAGACAGCATACTCTGACGCTCTGAGTTTCAAATTCTTAAAAGAATTAGACAGAAAACTATATGAAATGGGTCAGGTGCAACATCACCTGGAGATGGAAGTATTGAAGCATAAATATACCTTTGTAGCGTCAAGATTCGATGTGAGATGATATTCACATACAATATAAAGCAACTGGATTCGTTTCGCAAACACAGATTCTTGAGCCCTCTTCCTGCAAGTCAGAGGTGAAAAAATGGCACATCTTCCAGTTCACTGACTGACTAAAAGATACCTCTCCCTCCAGCTCTACGCTGCTGGCCAGATGCCCAAAGAGCAGTAATGAATAACTGGGCTAATGAAACAAAAGATGGTTTATTTTAATATATTTGATTATTGAGAGATTCCAAACTGGTATTCCTTTTTCAAACAAAGATTTAAAAGGAAATCAGATAGCATCAAAAAAAAAACATTTTTGGTACACGATTGTTCTCTATATTACCTTTCACCAGCTCCTGCTGTTGCCCCCATTTCGTCAACCCCCTCAAATACACACCCAGAATCGAAACCACTGGCGCCTTTGCACAGAAGAGGAAATGTGTGTGCTGCACAGATGTATTGCTGCCTTTGGGATTTGGATCACCCAAACAATCTGAGTTAATTACATCAACTGATGTAACCTAATTCCTTTAAAAGGGATGTCTGGCTGTGAAGAATTTTGAATGGATATTTAAAGCTTTCCTTAGCCCTCTGGAGAGGGTTTGAAATTAGGAGGATATTTTCTCCTAAGGAAAACAGTCTATCTTTGTAAATTCAACATTTCCATGCTCTTTACTCACTGATACCTTATTGTCTTAAAAAGTTGGACCTCTTACAGAACCTCCTAATAGCATAGGTATGAAACTTTCACTAAAAAGAGAAGAGAAGATAATACTTAGCCAGTAAGGCAGCAGTAAATCACGTTGTGTAAACAAAACCCACAAAAATAAGCATTATCCTGAAAACCTGAACATGTCCTCCCATCGGGTAAAGTCAGTTCTGTAAAGCCATTCCCCCACCCCACCCCCACCCCACCCCCGGCCCAGTGATTTTCTCACAAAGGGTAGGTGATCTCAGAGGTTTCATGAGCTCCTTTCTGCTGGGAGGCCCAAGGGTCTCTATCAGCCCCTTGAATCTGTATTCTGCAGCACAGATGGTGGGGGTGATTGTTTTGAAAACAATTTCTTGCATGGCCACCCCTCTGAAACCACCAAAAGCAAAATCCATCCCACACTTCTGTATTTATACATTGAGAAAAATCTCCAAAGTTACAAGGGTTTATAATATTAGCAGCATGTTTTAGCATGGTGGAGTCAAGCCATCCTAAATACTGCCTAAAACATTTTAGCCATGACCAGACTGGAAAATTGGAGCAATGGCCTGGATGCTGAACAAAGAAAACAACATCATTAAAATACAGTAATTCCATTATTCTGTCCACTAAAACAAATGCATTTTTATGGTACTCAAATGAAAACCTGCCATATTGGCAGAAGAATTGGTGAAAGTGAACATCAGCATAAACACATATCTAGTAAAGATAACTATGTGAATCATATTTTTAAAATTCTAATTGTAGGTTAGGTTTATCATAAAAACATCTCAAGAAATTCAATTAAAGCTCACAGTGGATTCTTAACTTATGTGCTTGTAATAAAAAAGTGAGCTAAGAGGAAGAATGTCAGATTTAACTTAGCATTCCATGTTTGTAATATTCCAATGCTACTGAAAATTTAAAGAGTATCTTTCCCTAAAAACCATTTTAACAAGGGAGTGGGAGAAGAGGATAGGTGGATAGTGTTACAGAAAACCATAGTGCATTCAGGAAAAAAATTCACTAATACAAGAAATATAGCATCTGACAGTACCTAGGAGCCATGAAACAGTATGTCAAGGAAGAGGAAAGAAATCTCCTCAATCAAAACAACTGCAAAATGACCAAAGGCTGTCAGGCACCTTAGTAGCCCCTCATTGCATTATGATATCCATGCATTTATATTGAAGTGCTGAGTATATGGTGTTTTATAGAACTTCAGGTCATACTCATGAGTCAGTCACCACCTTCTGTGAACAATGCAAAGGTAAGGTCATTTGGAAATCCTAAGTGATGGTTTGGTGATGCCAGTTTTAACACTGTGGATAAATATAATATCTTGCCATCACAGTCATTCAAATGAAATAGGTATCACAGGGTCTGTCTTACCTATTTTATAACCTCGTGGAGGTTATATGGTTTTGGTTGTAAGTGACAAACTGCAACTCAAACTAAGTTTAAGCAAAAGAAGTGAGTTTACCAGCTCATGTAATTGAAATATCAAGAGATAGAGCTGTATTTAGGCAAAACTATATGCAGAGAGCTTCTCCCTCCACCTCTCAACTCCAATTCTCTTTGCTTGACTTTCTTGTACATGTAGACTTTCTCCATCTTGGAGGCAAGTTGACCGTTGACAGATGAAGTCTCAAAACTTTCTAACCTAACAGTAGCTTCCTCTGCTTACCTGCATAAAGTGAGGGAGGTATATTTTAACATTAGCTTTTCCTATTTAGCATAGCTTTCTGTGCCTTACTACATAAAAGCAAGAACGGTACACCTCTCTAAGAAAGGAGTGCTGGTAGATGAGAACAAGTCCTCTAAGATAGGTCTTAATGAGCCACATGTTTGAAGTTCTGTGAATATTTCTTCAGAAGAGATCCCCAAAACAATTACGCGCACACACACACACACACACACACACACACACAGACACACACCCCAAATTGGGAAACCTATTTTATGACTGAGTAAGCCAAAGTGGACTGTGACTCAGCAAGGGACTCCTCTTTCTTCCTATTTGACCTCCAAATTTCAGTTTGCAAGAAGGAAGGGGAAAGAGCATCCCCACCACCATCCCTATGGTCCCACAATAAGTTTTGTGTTTTCAGGGTAAAGAGAGATCTAAAATTCAATCACAATAAGAGTAATTGTTAGGTATTGGTTATTAAAAAGTAAAAATGACATACTTAGAAGTCAACTAGCAAAGTTGGAATTCAACCCCTACAAAACTGAAGGGCAGAGTCTACACTCATCCTAAATGTCAGCAAGAACTTTAGGGATGATGAGATCCCAATAACACTGCTCCACATTCTCAGGTTTTTTTGTTTTTTGTTGTTGTTGTTGTTGTTTGTTTTTTGTTTTTGAGGCCAAATTTTTCCATGCCTTTCCTTAGCCACGAGATAGCTACTGGAAGCCTCAGCAAAATCTATTCACCCAAACAAAGCCATTTTTCACCAGTGACATGAACCCAATGGGTTTCAGCCAATTCAAACAAAGATTCAGATTTGGCGTGTTTACTTTGAAGCTCATCCAATTCAACCAAATGCCATCAAATTTGGCTTGGAAATCTCACTAGAAAATTTGCTCCCAGGAAAGTTCCATCAAGCTAAGTTTGTAGAAAATACACTGGAAGTAGTGCATCACAAGTCAGAATATCAGAATGTCACATTTCTGTCCACCAAGTTCAGGACCACAATGAATCCTTTTAGCATTTAGTAGTCTTTAGAGTTTTAAGTTAGTGCAAATTCAGAGTAGAGATATGTTCAATTTTTATTTTGCATAAAATAATTTTTATCCATGCATCTTCTATCCACTTCCCTCTGAAATGTCACTATACACCAACTGATTTACTAAAAGAAATCTTCCGAGTTACGCTTATTTTCATTCAGTAGTAGTATGTTCAAGCTGTGCCTCTCCTATTAGACAAATCAATATTAAGGTTTATTATCAGAATTTGTATAAGAATATCCAACACCATCAGACTTTATAAAAGAATCAAATGCAAAAAAAGAAAAAAAGAACAATTATCTATGGACCAAATACAAAAGAAGAGAAATTACATAAAAATTAATAAAGATTCACTTTGTATACTGGAAACAATTAGTTCTTAAAAAATTACTGCCAAAATTCATTTGGAGAAATTTACTTTTATGCATGAAGAAGGCTTCTTTTAGGTTCTAGGTTTTTGGAAAAGAAGAAGGAGCAAAGTCTTTACTGAAATTGTGTGTGTGTATGCATGAAATATATGTACATATAATACATGTATATATCATATATATGTGTGTATGTGTGTATGTATATATATATATATCTACCTTTGCTGATTTTGGCTTATGATATTTTACACCACTATTATGAGACAGAAAGGACTTCTTTGCGGGAATTTGGCAAGATTAGAAATGAGTCGATGACTCTCATTCTGGGATTCCGTGAGGCATAATGAAAAGTCTCCCACTTTAGAATGAGGCATTCCTGGATTTCTATCCCCACACAAGCTGCACATCCTCAACAAGGCACTTAAACCTCTAAATTTAACATCTTCAAAAACAGGAATAATACTTATCTGATGATGTTGATGCAAAGGTTGAATAAAGTAATGTCTATAAGGTGATTAGAACATTTTTTTAAATCATTACTATTATTTTAAAATCTTTGAGTTGGCACAGGGTTTATTCAGTTCATTTAGTCCAACTTTTGCTACAGTAACCCATATCAAAATTTCCTGACAGATAGATGATCCTATGACCTCTGAAGGAGAGCTCAGTATCTCACCTGTAGCCATTCCATTTTTATAAATATTTTTCTTACAATAAACCCCCAAACTACCTCCCCATAACTCATATCCATAGCCTGTTCAACTTTCTAACATTAAATAAGGAGTACATTTAATCCCTTCCCCTACTTATGATAGATCTTAAAATATTTAAAGACTATCAAATTGAAGAAATAATTTGAGCATTAAGTCCTGCAAAGAAAATGACTTTTCTTACCAAAACTATATATTTTATGCCTTTAACCATTGTTTTCAGACCCTTGAACATCTGGTTACTCTTCCTTATCTACTATTCTAGTAGATAAAGCTATTTTATATTTGGAATTCCATTATTTTTCCTGTAATAGACTATTATACATACTTTATTTTTTTGTTTTAGTGATTGCACTTAAAAGTTTTAGCTTTCATAATTAATTTAACATTGTGAAGTTAATAAAAATTTTTATCCACCTTGAAAAACTATACACAAATCTTATAACAATTTAACCTTAATTATTTCCCTCCCAAGTTACATGCTTTTGATTATCTGTATTTTCATTTACCTTTTTATAAGCCCATATATTTCAGATTATCTGGCCCTATTTTATATTTATACATGACAGATATTTTAAATTTCAATGTTACTATCTAGTATATCAGCTATTTTTACCGAATTTGCAGTATTTATTAATGTCTTCCTCCAGGTCACGGGTGAAAATGTTGAGGCTTCTTTTCTGTTCTAGCTATGGTCAGCATTGCTACCTGTCCACTAGACCCCATTCCTCTCATCCACCAAGAACATTCCTCCAGGCATCATTTTTTCTATAAATCATATCAATATTTTTTTTTCTTTTCTACTGAATCATTCTCATACCAACAGGCTATTATTTGGGGAACCATAAAAAATACAGAAAACTCTTTATGACCTTACACTCCATGTCTCTTCTTTCCTTTATAGCAAAAGTTTATGAAAGTATTGTCTATACCAATTGTCCCCTATATGTATTTACTCTCATTTTATCTTAAATTTATTTCAGTAAAGTTTTGCCTAACCAATCTATTGAAGCTTCCTTTATGAAAGTCATCAATAACCTCCTCCTTACTATTAGTTCATTAGTTGAGCTATAAACTAGACCAGCAAAGTTTATCACTTGCCCTTGAACACTTTTGTAGCCTGGTTTTCTCTGCCTCTCTGGAAGTTCATGTTCAGTCTCCTTTACTACTTCTTCTGCATCTCCTTGATCTCCAATGCCAGATTTAACAGGTTTTTGTAAACTTTATCCCACATAGTTTTCACAGGAACCCAGCAAAATAAGCAGTATCAACCCTAGTAATAAATTTTAGCAGATGATTTTTGGAGCCCTCTTGGAAGCATACGGTTATCAATTTATCAAGTTTTTCCAGGAAAATATGATCTTTATTGCCATGCATGTTTGATGTGTAGATCAGAGGAAAATAGATATAATTAACTGTATTTTCACCAAGTCTTCAGGCACTATCATACCTGACATTTTTGGAGAAGAGATGATAAAATGTCTAGAAATCTGAAAAAAACAGATGCAATTTGTACCGATTAATGGATCCAAATAAAAAACAAGAGGGGACTTTAGTGCCACTTCATTATTATGTTTTTGTCTGCAGTTGCTTTATTCATTAATTGATTGGTTAGAAATATTTATTGACAGCCTATTTCCAGGCATTTTTTTTAAATGCTGGGTCTGTGAACACAAAAAAATAAAAATCCCTAGCTTCATGAAATTTACATTATAGTGGGAGAGACAAGTAGTCAATAAATCAAATATATCACATATTAGATGTGAGTAAGGATTAAAGATAGTAAAAGCAGGGAAGAGTGATAATAAGTGTGTGTGTGAGGTTGTAATTATGAACAGGGTGACCAGGATAGGACTTAGTGTTACAATATATGTAAGTAAAGAACTGAAGAAAGAGAAGGAAGGAGTTCCTTGTTGCTCAACTCACAATTACTACATACCACTTAACATAATGTCTCACACAAGCTGGCACTAAATAATATTTTTTAATATATGAACAAGGAAATAAATAGAGGAAGGTGGATTATTTGTAAATGCCTTATTAACTACGGCAGAATCATAATGAGCATTTCCTATAGAACAAAGTCATCTGCCTGTGATTTTTTCACTTATTTTTGGGTAGCTCAATAGAGCCACAAAGTGAAGAAAGCAATAATTATGTGGCCACCAGAGCTGCTATTAGAGTGTCACCTGTTGTTCTATCCATTGTCTCAAAGACAGTTTTAAAAAAGACCCTATACGCTTCATTAAGAGCATTTGTTCACTGTGGGGTGGAGGCTGTGATATATCAGGGAGTGTATTAGGCCATTCTTACATTGCTATAAAGAAATACCTGAGACTGGGTAATTTACAAAGAAAAGAGGTTTAATTGGTTCATGGTTCTGCAGGCTGTACAGGAAGCATAGCACTGGCATCTGCTTCTGGAAAGGCCTCAGGAAGCTTTTACTCATGGTGGAAGGCAAAGCAGGTGCAGGCACTTCACAGGGTGAAAATGGGCAAGAGAGAGAATGTAGGGGCAGGTGGCACACACTTTTAAATGATCAGATCTTGTGAGAACTCACTCACCACACAAGGACAGCACCAAGAGGATGGTGCTAAACCATTCATGAGAAATCTACCTCCATTATCCAATCACCTCCCACCAGGACCCATATTCTGCCCATGGTCCCTCCCAAATCTCAAGTCCTTTCTTTTTTTTTTTTTTTTTGATGGAGTCTCACTCTGTCACCCAGGCTGGAGTGCAGTAATGTAATCTCAGCTCACTGCAACCTCCACCTCCCAGGTTCAAGTGATTCTCTTGCCTCAGCCTCCTGAGTAGCTGGGACTACAGGCATGTGCCACCATGCCCAGCTAATTTTTTGTATTTTTTTAGGAGAGATGGGGTTTCACCGTGTTAGCCAGGATGGTCTCGATCTCCTGACCTCATGATCTGCCCACCTTGGCTTCCCAAAGTGCTGGGATTACAGTTGTGAGCCACAATGCGCAGCCTCTCATGTCCTTTTCACATTTTGAAATACAATCACTTCTCAATGTCCCCTCAAAGTCTTAACTCATTCCAGCATTAACTCAAAAGTCCCAAGTACAAAATTCAAAGTCTCATCTAGAGATGAATTCCTTCCACCTATGAAACTGTAAAATCAAAACAAGTTATTCACTTCCAAGATATGATAGAGGTAGCAGTATTGGGTAAACATTCCCATTCCAAAAGGGAGAAATTGGCCAAAAGAAAAAGGCTACAGGACCCACACAAGCTCAAAACTCAGCAAAGCAGTCATTAAGTCTTAAATCTCCAAAATAATCTCCTTTGACTCCATGTCCCACATCAGGGTACATTGCTACAAGGGGTGGAATCCCAAAGTCTTGGGCAGCTTCATCCCTGAGGTTTTGCAGGGTTCAGCCCCAAGGCTGCTCTGACAGGTTGTTGACTTCCTATGACTTTTCCAGGCACAGGGTGCAGGCTGCCGATGGATTTACCATTCTCAGATCTGGAGGGTGGTAGCCACTTTCTCACAGCTCCACTAGGCAGTGCCCCAGTGGAGACTGTGTGTGGAGGTTCCAACCCCGCATTTTCCCCTTGGCATTGCCCTAGTAGAGGTTTTCTGTGAGGGCTCTGTCTCTGCAACAGCCTTCTTCCTGGACACCCAGGCTTTTCCATACATGCTCTACAATCTAGGCAGTGGCGGCCAAGCCTCAACTCTTGCACTCTGTGCACTGCAGGCTTAACACCACATGGAAGCTGCCAAGGCTTATGGCTTACACTCTCTGGTGCTGCAGCTTGAGCTGTACCTGGGCCCCTTTGAGCTGAGAATGGAGCCAGAGTGGCCAGGATATGAGGAACAGTGTCTTGAGGCTGAGCAGGGCAGCAAGGCCCTGGGCCTGGCCCACTAAACCATTTTTCTGTCCTAGACCTCTAGGCCTTTGATGGAAAAGGCTGCCTTGAAGATCTCTGAAATGTCTTTGAGGCCTTTCCCATTGTCTTGGATATTAGTATTTGGCTCCCTTTTAGTTATGCAAATATCTAGCAAGTGGTTTTTCCATGGCCTACTTGAATTCCTATCCCAAAAAAGCTTTTTCTTCTTTTGCCACGTGGCTAGGCTGCAAAATTTCCAAACTTTACATTTTAATTCCTGTTTGAATATTACTCCAACTTCAAGTTATTTATTTGCTCCTCCATCTGAGGATGAGCTGTTAGAAGCAGCCAGTCCACATTTTGAACACTTTGCTGCTTAGAAATGTTTTTCTGCCAGATACCCTAAATCATCACTCTGAAGTTCAAACTTCCACAGATCCCTAGGGCAGGGGCACAATGCAGCCAAGTCCTTTGCTAAGGTATAACATGCATGACATTTGCTCCAGTTCCCAATGAGTTCCTCATTTCCATCTGAGACCTCAGCAGCCTGGACATTACTATCAATATCACTATCAGCATTTTGGTTACAACCATTTAACCAGTCTCTAAGAAAATCAAAGCTTTCTCTCATTTTCTTGTCTTCTCCTGAGCCTTCCAAGAATTTCCAACCTCTGCCTGTTACCTACTTCCAAAGTTTCTTCCACATTTTTAGATATGTTTATAGCAATACCCTATTCCTTGTACCAATTTTCAGTATTAGGTCATTCTTGCATTGTTATAAATAAATACCTGTGACTGGGTAATGTATACAGAAAAAAGATTAAATTGGCTCACAGTTCTGAAGGCTTTACAGGAAGCATACCACTAGCATCTGCTTCTGGAAAGGCCTCAGGAAGCTTTTACTCATGGTGGAAGGTGAAGCAGGAGCAGGCACTTCATATGGTAAAAACAGGAGCAAGAAAGAGAGTTCAGGGGGAGGTTCACACACTTTTAAATGACCAGATCTTGTGAGAATTCACTGTTGTGAGGACAGCACCAAGGGAAGGAAGCTAAAGCATTCATGAGAAATCCACCCCTATGATCCAATCACCTCCCATCAGGTTCCACCCGTAATACTGGGGATTACAATTCAACATGACATTTAGGTGAGGACAAATATGCAAACTGTATTAGGGAGTATGGTTCAATATTAGTGCTTTTGTTCCTTTTGAGATTCCTGTAACTATATTCTGTAATGACTCGAGTTGGAGTCAGTCCTGAGGGCTGTCTAAAGAGGACAAGGGAAGGAAGGATGAGACTGGTTCTGTTGACCCTACACATAAAATAGACTCAATCTAATAAAGTATTTTCTAATACGGTAAAATAAATATCTCCAAAGAGTTTTACAATGTCCTTTAACATTGATAAGCTTTTTCTTTAGTGGTTTCACCAAGATTCCTTGAGCTCATGGCTTTTTAAAACAGCCTGGGTTTCCCAAGAGAAACTAATGCATGTATCACTGGCATTCTTTGTCTCATTCTCTAGCTCCCTGGCAAAATACTCAGCAGGCCCTCTTTCTTTTTTGGACTGTCTGAAATGGCCAAAAAAAAAAAAAAAAAAAAAAGAAGAAAACTATTTTAAAAACTGCTATGACTACCTTTGTAACAGCAACAGCCATTAGGGAGTTCTCTCCTCTTCCATTTCTTGTGATTAAATTTTAATGCAGTTAAAATTGTGATTTTTTAATGCAGTTGTGCATAAAAAAAATTGTGATTTTTTTTTAATGCAGTTACATCGAGCTAACCTGTCAAAGTAAATTCACCAAAGTTAAATTTTCCTGAAAGATTAAGGATGAAAAGTCAGCAATCCACAACTAGGAAAAAAGTGATAGGGTTGGCCTTGTTGTTTTCCAGATGTTTACCAGTAGATATTAAGTTGTTCCTGAACTAGAGTGGGCATGAATCCTATAGGTCCTAAATATCAACTTACAGGGCATTGCTGTTCTTCCTGCTTTTTAACATATGTCATAGGGTCAAAGAGTATAAAGGGCTGTTTTCCTTTAAAATATCTACAGTCTAATAATAAATTGCCCTTACCATATTTTATTTCCCACTTTTCTATTCCAAACACCTGAAGAACTAAATGAAAAGTAAATGGAAAGAGCAGGGTATGATCTCCTAAGTCAGTTATTAGCCTAAGAATTAGTGTTTGGAGAACAGCACTCTCCCCTTCCTCCTTTGTCCTGAGATTCAGATTCCCATCAGCAAAATGTAGTCCATAGATAATAATGACACTCATCTAATGATATTAAAGCATGTTGAGACCTGTCGGAGAAATACACGATTTTAAAACCAAAATATTCAAAACTATATAAACTTTTAAGTCTGAGCATACTAAAAATTGCTATTCATTAGAATAAGGTCTGGAATGAAGTTAATTTTACCGTATCCCCATTTCTGGATGATTTTATATATACTCCAAAAGCACAATTGATGACCACAAAAAAATAACATATTAAATAGTATATTAATTAAATACTTATAATGAGTCTCCTTAAAAACACCATTAGATAAATTTGTTGGCCTGGCTCTATTTGTTTTATGTACTTGAAGGCAATGAATTGTGCTTCTTTGTTCTACAAATTATTTCTTTTTTATCAACTCATGTATCTCTCTAAAATAAATGAAATTTTGGGGTTTACCACTAATATTCATCTTTTCTTCCTCCATTTAAGTAGTCAGGGGTATATTATTCAATTTTATAGTGAGAAGTCAAAGGGTCTAAACAACGTTAAAAAATATTACCACAATTTGGATAAAGTTATTTTCACTTCACAAAATAAATGAGGCAAACATTTTAAAACCTTCCAGAATACTGGATTATTTATTGCCTTCTAACTTGGTTTTCTAATTATGATTTTAATGAACTTATTTGGAAATTAAACTCTGCTCTTTACCGAAGAAAATGGGGAGGGGGTAGATGTGGGGAGCAACTGTTTCAGAGATAGTTTGCCAGAGCCATGTCATCACTCTTCGAGTGAGTCTACCTGAATTATTTTGGTTCTGCCTCTAATTGCCTTTGTGCTCTTGGCCAGGGCATTTGTTTATCAGATTCCTGATCTTTAAAATGTGGAGGTTCATCTAAATACTATCCAAAGTTGCTTTCAGCTTCCATAGAAGCTAAATTCTTCCACGTTATTCTTTAATAAGTTGATACGGAAGAATGAACAGAATTAAACAAGCCACGTTTCTGATTCTACCCTGTACTGAACACAACAAGCTTCTGAATCACTGCCATGTGCATAGCTCCTTCTGAGGAAAAATTTCTGTTTAGGCATCTCCAGGGCCAGCCTCATGGAAGTCAACATGACTGAATCCAACATGGCCACTTGGCTCATAAGTAGGAATCCAGGCCATGTTCTTTTGCAATTCAATGAGGAAGGCCAATAAGGTTCTCTGAATGCCTGGAAATTTTGAATTAGACAAAAGAATAAGTCAATTACTCATAGGATTTGGAGATCTATAGTCATTACTAGCAGAGAAGTTGGAGAGGCCATGGTGGATTATATGCAAGCTCAAGAAATTTCAAATAATTTTGTTCAAAGATTAAGGAGGCTTGATTATCGCAAGTACCACATTAATTAGACTTTTTATAAGTTAGCACATAGAAGGTTTGGAATTCTTTGAGGCAGACATTATTCAGATTATTTCCAAAAGGCCCCTTTGTTTTCTCCTCGGGATAATATTTTTTAAAAATGAGTTATTAGTCACAAGGGTTGTGATTAGTCACAGCCACCTGTGGTGAGATTTCCCTCCATAACTGCTTCAGAAATGCAAGTACAGCCTGGAGACATCCCTGTCTTCGGGGGGCTGAGGCTAGACCTGTCATGGGTTCTCTTATGTGGAATGACTTGTCTCCTTCTTCCACTTCCACAAGGACCAACATATATGATTTCAATTACAACTTCTCTTCTCATGAGGCATGAAGAGGTTACCTTCCTAACTCTCTAGCAGGGCAAATATAAAATAACAATGTGAAAATCCTTATGATAAAATGTAAAACCTGTCTTTACCATAAAGTTTCATTTCCTGGGGTAATCTGAGTGATTTTCTGATCAGAATCTTAAAATCAAAAAAGACTAGTTAAAACAACTCTCAAATCAACTATCTAGGGGTACTTTAATGAGGGGAAATCAGAGAACTGCAGAATTAGATGGTCATTAAAGAAGAGAACTAACTGAGGCCTCTGCCTGCAAACTTACACCACACACAATGGATGATTGTTGTTTCTATTTTGAAAGCTCTCTGATGAGGCTGATCCTAGTGAACGTAAAAGCTCCCCAAATCATGGTTATTGAAAGTAGTCTGGAAGGTCATCGACCTTCTAATTTCTTCTGTCTAGGCTTTCTCCTGCCTAATCCCAGGATATTGGTTAAGTTGACCTCAGAGGGGTCAGACTGATCTATTGCAACTCCAGAGCTTTTGTCCCAGTGCCAATGTCCTCTCCATCAAGAATCCAAGGGTCTAATGCAGCTTCCAGAAGTACCCTTTATTGGTAGAGACTTCCCTTCATTTATTCTTTGGTTCACTCAGTCAACCTTCAATCTTGAAGTACTTACAATATCCAAACATTGCTTAGGCCCAGGGAACACGAGACAGTAACAAGAGCTTTGCTGTGACAGCTCTTACATTCAATATAAGGAGAGAAAAATAAAAACAATTAAATGAGAAATGAGAATATACAGAAAATAACTTACTCATGAGTGTCTGGGTGTGTTCTTCAGATTATCTCAAAAGAGGTTGAGATCTGAAATGATGAGAAAGATAGTCAAAAAACTTTTAAAATATATCCTTTTCTTTTTGCAGACCTGTGCCACAGTGACTATTTCTAGAGCGCCACCTGAAAACTCTAGAACAGGTAAGACCAGCAGCAGGTCTGCCTTATCCCCAGTAGACACAAATCTGCACATGTCATCAAGAATACCCCTGGTTGCTGTAGGTCCCAGAGGACTAGGGAAGTGGAGGTGATGACTCCAGATGGCTGTGCACGCTATGCCCTCAAAGCCAGACTCTAGTCTTCTGAGGAAGAGGAAGTAAAATAGCACCTTCATCCACTGGGGATAGAGAGGTTGCAGGACACCTCTCCAGTTTCTATTTAGTGCCAAACCACCCTGGAAAAAGTACCCAGAGGATGAAACGTCAACCCTTCATTTTGGAGGGTAATCATCCACAATCCCCCACACTAAGAAGCCTACCTTATTATTCCACAACTAAAGTTAATTTCAAAGTCTTTTCTCCACAGTGCACCTAATATGAAGCAGATGTGGGAACCACCGCAGGACCAGGAGAGGCCCATTCTCCTATCTCTCCCAATCTCTGTCTGTTGCAAATAAGCCAAATTTAAACCAGCAATAACGCATGTTTCCAATCAGCACTGCAGCTTTCTCCCCACGGAAGTAACTCCTTGGCTTGCACAAGGGAAGGAAATGTTTTCTTCAAAAAGCAGTGCCAGGACAGGGAGCAGCTTATTCTCACGATAGTTAACATGCTCACCAGCCAATGCAGTGAGAAAATCAGTGCAGGAGCAGCCAGGGCAAGACAGGAGAGGCCTTATTTCAGCAGAAACAATGGGAAAGACAGAGGAGGATTGGGAAACATATCTATAAAGCTTAAGAACATGAAGCTTGTCTTCCTAAGCTATTGTGGATTCATAAGGAAGTGTGGTTCATGTTGAGAATGCTTTCTCTGCCTTATCTCTCACATGCCTGATCAGAAACTGAACAGACGGAAGTGATATCCTGAACCCCATGGAGAGGGTGGGGGCTGGCTTTTGTGCTATGTAATAGGAGGACATTAAACTAGGGTAGACTAAAACCAAAAATGTCCATAATGTGTTTTAGGACAACTCTTCCTGCTCAGCAGTAAGAAAATTTTAATATTTTGCCATACCATGAAAAATAAGAAAACATCATGGTTGCCCAAATAGGTCCCCATGAACAAAACCTATTTGGAAGGAAAAGCAAATACAAACATAAGAAGTCGTCACTCTTCCTTCTAGCCTCATACGCACCTTTCTGGATCTGCCCCCTTCAGTGCTTTTCACCCATTCTTAAAAAATGTGTCAACTCAGTTGTGAAAAACTGAGCTATTCGAGGCTTCGGGACATTTTGTGAAAGAAATAAGCTATCTGGGAATATTGTTGTTGACATTGGCTTTCGTTTGAGGTTTTACGTATGCATGCAGAGAAAGATTACGTGTGAGAATGTTAGAGGCAAGTTTCGCTCTCTGCAGTCTTTATTAAAAGTAATTAGTAATAAGCCAGTCTTCCATTTACAAGTATTTTCTCTGAAGAGACCACCAGTTCAGCTGTGTGTGCTTGCGTCTTTCTGACAGCAGTTCTCAAAGCGAAGCAAAGCAGTGGCATCTGTAGTAACAATCAAAACACCAAAAGCCTGGTGGTTAATTCAATAAAACTCTTGAGTACACAAATAGCTGATGATGTTTAATTGACTGAACAGATAGTGAGTAGCTGACAGTTCTGGGAATTACACTGGATATTTATTTTAATCTGTTTAATTTAAAATTGGAACAACATTTTATTGTGCAGTAAGTTTATATAAATTTTTTAATGGTTGGTTAAGTTACATGCTTGTTTTTAGATGGCAATTTTAAAACATTTATCACATGTAGCTTTTAAAGATATTTTCAATTTTCCCAAAGCATTGCAGAAATGAGTTTAATGGAATAAACATAAAAAGTCAACAGACCATCACACTATGTTTAAAAGAGCCTTCTCAGCAATAAGCAACCTGCATTCAAATCTTGTCCCTGCCACTTTCTAGCTCTGTGAGCTTGGACAAATGATTCTCTAAGCCTCACTACAACTATTTATTAAATAAGATCAAAATAATCTCAAACTCCTAGGGTTATTGTGAGCATTAATGAAACAAAGCAGGTAGAGCAATTGATAGAATGCCTGGTCCATGGTCAGTATTCAGTCACTATTCTCTCTCTTCTGCAACTTGGCCTCAGCTAGTTAATTTACACATTTGCCCTGAAGAGCTCACAGACTCCAGCTCTGGAGCCACATTGCTCATCAGAAATCAAATAGCACAAGGATTATTAAAGAGCACATGGTTCTTTTTGTTTACTGAAGTCCAAAATACAGAACTGTAGTTATCAACAGAGAAACACTCCTGCAAGGGCCACTAATTAAAGAACATGTTTCAGAACACATTTCATTTGTATTCTACGCAAAGAGAGCTGCCCATCACAGACTCATAAAATGCTAGCCCAGCAATACATCTTAGACTAGTTCACACCCAACACCCACCCGCTCTCCACCAGCCCAATCTCCATCGCCTTACTTTGCAAAGGAAAAAAAACCCAGTGAGTTGTTGTGGTCCCCCCGCTATTCATTCAAGTTTAGAAGCAATCCAAAACCAAATCTGGGGTCTCCCAATACATCATTAAATTTGGAGAGTTTTCCTGAATATGCAATTCTTACACACAAACTTGCTCACTGGCATTACTAGATAAATGTGACCTAGAGGCCACATGGCAACCATGCTACTGATTTGTCACCCAGTCAAAGCTCACTGACTATATTGGTGTCTCCAGTTTCTTCAATAGAGAAATGGCAATCACTTCTGGTCAGGGCTTGGATCCCAATTTGGTGTATGAGGCAGGCTCACAGGTACACCCTTCAGTGATGAGGTCTAGAGGACATAATTCATAGACATCCTGTTTCCTCTGCCAACGTTATGGCAGAAATGCCCTTGGACAAGTGAACCAGGTTTCTTTCATTCAAGTCCTACCCAGAAATCTATAGAAATGTCTCTTTTTGTTTGCTCAGGACAGCCACTTGCACCTACTCTGGGTGAAAGGGAAAGTACTTAAAAAGATTCTACTGGCTACAGTGGAAATCTCCAAAGTGAGTTACAGTAACTTAAAATTAGCACACTCCTTCAGCAAAACTTTGCCAAATAGCTTTTTTTTTTTTTTTTTTTTTTTTTTTTTGAGACAGAGTCTCGCTCAGTCGCCCAGGCTGGAGTGCAGTGGCTCTGTCTCCACTCACCGCAAGCTCCACCTCCTGGTTTCACGCCATTCTCCTGCCTCAGCCTCCCGAGTAGCTGGGACTACAGGCGACCACCACCACGCCCAACTAACTTTTTTTGTATTTTTTTAGTAGAGACGGGGTTTCGCCGTGTTAGCCAGGATGGTCGCGATCTCCTGACCTCGTGATCTGCTCTCCTGGGACTCCCAAAGTGCTGGGATTACAGGCGTGAGCCACTGCGCCCGGCTGCCAAATATCTTTTAAAACTCTAAGAAAGAGAATCTTTCCAGAGCAGGGATTCCAGTGCTGAGATCCCCCGTTGCTGCTGGTGCTTTCCTCACAATAACCTGCTTTGAAGTCTGACATCATGGGATGCAAGGGTCTTCCAGGCTTCCGGCAGCCACAGCACTGCCTGGGCTCTTCAGACTTTAGGAGAGGGTTCCCTTCAGTTCCCCTCCTGAATCGGCAAGTACTAACAATTCATCCACTTAGAGCTTCAGCTCTAATACAGTTAACTGGAAATTTTCTCCACAGAAGCCTCATTCCCTCTCATCTCAGAAGCTTCTCTAAGAACAAAGACTCATTGAGAAGATAGGAGTCTTGTCTCTGCACTGAGGAACTGAGGACATGCTCTTTAATTCCTTCGTTACAGCATTTCCGCTATCCGTGCTACTGACATTTAACAGGATGGACTCTGGACCTCCCTTCTATCTCTCCAAAGTGGAACTGGCAATGTTTCTTCAAGAAACTACCTTGGAGCCACATCAACATGTGTATCTAAATTACACAAAGTTAGGCATACAAATTTGGCAACTGAGTTTGCAATTGAGATTGCAATTGAGGGCAATCTTGCTTGCCTTCTATTCCATGAGAAAATGCGCCAGAGATGAAAGAGGTGAATCCACTTTTCCCTTCAGTGTGATTGGATAATTTTTTACAAAAACACATATTTTTGGAATAGCATGGCCCCAAAACACAAGCCAACCTCTTCATCTGGTGCTCATCTGCTTGAAAATCAGAACTAAAACTGGCTCTATGTTGGTTTCCAACAGAGAATCTTTCTTAAAGCTTTCCAAGAATTATTCTGTCTCTATGTGATTTTTCACTTACTCACTGCCTTTGGAATCTAATCCCCCCTTTACCATATGACTTTACTGTAGTCCATTCTTGACTGAGGTTTGAGAAATCATTGTGGTCTATCTCCCAACACATTGTCCTAAAGCAATAGATTAAAACAGCTAAATCAGGAAAGCTACCACTTATCTTCTTCAGACTTTCCCTGTGAATTCCTGGAGAGTCTGGGTTATGGACCACCCTAAGGAAGGTGTAGAAATATGGGTAAAGCGTGATGAAAATGTTATTTGAAAATGACATAGTGTCTCCTCCATCAAAGAATGGTATCAAGTCCATTCAGCCCTTTGAGGGCTTTGTAACATTTCATAAGGGTTGTTAATTCCTTACCTTTAAAATGTGCATCAGTGTCATTCCTGAATAGCCCTTAAAAGAGTCAGGGTTTAGATGCTTCCAAAATACAGTAACACTACTTCTCAGCTACTCTACAGAATTTGGATACTGAGGTGACCCACCATCTTTGAGATTTGCTTTAGTGCCTCCCTCCAAAAACACAACAGATGGAACCTGAGTGAGTTAACCTCAGGTTCTAACCTGAGTTAGAGCTGAGAGTCAATTGAGAGTGGGCAGGATGGAGATTATAATGAAGCTGGAATAGACACACATGAGGGAGCCCTAACTGGATCCCAGTGGAGACAACTAAAATGTTAAAATTAAAAAAAAAAAAAAAAACAGAACAGGAAGAGACAGCAAATGTTGGTGCGGTAAACCTCAATGCAAACAAGGCAATGAGTTCAAAAGCTGGCCCTGCTGAGACAACATAGAACTGTCCTCATAGAAGACAAGATATCCCTTGAGAGATGAGGCTAAAACTATTACAGAAAAAACTGACACAGAAAAAAACCCAAATGCCTAAGTGAAAAAATTCTAGAAATAGAAATCTCCAATTTGAGGGAAGGAGATAATTTTAACCAATAAAAATAATTAAGATGAAACTTAATGGAGAAAAAGAAAAAAAAACACAAAAAATACTGCTTTCAATTTTCTAAACATCTTCAACCCAGAAAAATGTGGTTGGGGCATCTGGCATCTTTGCCATCTGCATGTTCCTTGGAGCATGACACAAAGCTTGGA